>NC_000011.10:120505757-120808788 GCF_000001405.40 Homo sapiens
ATATATGCACATATGTATATGCACACGCTTTTTTGCCTTTGAATGCCTTTATAATATCCCTGTGTTATTTCATAATAATTTATAGGAATATTTAATGCCAGTCTTCAGACAAAACTATACTCTAGATAAATTGCAAACCCCAGACACCTGGGGCAATATGAAAACTGCCACCTTATTTTCGATATCCGGGGGTGGTTTCATTGAGAAGACAGATCCTTTTCTCTGTACCTTCCATTGCTAAGTGATTGTGCTTTGCTCCCAGGTAGAAAATGCCACTCTGTTCCTCCTCCTCCGACCTCTTCCTCCTGTTTGAGTGGATTGTTTCTTCAGTTGCTCTTATTGTTGGAAGTGGTGAAGAAAAACAGTAAAAGGATGGGGGAAAATACTGCGGCTTTAATACTTGCTTAACATTTTACACAGCTTGACTTTCATAGTGATCTTTGACCAGTGTCTTTCATGCAGCCGGAAGCCCTGAGTTTTAGCCCAGTTTTGCTATTTCCTGACTGAGTGGTTTGTATCTATAATGTCATGTAATGGAACCTACCTGGACCAACTATGAAAATCAAATGACGAAAGATGAATGTGAAAGTATAAAGCTTATCACAAGTAAAATCCCGCTTTTAGAGATGTAAGCATAGTACCCCTACTATGGTGGAACTGGTTAAAGCCTTTATTTGTGCAAATGAGCAGCAAGTCCCCTTTCCCAGACAGGCATGGCCATAGTGGAAGACTCCCGGCTACAATGCAGGTCTATGGAAGATTCAGACTGAGAATTCTGAGTGCATACCCAAGCCTCTGTGTGCTAAAGCCCTTGGCTCCAACTCTTGAGTTGCCAAAAGTTGCACGCCCCTTCCCCTGCCTCCATCCAGACTGTCAGACTAAACTATGACCGTGTAACTGAGTTAATTGCAAAATGCCATAAAGAACATACCTGATGTCAAGTGGACCAAAACTGTTAGAAGGAAAATGTAGTGCCTCTATAACATCTTTTACTTGACTACCAACGCTAAAGGGACCAGCCCTGGATTTGTCTGGTTTCCTATTTTGTCTTTGGTGCCTGGCACATAATAGGCACCAAAGATGTCTTGAAGAACTATTGTCACAGCAGCTTATCTCCTCTGCAGAATAGCAAGTGGAAACTGAGACACGTGGTAGAAATGAATTAGGTTCTCACATGAGGGATGGGAGCAGGGCTGCGGAATGAGAGGCAGGTTATATTCTGATTAAGGATGATCTAAATTTTTCTTTTAATTTCAATGCGAGCAGTATTCTTTACACCTAGACTAATAAATGAGACAAGAGACATTGCGGGGAGGGAGCTGTGTAATAATATAGTTGTCAAGTGGGGATGGGACCTTTTAACATTCGATGTAGTATTTGCAGCCAGCTGCGTTAAACAGCATGCTGCCATGAGACTTGGGGACTATGTGAACCACACACACATATATGTTTGCTCTTTGCCAATACTTGCCCATAATATCACTGGGCAAAACCACTGCTTACTGCATCCTTTAAAGCATGAGTAAACATCGAGAACATTTCTCCTTCTAACTCACTTCTGCTTCAAAACTGGTTCTGTGAGACATCTGCTGTAAGAATGAACCATTTATCCTCCAAACAAGTGACAAGAAGAACACAGAATTTATTTTCTTTTAATCTGGAGTTTAAGTACTCCGATAGGACTGATGAATTTTAATAGTCTTGCAATATGATATATAATCAGGCCCTTGCTTCCTTCAACCTAAGTTCCTCAAATGTGAACCCCAGCTTCAACTTAGGTTGTAAAGACTTTAAGCTTACCAAGGGCACAGTTTCATATTTGCCAGTTAGGATTTCATCTGACTCATCTGGACAAATGACAGGAGCAAATCCGATTTGCCAGAACTGTAGACCTCATTAACCCCTTCTCTCTATTGGTTTATCCATTCAACACATTTACTAAGAATCTCCTATGCCAAGCACTGTGTGGTTAATAGATTTTTTTTTTTTTTTTTTTGAGCTGGAGTTTCATTCTTGTTGCCCAGGCTGGAGTGCAATGGCACGATCTCAGCAACCTCTGCCTCCCCAGTTCAAGTGATTCTCCTGCCTCGGCCTCCTGAGTAGCTGGGACTACAGGTCCCATGCCACCACGCCCGGATAAGTTTGTATTTTTAGTAGAGACAGGGTTTCTCCATGTTGGCCAGGCTGGTCTCAAACTCTGACCTCAGGTGATCCACCCGCCTCGGCCTCCCAAAGTGCTGAGATTACAGGTGTGAGCCACTGTGCCCGGCCAGAGATTTTTTAAAAAGCCTATAGTCTAATTATGAACTTGAGATGAACCTTCAAGGGACCTTTGGAAAAGAAATGGTAGGTAAATTTAAGATCAAATATCTGATTTGCGGATATACCTGAGGCAAATACAAAGAAGGGAGAAGCTAAAATATAAATCCAGGAGAACAAGCTCACAGTCTATTAGTGAGAGCAGACGTGAAACAAGTAAGTGACCATAAACTCTAACAAGCACAAGAGAGATCCCGAGAAGGGAGTAATTACTTCTGTTGGGAAGGGACTAGATAGCCAGGTATGATAAACTTCTAGTAGGAGAGGTTCCCAAACAGAATTCTGAGCGGTTAATAGGAACTTGTGTATCAGTGTGTATGTGGGAGGTAGGGTGGGGACTCTGGGCAGAATTCAGTGTGTTAAAGGCACAGAGGTATGAAATGGGATGAGCAGAGAACTCAGTGCTGCTTGGTACTGACTGAAGGTGAGATGGACAGAAATGGATGATGGGTGAGGTGGGGAAGTAAGCAGGGAACTTGTATGCTGTGCTAAGAAGTTTTGGACTCGAGGCTGGGTGCGGTGGTGCACGCCTGTAATCCCAGCACTTTGGGAGGCCGAGGCGGGCAGATCACGAGGTCAAGAGTTGGAGACCAGCCTGGCCAACATGGTGAAACCCCATCTCTACTAAAAATACAAAGGTTAGCCGGGCGTGGTGGCGGGTGCCTGTAGTCCCAGATACTCAGGAGGCTGAGGCAGGAGAATCGCTTGAACCCGGGAGGCAGAGGTTGCAGTGAGCCGAGATTCCGCCACTGTACTCCACTCCAGCCTGGTGACAGAGGAGTGACTCCGTCTTAAAAAAAAAAAAGTTTTGGACTCAATATGAGGTCATGAAGGGGTTTTCAGCAAGGGTGTAAAGTGGTGAAGCTTGTTTTAGAGACATCACTCTGGCAGCCATTTGTAGACATATTGGAGGGAGCCAATTTAAAGGCAGGGAGATGAGCTAGAGGGCCGCTGCAATAGTTTCTAAGACATGGTGACATGATATGATATGTGCCACTCAGCAAGGTGACAACAAGTCACCTGCTCACCGTGTGCCTCAGCTGGCCCCATTTATGCAGAGGGATCATTATGAATGTGTGATGAACCTTCAAAGGGACCTTCGGAAAAGACATGGCAGGTACATTTAAGATCAAATATTCTTCTTAGTGGATATACCAGAGGCAGATAGATGGAAGAAATTAAAGATAAATCCAAGAGAACAAACTCCTTCCTGTGCGCTCCGACCACCATGGCGCCCAAGCACAATGAATCCTATCCGTCCTGCACAGCATAGCAGCTGGCTGTGAGGGATGTTTCAGATGAGAGGTTCTAGAGGTGGGAGCCCCATTTCCCAACCCTTCTGTTTTTTCATTCAAGGCAGCAGCCTCAGAGTAGATCAGCGGGGCCAGCCTCGTGGCCCTCTGACATTCTCCCCCTGTGGCTTCCAAAAAAGATCTGGACTGACCTTCCCACCCCTGGAGCTGAGCTTGAGAAGTCAGCTTGCCTGGAATTGAATTTTTTCAGTAGTAAAAAAGGTGGAGAGCAAGTAGTAAGTATCCCAAAGAACTCAACATCTTGCAGCAAGGGGAGACAGGAGAGTGGGTGGGGGCAACCAGGCTGAGGCTAACAGCAGACTTCTGTACCGGCAGACTTCGCTGACATTGTTGTCCACCCTGTGACTGGTAGGGACTCCCTGCTTCTAGGGGCAGAGGCCTTAAGAAAGGAAAAGAAAGTCAGAACCATTCTTGCAAGAAGGGGAGAAACCAGGGCCCTCAGGAGGCCACAGCCAAGACTATCTCCAGAGCCATCAGCAATCTCTCTGACCTGCCAAAAGCTCCTCCCCGCTTCCCTGGTTAATAGGATGAGATCACCAGGCAAAAGAATATGATGAAGCATTTCACTTATATAGTATTTTTCTTTCCAAACACTTAATAAGCCTCTCTGGTCTCGCTGATCTTGCATTCTTCCCGTGAAAGGGGCCAGGGATCCATGCTTGGCATTTCAGAGTTTGCGCGGCTTGAGAGATCATCTAGTCTGCTTCCCTCACTTTTAGAGTTATGGGAACTGAAGTCCAGGGAAGTGAAATCGCTTGCTGGGATCACAGGGATGCCTCTCCCTCCTCCCAGCCCCGTACACTTTCTGCTAGGCTTATGCTGCTGTTCCGTCCATTTTGCACAAGAGAGGGGGTTCCAGAGTGGGGGAATAGAGTTGGAATTAGAAATTAGTTTTGTGTCACTGGCTTACAGGTGCTCTTAAACCTTAACAGGTTTAACATCCTCTGTAAAATGGGACTAGTGTCACCTCAACACCTACCTTGCAAAGTTGATTATTGGGAATCACACTTGTGTAAGCGGTATAGTCTTGGCAAACAGTAGGTGCTAAATAATGTCTGGCTGGAGGAATGGAGCCCTGTTCGCATATGGCATTCATCCAGCCAGTGTGTGGAGCTGGGGGAGGGATAGGCACGACTCCTGAAGCAGGAGGCCCAGTACGCGCCCAGGCTAGCCAGCCAGCCCTCCCCGGGGAATGCAACGTCCAGAACAGTCTATAGTCCCGATAGTATGCCTCATGCGTGAGACCTGACCAAGGACGTCTGTGAACAAACCCTTCACAGAGAGCTTAATGAGATTGTGGGAGTGCTGGTGGTTGGGTGTGGGGATACAGGCCATTGAAGGTGAGAGGGCCGGTGTGATCAGTTTGGTGGTCTGCCCAAGACAGAGACTCTGCGGGTTGGATAAGAGGGAGCTAATAGGTTTGAGGGGGTCACGTGTCCCTTGCCCTCCCTCCTATTCCCCCAGGACTCCCTCTTCACCCAGCCTCCTCCTAAGGGCAACTCTGTTGTATTAGGATGAACCACACGGTGTACTGAAATGAACCGCGCGTCAGAAAGCGGGGTTGCCTCCTGGGTCCTGCCACTTGCTCCCCGTGTGTTCTTGGCCTGGTCCCTTCACCTCTCCTAGCCTCAGGATCTTCATGCGTAACATGAGATCCTCCCAAGATGTTGGTATGTATACAACAGTGCTCTGGAATGACTCCATGCAAGCTGTTGCTCTTCAGTCTCCTGAACAAGGTGCTCTTGTCTCGTCCCATGAAACCTCCACCTCTCCATCTTCCGCACCACTGAGGCCGCAGTCTCTTCTAACGGGGCACGCTCGTCCCCCGCGCTGTTTCCCGAATGCCACCAGGGGGCGCCCCTTGCTCGCTGAAGCCGCCGGGCTAATAACTCCTCGGGGCCGGGGCGGGCTGCCCCTTTGCGCAGGGCGGTGGAGTGTGCGGGCTGCGCCGGGTTCCCCACCTGAGGTCCGTACCTCGCAGAGCCCGCTTGGCCGCGCGCCCCTAGCCTCTGCCGGGCGCCGCTCCCCAGCCGGGCGCCTCTCGCTCGGCCCCGGGCCCCCGGGCAGCCGCAAGTTTGCCCCCGGCCGCGCGGACCCGCGCCCGCCCTGCCCGCAGCAGCCCCCGCCGTTCCCGCCGCCCCCGCCGCCCCCGCGCCTGGGCTCCCGGGCGACGCTCCGAGGGGCGCTGGGGGGCGCGTGCAGCTGCCCGCGGGGCTCCGGCCCGGCCCCGAAGGGGCGCCCCCCCGGCCGGCCGTGCGCGGGGCCGCAGCAGTTCCCCAGCTGCCCGCCGGGCGGCGCCCCGCGCCTCGCTGCGCTCCTCCCGCGCTCCCCGCGCCGGGCTCGCTCGCAGCCGGACACAGACTGCCTTCAGCTGCGGGCGGATCGGGCTGGAGCCGCCACGGCTGCTGCGGAAGAGGAAAAACGGCCAACAGCAGCCCCGCGGCCGGCCCGGCAGCGCCCGGCCCCCGGCTCAGCCCCCGGAGTGCGGAGCCGACCAGGTAAGGGCAGCGGCCCCCCGCGGCGCCCCCGGCCCGCTCCCTGCGCTGCCCCCGCGCCCCCGAGTCCCCTCCGCGCTGGCCCTTCCCGCACCCCGACTTCTGACGTCTCCGCCGCTCCTGCCCTCGGGGGCCGCGGCCCCGCACCCCTGCCCCGGCCCCCGCCCCCGCGCCCTCCTCCCCGCTCCCGCCTCCCGCCAGCCCGGTCCCTGGCACTTCGGTCCCTGCGTCTCCAGATTCGCCGCCGAACCCCCCACCGCTCTGCTCCCGTAGTTCCTCCAGTCTTCACCCCGGTCCGTCTCCCTCCCTCCGCATCCCTTCCCCGGGCTCGCGGTCCTCCCGCTCTGGTCCTCCCCCTCCCCGTGCAACTCCCAGCCCTGCCTCTGTCCCCTGCAGGGATGACAGCCCCTTCCCAGCCTGGCGCGTCTCCCCTACACCTCGTCACCCTCCGCTTCTCCCAGCGCCTCTGTTCCCCGGCTGCAGCCCCCCATCCCGGCTCAGCCTGGCATCCCACCAAGCCCCCTCCCCCTTTCCTCACTGCCATCTGCCTCGACTGCCCCCTGCCCCTGCACTGGACTCGGGCCACCACCACACCCCCCCACCCTGCACACCGCCTTGCTTGGGGGAACCAGCGTCCTATCAGAAATGATCCTCTTTCCCGGGGAGAATGGGGCTCCCACCCATCCCACCCTAGTTCATCCGAGTGGGAAGTGAGGGAGAAACTCTAGAGACCTGCAATGGGCGCGTGATGGGGGAGGGGGCTGGGGCGGAGGGGGAGGGGAGCTGATTTAGATTCTCTTCAGTGAGGACTGGCAGAGCTGTGCGCTCCGACCTGGCTGGGGTGGAGGGCGTGCAGGCGACAGCTGGGACAGGGGGTTCAAGGCACTGAGAGCACCTGTGTCTCTTTCCCTGGCTCCCTTGAGCTGAGCAAAGTGAGGGGAGGAGTTGGAGCCTGGGGAGAGTTGGCTGAGGGCCTTGGGGTGGTGGAGGAGGCGGCCGAGGGGGCTGGGCCCCGGGCGCCTCTGGCCCGTCTGCCTGGCAGTGGTGGGGCAATGCGGGCCGAGCCACTCCCGGGCTGGACCTTGGGCTGCGTGGCTCTTGGCATCTGTACTTGATGCTGCCATCTTCCTCTTGGTGCTGTTGTCTGGTGATGCCACGCGGTGCCACCTCCCTGCCTCCCTCCAGTGGCTCTCCTGGGCATGTCTCCCAAGGGTCTGGGTTGTCTGGGAAGAGGAGGGGAGCTCTGAGCACAGCTGGGCCCTTTTGCCAGGCAGTGGGCAGCTGTCAAGACCAGGCCAAGAGGTCTGAGGGCTGGTCAGGAGGACTGAGCCCTGCCAGGAACAAAGAACTACCTTCACTTTCACTCCCTATGGGTCACCTGGTTGGTAGTGACACTTCTAGGAGCACCGGGAAACTGCGGGCGTGGTATCTCCGGGGAGAGAGGCCGCCTGGGTTGGTAGTGGGCATCTGAGAGACAAATCCGGTCCTGCCTGACTCCCTGACTGTCTGTGCTCGCGTGGTCAGGGGCGAGGGGCTTGTCGAGGTCCACTGTGTTCCGGTCCCACCAGGGATGGCAGCCCCTGGAATTCCACTGGGCGTCATCATGCTGGCTTTATTTGCTGAAGCTGCAGCTCAGGCTTCATCATTAATCAGGTTTATTATTTTTCTCACTGGCCAGATGTGTTCCTCAAGGTCACGACCCTTCGGAGAGTTAATCTAATATGCACACATTACAGTGTCTGGGTTTGTTTAATTTTCCATATTTTGTTCATTCCTTGTGGCCCGGGCTTGCCCACCAGCCTCCCGCCTGCCTCACCAGCTCCACCCCTCTGTCCTCCTCTGGACCTGCCACCTGAAACCCAGAGGCAGCACTGGTCCCTCCGGGTGGGGAAGAGGTGGATGCTCGGGAGGGGAGGTTGAGAGGGGATCTTGGTTTTCTGTGTTTTTCCCATCCCCCTACCTGGGCATCTTGATCGGTGGCTGCTGTCTTCCCCAGCAATGAAAATTCTTCCGAGAGCCTGGGTCGGCTTCGTGGTCTGATTTCCACTTTGGTTTTCCCTTAGGATGGAGAGGGAACTTTAGTACCGGGAGAGAGGCAGAGACTCTAGGAGAAAGTCCCAGCTGCAGGGAGTCAGGGCATCCAGGAGAGAGGAGCTCAGCTGCTTCTGAGGTGGTTCTCAGCCATCCAGAGATGGAAGGGAGGACAGGGGGACCGGCCCTGGGTTGGGGGAGAGACTGCTCAGAAGGCAAGAGAAGCAGCGAGGCGGAAGCTGGCCTTTGTGTGGCTGGCGAGGGTGGGCAGCGCCAAGCGTGTGTGGGAAGGATGCATCTCTTGGTGCTTCTGCATAGTACTAATCCCTTATGTGTGTATGGGGTTCTGCAGCATTCCAGATGCCTCTCAGAACAATTACTTCATTTGATCTCTACTACAGCCCTGCAAGCATCTGATCGCTCCTTACAGACAGCCTTATAAGGAGGCATTCATGACCCAACAGAAACTGAGGCTCAGAGAGGCTGGATGCCTCATCCAAGGCTCCACAGCTGGGTCCCAGGCCCCTGGACGCTCAGTCCAGTGCTGTTGGGCTCGTTGCTGTTGCTTTTTAAGGTCTCAGCTGTTTGGTTCTCAGAAAGCCCACCCTTGGTCCTGCCTGTTCCTCAGTTCATCCCCTTCGCCCTCTCCAGTGATGGCTCACCGTTTTCACCCCCACCCCAGGCCTGGTGGAGTCTTTGCTCTGTAGTCTCCTCAGCCTTAGACTGGCTGCCTGGGTGTCCCGCCACTCCCTAGACCCAACCAACCACCCCCTACCCCAAGTGGGCACTGCCTCTTGCCTCCTCCTTGTGGAAAGAACGGCTGGGTTCCCCCAGGCATGCAGCCGGGGTGCCTGGGGCACCCTCCTTCCCTCTCTCTGGTGCCTTAGGCCTCAGCCCACTCAGTTCTTCTGGGCACTTCGAGTGTCCACTCCGACCTTTGCTCTCCCACTGCCGTGGTCCCTACTTGGGCCTTTGGCTGTTCACCCTGAGTTACGGTCCTGAAAGCTTCCTTGTTGGGCCTCCAGCCTCAGTTTCCAGCCATCCTGCCGCTGTGCCTGTCTTCTTACAGAGGGTAACGCTTCTCACAGGGGACCCTGTCTCAGCAGCCGTCAGTGGCAGTGCCTTCCAAGATGCCTTGCAGGTGAAGGCCCTCTGCACGCTGACCCCAACTTTATGTCACAACGTGGTGTCTGGCATGATCTTGTCCCCCCTCCCCTGGCCACCCAGCCCTGGCACTGTGTGTCCTCACCCTGGCCCTTTGCATTTCCTCCTCTTTTCCTCCCATCCATATATTGCCCAGCCTTCAAGGTGCTGCTGGAAGAGGAACCAGTTCCAGCTACCAAGTATCAGGCAGACCTGGGTTCCTGTCCTCACATCACTCCCTGCATGACCTCGGACAAGTTGCCTCACCTCTCTGAGCCTCACTGCCCTCACCTGTAAAATGGGGACTCTGAGCCTCACTGGCCTCACCTGTAAAATGGGGATAAATCTCACCTGCTTCAGAGGGTTAGCAGCATGGAATGTGAGTGGGAGTGTGACTCGTCCAGTGTGAAGGGCACCTGCATGGGTATGGAGGGCACATTCTCTGAGTGGCCGCCTTCTGCTCTCCCTCTGTATGGGCTGGCTGAGCCCCCTGCTCCTACCTGGTATTGGTAATCGTCTGTCCGTTTGTCTCCCCACCCAGAGGGCAGATTCCTGGAGGAGCAAGGCCTTTGCCTGACACCTTTTCACATTCTCTGACTCCCAGCAGAGCGAGGCTGTTCTTCAACATCCTGTAAATCGGCCCTCTTCATAGTAAGGACATAAGATATAGTTGTTGCTTGATTATAACGTTCTGTTACATAAAATAGGGTATGCCTTACATTTAGTAAATCCAGTATGAACAAAAAACTTATGCCACAGTTGCAGGCTGGGTAAATTATGGGAAGGAAGGAAGGAATCAATGTAACATTGTATTGACTGCGTACTCCGTTTGTTTCGCTCAGTCAGTCCAGCTACCCGGCGAGTTAGCTGTGGGCATCTCCTTTTCCACAGATGAGGAAGGGAGTCCCAGGAGGTCACACACTCTGTCCCACATCCCAGACTGGTGAGTGCGGTAGGACCCCAGCTTCTTCCCCTACACTTGGGCATCCTCTGCCTTAAAAACCAAGAGGGAGACACTTTTTGATTCATCACAGGTTTTCTTTAAACAACTGAGCACTCAAGTCATTTACACAGAGCCCAGCAGGGATGGGGCGGTTGTGGAGTCCCCTGTTTGGGGGGTGGGCAGGACCCTTCTCTCCCACAGGGTGATAGTTTGGGTGGATAGCACACCAAGACACCCGGTCTCTGGGAACATGGCGTGTGTGTTGATTGCACCTGCCACCAGCATTCAGACCTGGCAGGAGCTGGCAGGGGTGCTCAGGAATGGGGGAAGGAAGACTCACAGTGAGGAGGCTGAGAAGGGGCTGTGCAGGCAGGATGAGGGGAGAGAGGATGATCTGAGGACTGGGCGCTCGGGCACAGGACGAGGCAAGTGGGAGAAGAGTCCCGTGTGCAGCAGAAGGCTGGAGTCAGGGAGCAGCGGATTGTCACGGTAGACGGGGTGGGTAGAACTGCTGGAATCCAAGAGGGCCCTGGCCACCAAACAGAGAAGGCTCAGGTCAGTGCAGCAGGCTCGGGGGAGCCGGTGAAGATTCGTGGGCAGAGGAGTGCTGTGCAGAAGCGCGGGTTGAGGGCTGGGCCTGGGCGCTGGTGACAGTGAGGCGAAAGGGGGGTAAGCTTGAATGACATTTTCAAGAACAGCAGAGCGCGCTGACAGATTGGATGCAGCAGATGAAGGAGCCGGAAGTGTCAGAGATAACTTTGAGATTTCCAGTGCTGGAGACCAGGGGGATGGGCGATGCGAGGGGAGTAGGGAAGCCGGAGGGGGAAGCAGGTCTGAGGGAAAGCTGACAGTGCGTGCCTGGATGCGCTGTGCCTGAGGAGGAGCCTGGAGCCATCGGGGCTCACCCTGGGCGGCGGCTGCTGCGTTCCTGGGCAGCAGCCACTGTCTAGTCTTGTGCAGGAACAGGCCTGGGGCGCGTGCTGCCGGGGGCCAGCTTAAGGCATCTCGCGTGCCTCAGTCTCACCTCCCCAGCCTCCTGCCAGCCCTCGCCGCCCTCCCTCCACGGTACCCTCGTGTCTGATATTCACTGCCCTGGAAGTTCCTCCGTCTGTGCCTGTCACCGCCGGGGACCGAGCGTGGAGCTGCCATCCAAATGGGCAGGGCCTTGTCCGCTTTGTTCACTGAGCTATCCCTAGTGCTTGCATAGAACAGGTGTTAAGTCAATATTTGTCCCATTTAAGGGACCTCAACTCATGTTTAACAGACACTTGTTACAGAGATAAATTCAGAGGCTGTGGAGGGTGAAGAGCAGCCAGAGGGGCTGTGTGGCCTTAGGCTTCCGGGAATGGGGTGTCCCAGGCTCCTTGGTGCGATCCTCTCCTGTCCTCAGTGTCCAGCCTCTTGGTGCCCGCTTGTGTTGTCAAAGTGAGGCTGGCATCGTTTGCCCCAGGGAGGCCATGGGCAGGCCCCCTGAGGCAAACGGTGCCCCCGCCTGTGCACCCCTGACTTCCGCCTAAAGTTGGAGAGCAGGGAGACCCAAGTGGTGAGGGTGATAGCTGTGCTACGCTGCGGGGTGTTGGGAGAGAGGACGCAGATGCCTGAGTGCTGAGTCACAGTGGGCATCTCGGGAAGGGGACAGCTGGGAAATAGAAGGCCGGGCTAGGATTGCTGCCTCGATTTCCGCCCTATAAACAAAGGCATAGAGTAAACTCTACTTCACGGAGCTCCCAGTTGAGTGTGATAGTCCTGTGAAGGCCCCCAGGAGGGAGTGGGAAGGGGCCGGCCCCTAGCACAGAGGAGTCGTAGTGGTGGCCTGGGAGCGTGACTAGGGAGTAGACACAGGTTTAGAATTGGAGTTTAAGGGCCAGAGTTAAAGAGGAGGATTTAATAGAATGAGAAATCAATAGCCCAGAGGAGGTTAAGTTGTGTAAGTGAGAGGCTGACTGCAAGGCACGCTTAATGAAAAAGAAAAGTTTAAGAAGGCGTGGAAGATAGGGCACATCTGGAGGCAGGGGAAGCCGGTATTGGCCGGTTTCTGCTCTCCCTGTTCTCCAGCCTGGGGAGGCTGCTGAGAAGGGAGGTTGTGTTCTGGGAGTGAGTGAAGGGCATTTCCTGTGTCTCCCTCCCAACCTCCATTGCTCCCCCTGAGGCTGTGTGGTGCAATGGTTGGCCTGGCCACTTCCAGATCAGGTACATAGGACAAATCCCAGCTTTTCCAGTTCCAGCAGTGCAACTTTGGGCACAAAGCTATGCAAGCCCACCCTGGCCTCCATGACTCTCGGCAGCTGTGCTGAGCACGAGTCCGTGGCAGCAGTGGTTATTAGTAGTTATTATTGTGTTGCATCCTCATAGTGTCTCTCCTAGCCCAGTCCGGTTCCTAAGACTCTACGGAATAGTGTCTCTAGCAAGGCTGGTGAAAGGATGGGGATTTGGGAGGCAGCAAAGCTATATATATTTTTTTTAATCAGAAAAGTCTATAGTGGGTTTAGTCCAAGCCCCAGAGAGACGAGGGGCCCAAAGCCCAGGGTGTTTAAGTCACTTGTCCAAGCAGTGTAACGGGAGTGGCAGAGCTGGATCCAGCATAAGCCCAGGGCTCCAGGCTTCCCAGCCTGTGTCTTTTTAAAATTTTTTAAATATTTTGAGATGGAGTCTGGCTCTGTTGGCAGAGTGCAATGTGCGCGACCTTGGCTTACTGCAACCTCCGCCTCCCAGGTTCAAGTGATTCTCCTGCCTCAGCCTCCTGAGTAGCTGGAATTACAGGTGCCCAATACCACCCCCGGCTAATTTTTTTGTATTTTTAGTAGATACCAGGTTTCACCATGGACCAGGCTGGTCTCAAACTCGTGACCTCAGGTGATCCGCCGGCCTCAGCCTCCAAAGTGCTGACATTATAGGCATGAGCCACTGTGCCTGGCTTAGCCTGTGTCTTTTGCTGGGTCTTGTGGCCCTGCCTGCAGGAGCGAAAGTGCTGGAAAAGAGATGCTTCAACAAATTGTTTGGTCCAGTTGCAACATCCAAACAAAATCGGTCTAGAACTAAGCAGGCGGATGATTTTGATTCTTTAAGGCACTAGAGCATGGGCTCTGTGGGGGCACGGATAGGGCCTTGTGCTTTTGTCTCTAACACTAGGCTGACACATAGCTGTGAATTCAACAATGATGATGACAATAATAATAGCTAATAAGTATTCAATGCTTATTATGTGCCAAGTACAATGCAAAGTACTTTCCATATATTATCTTAATCTTCCTAATAACTGCTATGAACTGAATGTTGGTGTTCCCCCAGAATTCATGTTGAAATCTTAACCTCCAAGTGATAGTATTAGGAGGTGGGGCATTTGGGAGGTGATTAAGTCATGGAGCAGAGCCCTCACGAATGGGATTATGCCCTTAAAAAGAGAACCCGCAAAGCCCCCTCACCGCTCCCACCGTGTGAGCACACAGTGAGGAGGCCCATCTATGAACCCAAAAGCCCTCACCCGACACTGAATCTGCCAGCACCTTGATCTCGGGCTTCCCCGCCTCCAGAACTGTGAGAAACAAACTTCTATTGTTTACCAGCTACCCAGTTTATGGTATTTTGTTACAGCAGCCCAAATGCACTATGATAATAACCTTAAGTTTATTATACCCATTTTACAGATGAGGAAGCTGAGATTCAGAGTAGATGATTCATTAGCCCAAAGTCCCATAGCTGGTAAGAAGCAGAGTTGAAATATGTACCCAGGCAGTGTGATTTCAAGCTCTAGTGGGAAATCCTTTGTGTGCATGCATGCATGCTTGTGGGTGCACAAGTGTATGTGAAATATGCACTAATCCCTCCCTAATTCCTAGATTCTACCTCTGGCTACCTCACTACTGGTTTTTTTTTTTTTTGTTTTTTTTTTTGTTGTTGTTGTTTTTTTTTGAGACGGGGTCTTACTCTGTTGCCCAGGCTGGAGTGCAGAGGCGCGATCTTGGCTCATTGCAACCTCCGCCTCCTGGGTTCAAGCGATTCTACTGCCTCAGCCTCCTGAGTAGCTGGGATTCTAGGTGCCCACCACCACACCTGGCTAATTTTTGTGTTTTCAGTAGAGACAGGGTTTCACCATGTTGGCCAGGCTGGTCTCAAACTCCCGGCCTCAGGTGATCCACCCGCCTCAGCCCCCCAAAGTGCTGGGATTACAGGCATGAGCCACTGCGCCCAGCCTACCTCACTACTGCTTCTATATTTCTGTTCCTCATCTCTTAGGCAAGGAGGCCAATGCTCATTTCCAGAACCGGCACCCTCAAGCCCCAGTCCCAGCCCGTCCAGCCATCAGCAGGCGCGGAGAATGAGTGGTGGCGCCTCTATGCGTTTTGGAACTCTCCTTCCCTTGGCCTGATTTCTTCGATCCCTGAGTGAGAGGGTCACTGGCAGTATTGGGGAAGTGATTAGAGAGCCACCTCCTGAATCACGTGCCATTCTTTTCCACCATGGAGGCCATCCAGGGAAGGGCCCGGTGTGGAGGCAGGAAGAAGGCAGCGACATAAAGCATTGAGGAGACCCTCTCCTGAGCTGCCGAGTCTGAGCACTGATTAGTGCTCAGGTGAGACAGGACTTTAGGAGGTTAAAAGCAGTCCTGCCCCCACTGGACCAACCAGGGTTGTGTCCACTCACCACCTCCTCCAAGGGCCTGGCTGGCTGGCTGGCCTGGCTGCCCCAGGTTAATAGCCGAGGATTAGAAGGAGTGGAATCTGACTGGGGTCTTGGACTCTCAGCAACAGCAGCAGAATAGGGAGTCTCTTTGGAAGAAATCTGATGGTAGCATTGTTAGACTCATGGTCGTTATTGCTCCTGACAGCATCTCCCCTAGCCTAGTTCAGTTCCTAAGATGACAACAGAACAAGGTCCCTAGCATGGCTGATGATGGGATGGAAACTGGAACATCTCTCTTTTTGGAGGCAGCAGAGGCATCTTCAGAATTAAAGAAGACAAAAGTGGGTTTGGGCGGGGCACGGGATATGCAGAAGACCCTGTAGAGTTATTTCCAGGTGGGAGGTCAGCACAACTCTGCCCTTATGCTGAAGTTGCAATGCCATTTTCTTTTTTTGTTTTGTTTTGTTTTGTTTTTCGTTTTTTTGAGACAGAGTTTCACTCTCACCCAGGCGAGAGTGCAGTGGCATGATTACAGCTCACTGTAGCTTGAACCTCCTGGGTTCAACTGATCCTCCCAATAGCTTGGGACTACAAGCGTGCACCACCATGCCTGGCGAATATTTTGATTTTTTGTGGAGATGGAGTCTCACTGTGTTATCCAGACTGGACTCAAACTCCTGAGCTCAAGTGATCCCTCATCTTGGCCTCCAAAAGTGCTGGGATTACAGGTGTGCGCCACCACGCCCGGCCCACAATGCCACTTTCTGATGGTAGTCACATGCCCAACGGCTTATTATGTTCTTGGTGATTTGTGTCCTCTCCCCCAAAGAGCTCACAGGGCCACAAACCTGAGAGACAGGAGGGCAGTTAAAATTATTGTCCCAGACTCTCAGAATTTCAGTAACTAGCCGAAAGCCACATAGTTATTTGATTGGAAAGTTGGATCAGTTCCCAGGACTCCTGCCCCTTGCCCAGGGCTGCATCTGCCACCCTGTGCCTTCCAGTTTGTGCGGTGGTAGAGGCAGTGGTCCCTGGGAACACCTGCTATTCCCAAGGTAGAGAATATCACACGGAAGAAAGCAGCACTTGTCAGGTAATGAGAACGCCTGTTGTATTGCTGGGAAAACTGAATGAAGTCCAGGGAGGTTAAATGAATCCTAGAATCTTATTCTTGAAGTAACTCGAGATCATTGCATTTGACGTCCTACCTGAGCTTCTATTATCTCCCGCGGGTGGTTATCCTGCCTCGGCTGCTGCCGCCTTCTGCTCTTCTTCCTCTTTCTCCATTTTCCCCTTCTTCTGAAAGCTGACATCATTGAGCACTTACCACCTTCCAGGCACTGTTCTAGATGCTTTGTATGTATTAAGTTGATTCTCCAGCCAACCCTATGAAGTAGGTACTGTTGTCCCACTTTACACATGAGGAAATACATAACCACAGAGGTTATGTAGCTTGCCCAAGATGACACATGAGCCAAGTGATAGAGCCGGGATATGAACTAGGCAGCCTGGGCCATGCTCTGGAGTGATCCTAAGGCAGGCCATCGCTGAGTTGGGCAGCTGTGAAACGAGGGAGCACATGAAAGCACCCAGTGCCTTGCCCGGCGTAGGGAATGTGCTCAGTCAATGCAAGTGACTTCTAAACATACCAGGAGGTTTTACCTTAGACTGAGCCAAATTGATTTCCCATGGGTCTTTTTTTTCTTTCTTTCTTTTTTGAGATGGAGTCTCGCTCGGTTGCCCAGGCTGGAGTGCCGTGGCGCGACCTCAGCTCACTGCAACCTCCACCTTCCGGGTTCGAGCGATTCTCCTGCCTCAGCCTCCTGAGTAGCTGGGTCTACAGGTGTGTACCACCACACCCGGCTAATTTTTGTATTTTTATAGAGACAGGGTTTCACCATGTTGGCCAGGCTGGTCTCGAACCCCTGACCTCAGGTGATCCGCCCGCCTTGGCCTCCCAAAGTGCTGGGATTACAGGTGTGAGCCACTGCACCTGGCTCCCATGGGTCTTTGTTCTGCACCCTCCTTGGAACCCCATTCCAGCCTTCTGAATGTGAAGCTACCTAATGAACAAGAAGCAAAGCCAACTTTCAGTCTCCTTCTACCTCAGTTTCCAAGACCCTTCCCCAAACTGAAATCCCCTGGCCAGGAAGACAACAGCCTGTGGGCCTAGAGAAATGTCCAAGGCTGGGACCTGCCTTATGAGGGAGATAGATCCTTGGCCACAGGGCTGCGCTGAGGGTTGTCACACATCCGTTCTTTAGCATGTTTCCAGAGTGCCTCCTATGTGCCAGGCACAGCCACGGAGCAGCACAGCTGGCCCCATCTCAAGGCTGGGCCCTTACAAAATGTGTGCACAGACACCTGCTGAATCTGTCAGATGCCAGATTGGTGGTGGGGTCCTGGGGACAGGAGCCTGAGGACTAGGAGAACTGTTGCTTCTCCACTGCTCCTAGGAGGCTGGGTGGGGATGCAGACACCCCATCAGGGGGCCAAAATTTCAGCTGACCCAAATCTAAGAGCACAGAGTAGGCAACTAGATGGAGGAAGCTCACCAGTTTATTTGTGCTAAAATAGCATCAGCCGACTCTCCTTTGAAACGTAACGGTCCTGCCAGAGTCCAGAGTAAATAGGCCGGAACATGAGATCTGCCAGGTGGGGTGCAAATTGGCAGTAAACAAAGCAATCGGGCTGTCTGAGTAGCGGAAGTCAGCTGAGAAAGTGCATTTCTCCTGCACGGAGCTGTGGGGTGGCGGCTGCTGGGCTCTCTCTTGCCCTCAGCTCCTTTGGGGAGGGAAGTGGGAGGGGGTATGTCAAGAGCTTGACCCTGGGCTTTAGGGGTGGAGGAGGAGCCGACTTTTGTCCTGTATTCCTGGGCCAATAATGCTGCTACTTCTCTCGCTGCTTCTCCAGTTGCCATCCTGCGTTACTGCAGGTCCTCACACCAGCCCTCCACGGCAGGTCTTATTAGTCCCATTGGACAAGGGAAAACACAGATGTCCAGAGAACCTGAGACACCGACACAGGGTCACACAGCTGAACCTGGGCTTTGTGGTTCGGTGTTGCCCGGGTCTGCCTTCGTCTCTTTAGCCACTGCTTCTCCGTGTGGCCAGTGCCTTTCTAAGGAACTTCCAGCTCCCAGCAGGGGAAGAACCTGAGCAGCCCAGCTGGGAGATGATCAGGGTGGGGCTGGTAGAGCAAGGTCAGGCCACCCTTGGATGCTTTGGGGAGGTCATCAGAGATCATCATCTGTCTCCCCACAAGGCACGGGTTCCATTGCACAGGGACTGTTTGCTTCTGCATTCTTTTTTTTTTTTTTTTCCTGAGACGGAGCCTTGCTCTGTCACCAGGCTGGAGTGCAGTGGCACGATCTCGGCTCACTGCAACCTCCGCCTCCCAGGTTCAAGTGATTCCCCTGCCTCAGCCTCCCGAGTAGCTGGGACTACAGGCGCACACCACCATGCCTGGCTAATTTTTTGTATTTTAATAGAGACAGGGTTTCATCATGTTAGCCAGGATGGTCTCGATCTCCTGACCTCATGATCCACCAGCCTTGACCTCCCAAAGTGCTGGGATTAGCGGCGTGAGCCACCGCGTCTGGCCGTTTCTGCATTCTTTCCCCAACAACCAGAACAGCACTGGGTGCTCAGTATGCGTTTAGTGGGTGAACGGCTGCTTTGGTGAGCCGCTTGTCTGCAGAGGCCCTGGACTCTGGAGCCCTAGACTAGCAATGAGCCTTGACTCTGGAAAGCTTGGATGGGCCGCCTTCGACTCGCAGATGTATGGGATTGAAAAGTCAATTGTGTGATCTTAAAACACATTTCCCCTGGTGGATGACAGGACTGGTTTCTCAGGTTAGTGTAGCCGGCGATGGAGCTGAACCAGTACAAAGAGTAACACCAGGCCTACCTGGACCTTGGCTCCAGGCACTTTACCCCCTCCTCGAACCCAGATGAGCCTGGCATCAATGGGTCAAGGGGGACTGTACTGGGGTGACTGGTAAGAGCAAAGGTGGCGTTTGGGCTGACAGCGCTAACTTCTGGATCAGGCTGTGGGCACTGCAGCTGCCATGAGTCAGGAGGAGGCTCTGGGAACATGGATTGGACCTGGGGTGCTCCTTCAGACATACCCAGTGTGAGCTAGGGGCTGCCTGCATCCTGGGGGCATTTATCATCACGCGGAGCTAGTTACGTGGCAGGGCACTGGGCAGGTCAGGATTGGGTACTGTGGTGGCAGAGAGCCCCAGGAAGAGGTCGCCTTTGTGTGGGGATGACAGAGGTCCCTGCGGTCTGCAGGGTGAGCTGAGGTCCTAGTCCACCTTCCGTCTTCTTGGCTTCTGGAGCCCATCAGGGGCTGCACCATGAATGCCCAGTGACTCTGGACCTCCCTGGTCAAGGCTGCTGGACAGGCTTCCCCTTCTTACCCTTCTCAGTGGATCCATGATGCCTGCAGTGCTGGGTCCAAAGAAGTCTGAGGCCAACTGTGGGCTCCCTGGGAAGGGGCACTGGACTCCCTGGGAAGGGGCGCTGGGAAGGGGCCCTGGGAAGGGGTGATATCTGACATGGCCACAGGGTACCATGGCTTTGTCAAGTCAGATTGAGTCTAGCCGTCTCATTTCACAAGTGAGGGCATTGAGGTTCAGAGAGGGAAGGAACTTGCCTGAGATCATGTGACTTGCAGAATCGAGGTTTGAAATGGGGTCCCCTGGCCGCTAGTGCCTTTGGTATCATACCTTTCATTAGACGGACTCACCAGGAGCCTCCCATCAAACCAGGGGAGCATGTGCCCTGCTCCCCACCTGACCTAATGCAGTGCCCATTCCAACCCCAGCTGCCAGCCAGCCCCATTCATACTGGGCAGGGCGTGGAAAGAGCTGTAGAAGCAGCCCTGTCCTCTGGGTGTTGTGACTCTGAGAGGCACATGGAGAAGAGACCAGCAGGGGTGTTACAGAAACCATAGCAGGCAGTCAACACACACTCATCAGACCCACACCAAGGTTAGCCGCGTGCTACGTCCCCGTGTCTAGGCTGGGGATGGGGGCAGAGTGGGACAAGCTGATGGTTCTCCTCTGAGCAATCCAAGGAAGCTTCCTGGAGGAAGTAGGGCTCTGGGGAGGAGCGGCCTTAACTGGGGCACAGGGAGAGGCTGGTTTGACGTGTGGGAAGTAGCCTGGTGTGGTGGGGGGTGACGGGAGGGCTTGGACAGCTGGAGTTAGAGTCCCTCTCTCTACTCACTGTGCGGCGTTGGACAAGTTTGTTCATGTATCTGAAGCCTCTGTTTGCTCAGCAATAAAATGGGGACAATGAAAAACCTAATCTCACAGGGTTGGGGAAGAGCAAATAAGATACCACCTGTGAAAGGGCTTCTTAAGTCTGAAGGTGTTTTCAGTACGTACTGTGTGATTTTATTTATATAAAGTTCAAAAACAGGCGAAGTAATCTATGGTAATAGAAGCTGGGATAGCAGTTAGCCTTGGCAGGGGGCCTGAGAAAGGGCCTCTAGAATACTGATAATGCTCTATTTCGTGATCTGAGAGCTAGTTCTGTGGACATTCCTTGAGCTGCACACTTATGTGCACTTCTCTTTCTTTTTTTCCTTTGAGGCAGGTCTCACTCTGTCGCCCAGGCTGGAGTGCGGTGGCATGATCTCCATCTCCCGGGCTCAGGGTGATTCTCCCACCCTGGCACCCGCCCTCTCACCCCAGTAGCTGAGTCTACAGGCATGTACCACCATGCCCCACTAATTTTTTATATTTTTTCTTTCTAGAGACAGTGTTTCTCTATGTTGCCCCGGCTTGAACTTCTGGGCTCAAGCGATCCTCCCACCTCGGCCTCTCAAAGCCCTGGGATTACAGGTGTGAGCCGCTGTGCCCAGCCATGTGCACTTTTCTGTGTAAACAGTATACATCAATTCAAAAAGTTTGTTTTTAGGCCGGGCACAGTGGCTCATGCCTGTAATCCTAGCATTTTGGGAGGATGAGGTTGGTGGATCACTTGAGGTCAGGCGTTCAAGACCGGCCTGACCAACATGGTGAAACCCCATCTCCCCTAAAAATACAAAATTAACCAGGTGTGGTGGCACATGCCTGTAATCCAAGCTATTTGGGAGGCTGAGGCAGGAGAATCACTTGAACCTGGAAGGCGGAGGTTGCAGTGAGCCAGAGGTTGCAGTGAGCCAAGATTGCACCATTGCACTCCAGCCTGTGCAGCAAGAGTGAAACACCATCTCAAAAAAAAGAAAAAAAAAGTTCGTTTTTAAAGTGCTTATCACAGTCAGGTTATAAATGGCTAAAGGGCGGTCACTTGACAGTGTCCAAGAGGAAACCTGGAATGATGTTAATAGAAATAGTGGTTGAACACTTTAGGCAGAAGAAACATTTTCTCATTTAAACCTCAACAACTCACATTTTACAAGTGGGGAAACTCAGTGAGGTTGCAGAAGTTGCCCAAAGTCACACAGCCAGCCCGTGGCAGAGGGTCTGACCAGAGCCAGCACCCAGTCCTGGGGAACCTGGAGGATGCAAAGGCAGGTGGGGTTGCCCTGATCCCGCCTCGGCTTGCCGGGGCTTTGGCTTCTGGAGCTGCGTCATCTTTGTGGCTCTGCCCCTGCTGGGGTCCTGCCAGGCCTCAGCTTTCATGGAATGTGGAGAGCAGCCTCAGCTCCCTGCGGCCCCAGGGTGGAGATGCTTCCAGAGTGGGAGGAAGCAGGGGCGGGAGCTGGACAGCATCTGTCTGCAGGGTCTGCTGGGTGGGGACCCCGGAGCAGATGGTGTTTCACTCAGTTAAAACCCCTCAGGGCAGACCCCTGCCGGTGAGAGAGGGAGCATGGCAATGCTTATCCCAGCAGAGGAGGGGAGCAGGGAGCCGCTGCAAGTTCCCTCCTGCCTTCCTGGAGCCCGTGCTGGGGATTTATCTCCTCCCAGAGGCCTAACTGCGCCCCAGACACTCGCACCTGCATCCTCCAGGGGCGGGCTGGGGGCTGGGAGGAAGACGGGCATTCAGGTGCTTTTGTTACCTTTGTGATGTGGCTGAGCCAGACAGCCTCGCTCACACTAAGCCACCCCTGGCGTGTGGCCTTGTCTGGTGAGAGAGAGGTGGCATTGTGCTTGCATTTATATGCAGCTGGCAGAGCAGATACAGCCTCATTGTTGTCCAAGGTTTCCAATCAGGTGGGGAAAAAGAGGGCCTGGTGGTCCCACTCACGGGTGGAGGAAGAGGCTTCTTTACCAGCGGAACCAGCCTCACCTCCTCTGGGAGGCCTGCTCTGGTTAACCCCTTCAGCTGCTTTATCCTGGCCCTCAGCAGGGACACATGCGTTGTGAATAGAGTGAGCTCATCAACAAACAAGTCCTTTTATTTTATTTTATTTTTTTGAGACAGGGTCTCACTCTATTGCCCAGTGACGGGATTTGGGCTCACTGCAGCCTCGATCTCCCGGGCTCAGCCGGTCCTCCCACCTCAGCCTTTTGAGTAGCTGGGACCACAGGCATGGGCCACAATGCTCAGCTATTTTTTATTTTTTATTTTTGTATTTTTTGTGCAGACGTGGTTTCACCATGTTGCCTAGGCTGTTCTTGAACTGCTGAGCTCAAGCAGTCTGCCTGCCTCAACCTCCCAAAGTGCTGGGACTACAGGTGCCCGCCACCACGCCCGGCTAATTTTTTGTATTCTTAATAGAGATGGGGTTTCACAGTGTTAGCCAGGATGGTCTTGATCTCCTGACCTCATGATCTGCCCGCCTTGGCCTCCCAAAGTGCTGGGATTACAGGCATGAGCCACCAAGCCCGACCCTATAATTTTTTTATATTAAGTCTGTCTGAAATATGTTGGTCCTGTCACCCCTGTTTGACTGGAGGCTGGCTGAGGGCAGGGACTATGGGGGACCCTTCTTTCCTCTGAGCCTGTCTTAGGGAACCCATCTGTATTAGTCTGTTTTCATGCTGCTGATAAAGACATATCAGAGACTGGGTAACTTATACAGGAAAAAGGGGTTAATGAAGTTACAGTTCCACGTGGCTGGGGAGGCCTCACAATCATGGCGGAAGGCAAAGAGGAGCAAGTCACATCTTACATGAATGGCAGCAGGCAAAGAGAGAGCTTGTGCAGGGAAACTGCCCCTCATAAAACCATCAGATCTTGTGAGACCCATGAGATCTCTCATGAGATGCTAGCATGAGAACAACACGGGAAAGACCTGCCTCCATGATTCAATGACCTCCCACCAGTTTCCTCCCACGACACATGGGAACTGTGGGAGTTGCAATTCAAGATGAGATTTGGGTGGGGGCACAGCCAAACCACATCACCATCTATTGAGCATGTGCCCATCTACAGCACTTTAGTTTCCCAGGGTAGCTTTGGCTCCCTGCCTCAGGACCTTTGCACATGCTGTTCACTCTGCCTGCAACTCCTCCTTCCACCTCCTCTCCTTCTCTTGCTTCACTACTCCTTATCCATTCCTCTTCCAGGAAGCCCTTTCCTGACGCCTCCCTGAGCCTGCATAACCCCCCACCCCGACCCTCATGTGCTCTTGCAGCCCCAACCCTCGTTCCCTTTGGAGCACTCCCACCTTGCATTGTAACCTACAACTTACATTGTAGCACTGAGCTGTGGGAGGCCAGGCATCAAGTCACCACATCCACTTCTGTGCCACACTTTAACACAGTGTCTGGCTTACAGGAGGATCTTGCCAAATATTTGTTGAAAGAAGCAAAGCGATCGAGCACCAAAGAGAGGAGCAAGCCCAGCCGCTGTGCCCATCGACATTAGAGGGATTGCCCTTGGCTGTGACCTCCTCCACCTTAGTCTGAGCCCCTAGCAGTTACTACAGGGACGAGCCTAGAGCCCAGCCTGGGCACCAGTGACCACATCTGTTTTGCACAGCGCTGGGTTCCTGACATCTGCACAGAGATGCAGCCTAATAGTGTCTCTTAGATGTCCTTGGATAGTCACACATGTAAGTTCCCTGTCGGGAGTGGTGGGGGAAGTGGGAAAAGTGCTGTCTGTCACTTATCCTTCTGTGAAACAAGGTGGAGATGATTTCAATGTATCCCTTGACTCCTGATAGGGAGTAGCCTCTCTCGCAACCTGCCTTTCCCACCTCAACCACCATCCCCGCTGTGTGCAAGTACACTTGCTTTTAGGTGCTTTCACATCCAGCATCTCATTTAATCTCTCCAACAAAGGTGCTTTCACATCCAGCATCTCATTTAATCTCTCCAGCAACCCTGGGAGGCAGCTGCTGTTGACCTGTTTTATAGATGAGGAGACAGAAGTTCAGAGTGGTTAAACTGGCATGCCCCGAGTCACACAGCTGGTAAGCAGTAGAGCTAGGATCCCGTTCTCCTTTTTCTAGCATTACAGCTCCACTTGCCCTTCCTTCCTGGTGGCTCAGTGGCCTGCTTAGGAGTAAGGGTGCCCCAAGTGTGAGTCCTATGAGGCCCCATGTTCTTGCTTAATGCCTGAGAGTCCCTGACCTTGGAAATGCCTGTGTGCCAACCACAAGGTGCGGGTGTGGAGAAACGTCTGCCTTTGACAAATAGCCCTGTGGTCCCAGGACATGTAGGGCTAATTCAAGTGCAAACAGTGTATTAGTATTTATTACTCATGCTCCACTGCTAATAAAATTTGAGTTTAAAAAATAATGGTGAGCAAATGAATCGGTCGATGGCCTGTGGGGAGAGGCTCCAGGGGAAGGATATTTCATGGAGAAGAGTGACAGGAGCCCAAGCTATTGCAGGCTCTAGAAGATGGGTCCTTGCTGGGGTGTGGGTGGGGGTAGGGGGACTTATCCTGGGGGCAGCTCTGCACTCTGGTCCAGTTTGGTGAGTCGTTAGTCTGCACAGTAAAATTTGTCAGAAAGCACATTTGCCAACAGAGGCAGCTTCTCCAGGCTGAGGAGGTGGCTGTTGGCTGGGTGAATAGCTTTCAAATATCTATTTCAGTCATCTGTGCTTAAAATCCTTAATTTGGGAAGCCATTTCCTGCAAAGTCCCAAACCTGGGTTCCAGACGGAAGCCTCTGTCTTCGACAACCGCGTTACAGGGCGGACTGGGTTCTGCCACGCAGGGCTGAGAATGGGGTTCAGAGGCCTAAGAAGGTTCTAAGTCTCTGAAAAACCAAGGGGCCTGCTACAGGTTCCGTGATGTAGGAAGACAGAGATGGCCCTGGGGTGTGGAGGGGATTCATTCAGAGCTGGATGGCATTTTGGGATGAGGAGAACTCTGATTGTTAGACCCCGCTTCCCTACAGTGGACGGCACCTGTGTCCTACTGATGTCTCTGGAGCATCATCGGCTGGAGAAAATGCCGGTTCACAAAAAGGAGATCTGCTACGGTGTGACTTTGATCAAGTCATTTTACTTCTTTGGACTTAGTTTCCTCTCTGCAGAGTGGGGGTGATGAGTCCTTCCTGGTTCCCATCATAGGCTCAGGAGCGGAAGGATGGAGCTGTCTAAGCAGAAGGGTGTGACAGCCCTTTAGATATTTGGAGACAGCTCTCTTGCTTTCCTTGAGAGAGTGCTTTGCTTAAGACTAGACTTTTGGAGGGCTTAGAAAATGTGGGTGGATTTGCGATTCTTATGTGTAAATGCTACCCTACAACCTCTTTCATAATTCATCCATCAAGGCCAGAAAGATCAAGAGTGAAACTCAGAGCTTGTTGTGCCTGGTTCATGCATGTTTGTTTATGGAAGGAGAAATGACATTTTCCTTCCCCACATCCTCCTTTCATGTCGTCTGCCCCTGCCACAGGCACCTGCTCCATAGCGCTGCCCAAATAATCATTTAGACACCAGGAGTTTCCAATGCTCTGTACATGTGCTCTCCAGTGCTTACACCAGCCTTGGGGTGGGTGCCAGGATCATCCCATATTACTGGATCAGGAAACTGAGACTGGTGCAGTGAGGGGTCTGCCCAAGGTCATGGTTACAGCTGAACTCTGCCTGTTTCTTTTTTCTTTTTCTTTTTTTTTTTGAGACTGAGTCTTGCTCTGTTGCTCAGGCTGGAGTGCAGTGGCGCAGTCTCGGCTCACTGGAACCTCTGCCTCCCAGGTTCAAGCAATTCTCTTGCCTCAGCCTCCCGAGTAGCTGGTACTACAGGTGCATGTCACCATGCCCAGCTAATTTTTGTATTTTTAGTAGAGACGGGTTTTCACCATGTTGGCCAGGCTGGTCTCGGACTCCTGACCTCAGATGATCCACCCGCCTTGGTCTCCTAAGGTGCTGGGATTACAGGTGTGAGCCACCGTGCCCAGCCTGCCTGTTTCTCTTAGCACCTTGCAACCTCATGGTTGTGGCCCAAGGATGTCATACCAGTGACCTTTGGATGTCCCTGTGGAGCAGCAGATGGCAACCCTTCTTCTCCCCTTTACTCCCAAATGGAGACCCTCCCCCTGCTTCCACCTCTGGATGTGGGGCAGGTGGAAGGTCTCCATTCAGGAGCGCACCTGGCAGGTGCACGATTGAACACGGAGCAAGACAGCCACAGCTGGAGCCGGGTACCTGTGGCCACTCAGGCCCTGGGCTGCTGGCACAAGGGTGATTGCATGGTCCCGATTTGACCTCCTGAGTCCTTGGTTGCTCCTCCCTAGCCCCCAAAGTGACCTGGACTCGCTGCTTTGAACATCCATCCCCCAGCTCCATGCTAAGCTCTCTGCAGCCCTGTGGGCCCTACCCCGCCCCCAGCTTCCTTTGATCCGGCTGCCCTTGTGCCCGGGGGTCCGCCCTGGGTGTGGACCCAGGAGTCGGGTGGCCCTGTGGTATTGTCAGGGAATGTCCCAACAGCTTAGAGGCATTGAATCAAAGTCCTCTCAGAGGGGGAGAGGGTATTGTTTAGACGTTTTGTGTAAATTAATAATATTGTAACTGTTAATTGAATGTCCATTGATTGCCTGTCAGAGGTTTGATTTAATCTGTCCTCCTCCCTCTGAGCCGGCTGGCTGCTTAAATAGTTTGCTCGCTTTGCCTTGTTTTTCTTGCTCTAGTGTGGACTCTTTCCCCTACCCCGCAAACCTTGGTTTCATTTCGCTGGCTTCATAATTAGCATCTTCTGCTTTCTGGCACTGGCCTTGGCCTTCTTGCAGTTACTAGTCCCTCCCAAGTGGATTCCTGTGATTCATCCCTCAACCAGAGTTTTCTGAAGTATCTGGAGACTCGGGACAAAGACAGTCGGCCTGTCTTTGTCCCCTTTCTTTTGGGGTTTTAGATGCTTTGGGCTTCTCCTTGGAAGGGAGTGGGAAGGGCAGTGCCTGGAGACTTAGGGGATGAGCCCGGTAGGGCTGCTGGCTTCATTCACTCATTCATCCGTCTATTCACCAGGCCCTGTGTTCAGCACTAAGGGGACACATTCCTGAGTTCAGTACTTAGTGGTGGAGACAGAGAAGTAAACAGATGATGCAATGCGGTGTGATGTGCCAAGGTGGAGGCCAATGTAGGGGGGCGCAGAGACATGGAAGAAAACGGTAAAATCAGATGTGGCAGCATGGAAGGCTTCCTGGAGGAGGAGTAACCTGCACTGCAGTTGGAACTGCATTTCAATAAACAAGGAGGAATTAGTCTGGCAAAGGAAAGGACAAGAGCCTCCTAGCAGAGGGAAAAGCACATGTCACAGCTGGGTCAGAGGGGACTTCTAGAGTGAGAGATGGCAGAGAATAAGGTAAGGGTTAATAATATCTACAGAATGATAATATACTGCACACTCACTAAGCATTGGGCAGAGTTCTGAGGGCTTTCCTTGTATTATCTAGCTTAGTCCTTATAACAACCCTGCATACAGGTACTGCTAGCGCCCCTTTTAATAGCTGAGCCTAGAGATATGGGCACAGGCAGTCTGATTCAGGGGTGCTGGCTCTCCCATTGCCCCTGCTGCCTCACTGCTGCTGTCTGGCCCAAGGATGTTACACCAGGGTTGGGTCATTGGGGCATCTGCAGAGCTGGATTATGGAGGGTCTTATGTGTACGTTCAAAAGTTTTAACTTGGCTGGGTGTGGTGGCTCACACCTGTAATCCCAGCACTTTGGGAGGCCAAGGTGAGTGGATCACTTGAGGCTAGGAGTTCGAGACCAGCCTGGCCAACATGGTGAAACCCTGTCTCTACAAAAAATGCAAAACTTACCCGGGTGTGGTAGTGCGTGCCTGTAATCCCAGCTACTTGGGAGGCTAAGGCAGAGAATTGCTTGAATCCAGGAGGCAGAGGTTGCAATGAGCCAAGATTGCCCCACTGCACTCCAGCCTGGGTGACAGAGCAAGACTGTGTCTCAAAACAAAAACAAAAACAAAAACATTTTAACTTTATTCGGAAAGCAACTGAAAGCCACTGAAAAATTTTAAACAGAAATAGCTTGACCAGATTTATTTTCAAAAATAAAAATAATCACTCTGGCTGTAATGTGGAGGATGGTGGCCCTGACACAGGCTGGAGGCACGAAGGCACCTGCTGAGCCTGGCAGTGATCCTGCCAAAAGAGCCAGGCACCGGGGTACAGAGGGGAGTGTGGGCCCAGAAGCACAAAGGAGGTAGAATCGCAGGACACCTAGGGGCTGGTGGATGTGGGTGGTGGGTGGTGGGTGGAAGGCAGGTGTTTACGTGAGGCTCAGATTCTTCATTCGGGGCAGTTTGGAGTCAATTACCAAGACACTGGAGATGGGAGGACCAGATTGCAGAAGAAGGTGACGGATTCAGTTCCATTTTAGACTGGTTGGCTTTGAAGTGACTGAGGGATATCTATGTGGAATTGAGTGCACACACCCAGAGCCCAGGATAGAGACAAGTGGTGGGGCTGGGGATTTTGAAATTAGGGCAAGTAGGGGGCACAGGGGCTTTAATGAGCTCCCCTCGAAAGAATGTTTAACGCGACCAAAGAGAAGCTGATGACGGAGCGCTGAGAACCGTGCACGCTGGGGCCTGAGTCCACAAAAGAGATCAGGAGAAACAGCCACGGGTAGCACAGCCAGGAGAGAGGTTGCTCAGAAACCCAGGTAGAATGGGGGATAGTCCATGGTGGAAAACGCTGTAGTAAGTACAGTAAGAGTCATACAGTGTCTAGTGGATTTGGCCACTGGGAGGTCATTGGTGCTCTTCCTGGGTGTGGGAAGGAGGTGACTGCCATAGCAGAAGAGCATTGGACAGGTCCAGAGGGGACATGGGGACAGGCAGATGGCCTCTGCAGCCCAGCTGAGGAGAGACCAGGAAAACCCCTGGGAGCAGAGGCAGAGGTTTGAGGGAGCACTTCCCAATGGGGGACACTCAGCAGGGATGAAGAGGTTAGGGTGACCAACCATCCTGGTTTGCCCAGCTCTGCGGAACTTCCTGAGATACGAGACTTCAGTGCTAAACCCAGGATGATCCCGGGCAAACCTGATGGTTGGTTGCCCTAGGAGAGTTTACTCCCTGCAGTAAGCTGGCCGGTATTCAACAGCGGGCTCTCCTGGGGGAAGCCCTGACTTGTAGGGTTTGCTGATTTCCACGGTGTAAATACCATGGTCAATTTTAAGTTGCCAACGTGATGTCACTAAATGCGGAGCTGGGAAGAGGTGTGTACGGCCCACTCTTGTGAGCCTGTCTGAGCAGGCTCCAGCACACCCGGGAGAGAGCCTGGTGGGTGGCAGATGGGGGTCCTGAGGAGGTGGGGGATCCAGGGAAGAACCTCCTGGGACCAGAGGGAAGAGGGAAGGGGGGTGCAGATCTTTGCAGGGAGGGTTGGGGAGGGCTTGGGGGCCTTGGTGGTCTCAAGGAAGGAAGAGGGGAGTGTGAAGGGGGAGGTAAGAGGGAGGGAGGGAAGGAGGGAAGAAGGAGTTTGGAAAAGCCTGTAAAAGGAGGGGGTAGGGAGCAGGCCGGGACCCCCACCCAGGATCCTGGAGCAGTGCTGAGGGCAGGGAGGTGACACTGTCCAGGCACCACACTTGTGGAACAGCCTAGAAGTGGGCATGTAGGAGGGAAGGAGCTGGCTAGGCAGGGTGTGTAGGGCAAGGTCACTAAAGGACAAAGGAGCAGGACAGCTCGGGATCCCGGTTCTACATCCCCCACCTCACAGGACTGTAGCGAGGATTAAATGAGTTAAAATGCATGAAACACTTACTACCTGAGCACGGGCAGTGGGCTAGCACATTAGTATTAGTATAGCAGCAACTGAGTGAACGTTGCATTTTTTATGTGTGTATCTGTGCACATTTGCATTGCTGCACCTATTCCTACCTTGCTCCCATGTAACATGCAGTCCTTAAGATATGAAAGTGACACTGTGCCTGCCTTCAGTCAGTAGGCATCACTGTACCTTTTCCAGGGTAGGTATACACGTGCATGAATACAGTCCCAACACGCTTCACTGGTTCCTCCTGGCCATCTCGCTGCATGTATCTCATGCTGGGCTCAAGCCAGGGGTGGAAAAAGACGAGAAGGTAGACACAGGTGAACTCTCATGTCAGGCTTAGGGGAGCAGTGGAAGATTATAAAGCCATCCTTGAAGTATTGTGTGTAGCACTAAGAAGGTGAGAGGTGCCAAAAATCAAGTCAGGCAGATGTTTTCACAAAGAACAGAAAGGTAGATTAAAAAGTATTCTAAAGCAATAAGTGTTAGGCTATTTTCCTGCAACAATTCGAAAGAGTGTATGAAGCAGATGGTCCTGCAGCTCTGAGAACACAAAAGAGGAGCTCGCGGGGCTGGCAGCAGTTCCTGAAGGACAAGTTGGGCCCAAACCACCTCTTTTTCTCTGTTTCAAAAGCTTTCCGAGTCTATGTGTCTTAGCTGGGGGGTGTCTTAATTTCAGCGAGCCTTAAGCCAATGCCTGATGGTGTCTGTACAGAAAAGGTGAAAAGCTGTACATCGCCCTGGGCTGCAGACAGGTGGATGCGGAGCTGGTTGAACAATTGGACCTGGAACATTGATTACAGATTGGGGGGGCCTGGAGAGAGGTCACATTTATCTGTTTATTTATTCAGGTACTCGCTTAGTCACGTGACAGATATTAACCAAACCCTTCCTTTGGGTCTCTGGTGCCAGAGGGTGTCGTCCTTGGGCCTGTTCTGGTTGACGTATGTATTGATGGCTCAGGTGAGGAGGGAGAAGGTGGATTATCCAATTGATATGAGGCTCGGCAGGGAAAGAAGCTACCCTACCGGATGAGTGGGGAGTGATCAATAGGAAGAACAATGGACCCACACCAACAAGATGGAATTAACCACCAGCAAAGGAAGAGTCCTGCATCTAGAGTTCTAAAAAGTCAATTACGTAAACAGAGCGGGGGAGGCCTGATTGGCAGAGGACTTGGAGGCAGGCTGACCACCAGCTCTGCCCGGCCCAGACGCCTGCTGAGGAGGCGGCCAGGGGTTGAGGCCTAGGGCGTGCTCCCCATGCTCCACCCTGTGAGCATGTGCTCTGGGTGCACTGTGCCCAGTGCGTAGGGCCTCACTCTGAGACACGTTGATAAAGTCCACAGTTCTTTCGGAAGAGAGCTGGCAAGAGGGCAAGGGAGCCGAGACCTGTTTCCTGGGAGGTGTCCTCAAAAGACAGAGGACTCAGGGTAACTGATTCAAAGACTCCGAGGGCCACAGGAGAGCCTAGCTTATTTATGTTGCTGTTCCTTACTCTTTGCCTTCAACTAGTGGACATGCAGGATCCCTTGTCTCTTCCATGGTTGCATCGTCCTCTCTTGACCTGGTCCACAGGTTCTTTAGGAATGAGAGATTGGGAAGCATGAGAGCCTTGGGGTTGTGGTCAGAGGCGGAAACTCAGAGACGGAGATATTGGAACTCTGCAGAGGGCCTCAGCCTCTTAGGAAGCTTCAAAATCAAATCTACCATCCTTAATAGGGATGTCTCCTTCTCTTTATTGGGCATGAACAGAAGGCAGATAGATGGGTGTGTGCAAATGAGATCTCTGGGATCTTGCCAGGCAGCTTCTCTACTGCCTGGGGGAGTCCTACCTGGATGCCCACAGTGAAGGAAGCAAACACACATGTCTCCTGGAAGCTCCCTGAAACCCTGAGGTGGAATTAATCATTCCTTCTTAGGCCTGCAGATGCTCTGCACCCGCCTATGTAGCGGGCGATCATGGTGCACTGTGGACGGGCACGCGCCTTCCTCCTCGCCGCGCTGTGCAGCTTCCTTTACCTACAGCTTCAGTCTTGGCCCAGTGCCACCTGCAAAGTAGATGCTCAGTAATGAATGAGGGGATCTGTTGTAGAATAAATATATGTTCTTCTGTGAACAGGTTGGAACACATACTTGTTTGTTCTTAAAAAAAAAAAAAAGAAACCAACAAACAAACCTTGAGTGAGTTTTCCTTGTGGAGAGGATAGACCTAGAGTGGAGGGCAGGGAAGTGTCTCTATCCTATGACAAGAAAAACCACATGGCAAGTCCGTGATGTATGGCCATGGCCAAGGTTTAAATAAAAATCTTTTCTTAGTTATTTAGCCTTAATAAACAAAAGTGTGTCACAGCCACAGACTTTCTTATATTGCACTTTCTAACGAGGACAGAAGTCTTTCCTTAGGAATACGAAGATGCTTGCTTTCCGGCCTGACCTGCTCACGGCCTCTGGAGCGGCACGCATCCCATCCCTCCCGCTGTGTGCTTGTCCCCAGGACGAGGCTGCTTTCCAAGACAGGGCCGCGCATCACTTGGGCGTCAGGGCAGTGGGAGAGGACCTGTTTCTGGAGATGGCACCTCCTCCTGGGGAAGAAAGAGGGGAGAACAGTAGTTGACTACAGGTGGGGAACTTCAGGGAACTCAAAAATGTCCAGGCGACCCCCAACCCCTGCTCCACCAAAGTGTCTGATTCCCTCCCCAGGGGGTGTACATTGTAAAAGGCCTCCTCTCCCAGCACAGGCACATCCAGCCATTCCAAATCCTTGAGACTTAACATTCCAAGCAGATTTCCCTTTCCTTTCTCCGTGAGTTAGAATCAATTTTCACATTAGTAATGAAATTGCATGTATTGCATTAGCCATTATCATTGGCTTCCTGGCCGCTTACGGCTGGCTGGGCAGACTGCCTCGGGTCCCTTCTCTGCCTGAAGTGCAGAGACGGGCCATGTTCTCAGGGTTGCTGCTGGTCTGAGATCTTGAAACTGGCAGCCCTCCTGGGTAACTACCTATCTGTCCTCAGAGGAGGAAGAGGTCAGGAAAAGGAAAGGGCTGGGTTTCTGCATTGGCAAACCAATGCAACATATTGACAAGGAAGTCTGTAGGGTGACTCTGCTGATGCCAGGCTGGGGGCTCAGGGCTCTAACTGTATTTCAGGAATGACTGGCATCTTCCCAAGGGAAGTGCCAGAGAGAAGGCCTAGTGTCCTTGCTGAGCCAGGGACCAGATTAGACATTTCTCCTCTCTTCACTCTCCAGGTTGGGAAATTCTGTATGAGAGAAGAAAAGTGGTGCTGACCACCTGCCCCCAAAGCTTCTTGGGTGTACCCAAGGCCAGGGCCACCTCCAAAGCAAGTGAGAGGCACCCAGCCGAGACTGCAGCTGGGGGGAACTCTCTAAGATTTCGGAGGCAGCACAGGGAACACTCTATTAGGGGAAGGTACCCCTCAAAGGGACCAGCTTGCTCCCTGTGGGAGGAGAGGACAGCCTCTTTGGTGATGCTGGGTGGTTTTGGGGGGCCTGTGGGACAGTCCTGGGCCTGTTACCCAACTTGTGTTTCCTCTGTCCTCAAGAGCTTCTGAAGAACAGGCCTGGCGAAGAACAGGTCTGGCAAATCCCAGGGCAGACCCCCGAGGGTGAGCCGGGAGCATCTTTAACTACAAATGATAACGATCCCTTATGTTCGTATCCACTTCGTAATAGGTCACAAAAGGAACCACTTGTGCGAACATGATCTTATTTGCTTTTCACAACCACATGATGAAAATAAGCACTATTTTCCCCTTTGCAGATGGACTCCCAAGTTCAGTGCTCTTCCCAGGACACACAGCTGCCCCATGTGGCCATCGGCTGTGAAGGAAGCTGGCCAGGGAGTTAATTAGTATTTTAGGTTCAACAAATCTTATTTGATCTGGAGTTTAATTTGAATGGCCATCAGCAAAGTTATTGCCATTACCAATATGTCTTTAAACTGGTTAAATATTTGAAGCCATGTCAGCATCTCCCAGCTGAACAGAGTCACCAAACACACAAGCAAAACGCCTCCATTGGGGGCTGGACGGTGGGTTTCTGCAAAGAAAATGTGTGCCAGGATGGCTTAATGGAGCTCCTGGAGGGCTAAATAGGCAGCCAGATAAAGGGAAACAGCAGCTATAATCTGTTTGGCTTTCAAAGGCCTTTTCAAGGTTACCCACCAAATGCAATGTTAAAATAATTGAGTTATCACGGGGCTGGGGCTAGGACTTTGTCACAGTGGAGAAGCTGTTTGTGACAGGCAGCGAATCGTGGGAGTTATTGGACCAAGAAGGGAGTGTTTCCTGGGCTGGGGCTGGGCCTAGGTTTATTGAGCATGTATATAAATGACAAGAAAGGTGCTCACAAGGTGACTGCCAGGTTTGCAGGAGGCTCTTCCAGGTCTCTAGGGAGACACCATAGAAAGGCTTCACAGTCCTGGGCAAGCAGCCAGGTAAGAGGAGGGCAGCTTGGATGTGGGAAAGTGCATGGAGATGCTTTTAGGGTTTAATCATTCAAACCACAGAGCGCAGGGTCTGAGCCATCTGACAGGTCTGGCAAAGGGACAGGGGCATATTACCAGGGTGTCTTCCTTAGGATCCTCATGGGAGCTTAAAACTTGGGGCTCGGCTGGGCGTGGCGGCTCATGCCTGTAATCCCAGCACTTTGGGAGGCTGAGGGGGGCGAATCACTTGAGGTCAGGAGTTCGAGACCAGCCTGGCCAACATGGCAAAACCCTGTCTGTACTACAAAATTAGCCGGGCATGGTGGTGCGCACCTGTAATCCCAGCTACTTGGGAGGCTGAGGCAGGAGAATCGCTTGAACCCAGGAGATGGAGGTTGCAGTGAGCAGAGATCGTGCCACTGCGCCCCAGTCTAGGCAACAGAGTGAGACTCCATCTCAAAAAATATATAAATAAATAAAATAAAAAATAAAAAACAAACAACAAAAAAATGAGGCTCACTAACACCCAGGGGATCATTGGTAGAGTTGAGGGGTGGGAAGCTTCCTGAGTTATATGCAAAGATGTGAGTACAGTATAGGCATTTTTGGGTACAAGGACAATAGCTTGCATCAGATTTTCAAAGAGGACTTTGGACTCAAAAAATATCAAGAACAGCCAGGCACGGTGGCTCATGCCTGTAATCCCAGCACTTTGGGAAGCTGAGGTGGGAGGATCTCTTGAGCCTGGGAGTTGAAGAGCTGTGATCACAAATCATTGCATTCCAGCCTGGGTGAGAGTGAGACCCGGTCTCTTAAAAACAAAACAAAGAACAGCTGTTTGTCTGCTACACGTGGCCCTCTCCAACCTGCCCCAGCCTCTCTCTCCAGCATATTTTTACCACATACTGCCCTGCAGCCTGGGGCCCTGCCCCTGGACTGAGGCGCAGCTACCGGAATGTGCTGTGCTAGTTCACACATCTGGGCCCTTGCCGGTGCAGCTCTGTCTTTACCTCCTTACCCACCTGCTGAACTCCTGCTCATCCTCTAAGACCCAGCTCAAGTCTTTGCTGATCCATCCCCTCAGAGCAGAGCTGATTGACCCCTCCTTTGAGCCAGCATCACACTTTGAACAGTTATATTGGAGCACTTATCACGGTGTGTTGAAACTATTTATTCCTGTGTCAGTTTCGCCCAGAAGATTAGGTACTTCTTAAGGGCAGGAGCTGTCCTATCTATTTCTGAGTAAGCCTTTTGAGTAAGTCTTCAATAACATTTGTCAGTTGACCTGGATAAGCTGTTGCAACCAAAAAGGCCATAACAGGTAGGTGTCAGGAAAAATACTCTTTTTTTTTTTCTGAGGTAGCGCCTTGCTCTGTCGTCCAGGGTGGAGTGCAGTGGTGTGACCATGGCTCACTGCAGCCTCGACCTCCTGGGCTCAAGTGATCTCTCATCTCAGCCTTTCAAGTAGCTGGGACTACAGGTGTGCCATCACGCCTGGCTAATTTTAGTATTTTTTTTGTAGAGACAGGGTTTTGCCATGTTGCTTAGGCTGGTCTTGAACAGGCTTAAGCAATCTGCCTGCCTTGATTTCCCAAAGTGTTGAGATTACAGGCATGAGCCACTGCGCCTGGCCAAAAAAATACCCTTGAGAAGATAAACGGAAAGGTATCCTATATTTTGGAAGATATCCCATGGATTAGAAGAATTAATATTGTCAAAATGTCTATACTACTCAAAGTGATTTACAGATTTAATGTAATCCATATCAAAATTCCAAAGGCATTTGTTTTTACAGAAAGAGAAAAAAAAACCCTAAAATTCATATGGAGCCATAAAATACCTCAAATAGCCAAAACAGTCTTAAACAAAGTTGGAGACATCATACTTCCTGATTTCAAACTATATTACAAAGCTGTAGTAATTAAAACAATATGGTACTGGCATAAAAACACACATAGACCAATGGAACAGAATAGAGAGCCCAGAAATAAATCCACACATATGTGGTCAACTAATCTTCATCAGAGGCACAAGAATACACAGTGAAGAAGGACAGTCTCTTCAATAAATGGTGTGGGGAAAACTGGATATTCACATGCAAAAGAATGAAATTGGACCTATATCTTATGCCATACCTAAAAATTAACTGAAAATGGATTAATGACTTAAACATAATACCTGAAATCATAAAAATCCTAAAAGAAAACATAGGGAAAATGGTCCTTCACATTAGTCTTGCCAGTGATTTTTTGGGTATGATGCCAAAAGCATATGCACCAAAAGCAAAAATAAACAAGTGGAACTACATCAAACAAGAAAGCTTCTGCACAGCCAAGGGAACAATCAACAAAATGAAAAGGCAACGTATGTCATGGGAGAAAATATTTGCAAGCCATATATTTGATAAGGGATTAACATCCAAAATATATAAGGAACTCCTACAACTTCACAGCAAAATAACAACCCAATTAAAAAATGGGCAGAGGATCTGAATAGACATTTCTCCAAAGACACATAAATAACCAACAGGTATATGAAGAGATGCTCAACATTGCTAATCACCAGGGAAACACACATGAAAACCACAATGAGATGACATTTCACAAGAGTTAGGATGGCCATAATAAAAAAAGACAGAAGATAACAAATACTGGTGAGGATGTGGAGAAAAGAAGACCTTTTTATGGCTGCTTTTCAGCAAAGGACTGTAAAGAGGAAACTGAAGACCTAGGGGAAGGGGAAACTGAGGCATGTTGAGCACAGCCTAGGCTCCCAGCATATGCTTTTTATGGTCCATTGTTACAACAACCCTGTGCTGCAGGGTTCCTGCTTTCTCTAATTTGTGAATGGGGAAACTGAGGCAGGGAGCTTGCACAGCTGGCTGAAAGCCTCATAGCTGGTACAAGTGTACCCCCGTACACTGTTGGTGGGAATGTAAATTGGTAGTCATTATGGAAAACAGTATGGGGTGGGAGGAGGGATAGGAGCGGAAAAAACTATTGAGTACTAGGCTTAGTACCTGGGTGATGAAATAATCTGTACATCAAACCCTGTGACATGTATTTACCTGTATAATAAACCTGCACATGTACCCCTGAACCTAAAAGTTAAAACAACAAAAACAAAAACAAAAAAACTAGGCCTGGGTGTGGTGGCTCAAGCCTGTAATCCCAGCACTTTTCTGAGGCAGGTGGATCACCTGAGGGTCAGGAGTTCGAGACCAGCCTGACCAACATGGCGAAACCCTGTCTCTACTAAAAATACAAAAAAATTAGCCGGGGATGGTGGTGTGTGCCTGTAATCCAGCTACTCGGGAGGCTGAGGCAGGAGAATTACTTGAACCCGGGAGGCGGATGTTGCAGTGAGCTGAGATCACGCCACTGCACTCCAGCCTAGGTGACAGAGTGAGACTCCATCTCAAAAGAAAAGAGAATGTATGTTCCTCAAAAAATTAAAAATAGAACTACCATACAAGCCAGTAATCCCACTTCTGGGTATTTATCCAAAGGGATTGAAATCAGGATCTTGAAGAGATATCTACATTCCCATGTGCATTGCAGCACTAGTCACAATAGCCAAGAGAGTGTTCCTCTTGGAAGAATGGAATCCAGAATATGTGGTCCACACATACAGTGAATATTATTCAGCCTTAATAAAGAAGAAGATCCTACCTTTGCAAAAACGTGGATGAACCTGGAGGACAGTGTGCTAAGTGAAATAAGCCAGGTACAGAAAGACAAATATTGTATGATCTCACTTACATGTGGAATCTAAAATAGCTCACAGAAGCAGAGGGTAGAATGATGGTTGTCAGGGGCTGGTGGGGAGGGGAAATGAGTTGTTGGTCAGAGGGCACAAAGCTTCAGCTATGCAAGGCGAGTCAGTTCTGGCGAGCTGCGCTGCATAGTGCCCATAGCTAACAATACTGTGTTCTATACTTAGAATTTGCAGAGAGGATGGATCTGATAGTAAGCGTTCTTACCATAGACATATGAAAATAGTTATAAAGAGGGTGAGAGAAACTGTGGGAGCTGATGGATGTGTCTGTGGCCTTGGTGGTGATAGTAGTTTCACCAGTGTATACTTGTCCCCAAACTCATCAAGTTGTATACATTAAATATGTATGGTCTTTTACATGTCAATCATACCTTAACAAAGTGGTTAAATAATACTATTTTTATACTTTTTTTTTTGAGATGGAGTCTTGCTCTGTCACCCAGGCTAGAGTGCAGTGGCATGATCTTGGCTCACTGCATCCTCTGCCTCCAGGGTTCAAGCGATTCTCTAGTCTCAGCCTCCTGAGTAGCTGGGATTACAGGCATGTGCCACCACATCTGGCTAATTTTTCTACTTTTAGTAGAGCCGGGGTTTCACCATGTTGGCCAGGCTGGTCTTGAGCTCCTGACCTCAGGTGATCCACCTGCCTCGGCCTCCCAAAGTGCTGGGATTACAGGCTAAAGAGTACTATTTGTTTTCAACCTGGACATTTCAGCACAGCTGTTATTAGGAAGTTGTGTCCCTCCACCCCCTACCTTGTGATGTTTCCTAGGGTTGAGTTACCACGGGGACATGGAAAGGAGGTGTCTTGTGGGTCATCAGAGCTCTGGTCCTAATGTACATGTGAGAGGTTAAGGCTGGATAAGGAGGGTTAGAAAGAATCAACAGAGATTCTTCAGTGGATTCATTGAAGCCATATTTGTCCTTTTCCACTAAGGGACCATAAGATGAAACTGAAGACCTAGGGGCAAGGGGACCTGAGGCTTGTTGAGCACAGCCCGGACTCCCAGGGTGCGCTCAGTGTGGTCCACTGTCACAACAACCGTGTGCTGCAGGGTTCCCGCTTTCTCTAATTTGTGAATGGGGAAACTGAGGCAGGGAGCTTACGCAGCTGACTGAAGGCCTCACAGCTGGCCAGAGGCCAGCTGTGAACAAACCAGGGGACATACAGGCCTGGCCCGCGGGGTCACTGGCCGGTTTCCTGTGGCTCTCTGCAGGGTTCCCACTGTTCAGCCACAGCTTTGAGCCCTTTTGTGCATCTCTTACTACACGTCCTTATGTAGTCAAACCAGAAATGGAGCTCTTTCCCTCAAAACTGCCTTATCTCTAGTCGTTAAGGGTGTTCATTTGGCTGAAACTATATTAAGTGAATTTAATTGAAGGTTATTTTCCTAAGATACATTTTTTTCTTGTTATAAAGTGATATGTGCTCATTGAAGAGAGTTTAAAAAATACAGTGAGGCAAATGTAAGAGGGTGGAAATTGCCAACAATCCTACCATGTAGCCCACTATCAATAACAATAGTAACTGGCATGGAATGAGTAATTGCCGTATTGTAGTAAGCACTATTCGAGGTGTTTTGACGTACGATTATTATTAACCATTCTTTTGTGTATGAGGAAAACAGACTCAGGGACGTTAAGTAACTTGGCAGAGGTCACACAGCGAAGAAGTGATGAGATTTTAATATGCACCATTTGACTCTAGGGCCCAGGCTCTTAACTACCTCTGTCTTGTGTGAAACAACAGTGGCAATGGATTTTGAATGAAAGGGAGGAGAACTGTTGATTGAGTTTCACCTGCCCTGGAATCCAGAAATCTTGATTATAATGGTCAGGTAGGGAGCACCAGTTTTAGGGATCTTTGGATAACAACACCTAGACGTTCTTTAACTCAGGCTTGATAAAGACTGAGAAGGAGTTACTGAGAACTGCGGAGGCCTGTGCTGTGCACTGAGTGCTTTCCTGCATGTTTTCAGACAGAGCCAAGGGTGGCACCCAGGCTCCACCCTTCCTGCTCTGACCAGATGGCTTCACATCTCTCCTGACTTCTGCTTTGTGGGTTGGTGCCCCTCGGTGTGGCTGGGTACCCTCGGTTTCTCCCCTTCGTGTCTCTGTGGCCCATGACCAAAGAATCCGTGGTCTTTGTGGGTGGGTCAGGTGTTGGCCCTGAGGTACAGCCGTTCTCTGTAGGGCTGCATCCTCCAAGGGGGAACCCCTGTGTGGAGGAGACAGGAGATTTTAGCAGCAGGGACCCTCCTTGCAAACCAGCCCTTGCAGCGTTGGTGCTGCTGTTCCTGTTGAATTGGTTCGCCCCCAGTTGCTGTGGGTTTGCTCCTGCAGTCTCCCTTGCAGTCCTGGGTTAGTTCTCAGGACTGCACCTTGAGGGAGATGGGCCAAAATGAGATCTGGTCCGGAAAAGTGGTCAGGGGCATTTTTCAGTTGGGAAAGATTCTCTCTGGAATGGCAAAGGACTTCTCAAGGGACCGCGCCTGCCTGTGTCCTTCTAGGTGGTGGAGACTGCACCTGCTGGGCTAGGGCGACATGGTTTCTGTGCCTGCCCCTGCAACAGCCTGATTCTTTCTCCCTAGAGATCCACCTAGAGGAAGGGGGATGCAGTCCGCATGGGAGTCCAGCACTGTGAGAGGGCTGCTCATAGCATATCCCCATGGGAGTCTTGCCCCACAGAGTGTGTCCAAGGTGAAGGATGGAGTCTAGGGAACGTGCAGTATGTGGAGAGGACCTGGGACATGCTTCTGGCTCAGCTCCCTCATTAGCCTTGAGTTATTTAGTATGTCACTCCCGTTCCTGAGTCACACATGCTCCGCCCACCTCCTGAAGTCCCCTCCCACTGTGTGGCTACTAGGAGTAAGGATGGAATTTGTGGGGAACTTCAGGCCCAGAACTGGGCATGAAATGGAAATGCAAGATGATGATTCATAATTTTGCTAGAGAAACCAAATACGGCTTTGCTTCCTCTCTAATCCCAACAGGTTCTGGGGCTGAGCGCAGCTTAAGAACAGCAAGGTCGGGGGGTTGGCATTGCCTGACTGTCCAGCTTAAGCCTCGTGCATGCAGAGCTCCACGTACCTCCCCGGCACCCTGCCCCTTGGGCTCTGGCAGCGCTTCCTCCACATTCTCCTGTCTTGTGTGCCTCAGTTCCTTTGCGTGGACAGTCCCTTCGACTTGAAGTCCCCTTCCCTCTCTTCCCTCCACTCATCCTCAGGAGCCAGCTCAGTGGCCATTCCTTCCACAGTGCCTCTCCTGGGAGCCTGTCCTGGACACACTCACCCTTCTCTCTGCCTCCAGGGTACCCTGGGCACTCCTCTATCGTGGCTCTTGGCATCTTAGATTTTGAGCTCCCAAAGGCCAGAGACCTTGCCTTGGGCATCTGTGGATGTCTCGCCCCTAGCACGCAGTGACCTCAGCCAGTGGGCGAGTGTCTGCACGAGCGGAGTACAGAGGGATGAGTGAATAGCGTGGTGAGATGGAGCTGGGCTCCTTTAGACTCTGGTCGGCGGTGACCACATGCTCACACAGGCATAAAATCTCACCGACACCTTCAAGGCAGCAGTCAGATAAGGGGAGGGAGGAAGGTGTTTGAGGGGTTGGCACCAGAGGAGCCAAGCAGGGAAGGCTTCTTGTTTCCAGACATTCAGGGATTTTTTTTTTTTGTCCTGACATAAACACTTGGTTTTTCCATGGAAACGTCTGACATGGGAAATCAGAAAATCTTTCTTAGGGAGGGACCAGACATTACATGAGCTTGTCATCATTATTTTTTAATTAAAAGACAGCAACTGCCTAGTGTTTGGTAAATTCAGGCCCCTCCCCATGGGTCTACTAATATGCTGAAATCTGGGTTTAATGTGCTGAATTTATTTTTTATAAGAATCTGTTACTGAACCTGCTCAGTGGAAAGAGCCCTGTTAGAGCTTTAAGAACTCATTAGCGGGATAAATATGCCGGGTATGAGGGGAGTCTGCAGCCCAGGGCTGCTGGGTACCTGCCAGGGTGGGCGGAGCTGCCCGGCCTGTGACTCAGAGGGTGGCTGTGGGAGGGCACACATGGGAACTGCTGTCCACAGGGTGAAGGACGCTGGGAGAATGCATGCATGGGCAGCCTGCCTGAAGCCTGTGTGTGACAGTGATCAGCTGTTACTGGCGCTGGTAGGTGACTCAGCCCGAATCAATTGCAGGCCTGCTGGACTCTGAGGCCCACGCTGTCTCCCTTGTGCTGCCTGGCACCCAGGGGCTCTCGAAGTATGAAAATAGACACCATGCATGACACGTGATAAGTACTGGGTACAGCAGGAGTAGGACCCAGTGCCATGGATGCTTAGTGAGGGGTCCTGAATTCTGATTTGGGGGTGGGGTAGTCAAGGATGCACAGGGGCCATGTGGGCAGAGGCTCACTTACGAAGTAGATTGTGCAAGTGGAGACGTAGGGCAAAGAGGCAAGGGGATTGCAAGCAGAGGGGATGGCCCCAGCAAAGGCATGGTGGCCTGGAGACAAGGGGTGTGGTCAGAGAAGTGCAGGGTGTCTTGCTCAGCTGGCCATCAGCTTGCAGGAGGAGCGGGAGGAGATGAGGCTACAGAGGCACCTCGGTCCCCACAGCCTTGCTGAGGGATTCAGACTTCCTCTTCTAAGCACTGGGTTTTAAGAGAGTGAATGGCCCGACATGATCCTTTTGACATTTTGGGAAGAGACCTCTGGTGGCAGCTGGGAGGATTTTGGACAGGGAAGATTTCTGTGCCCTGTATGACAGTTCCAGAGCAAACACCCCAGAGCAGAGGCACATCTGTCTGTGGGGCTGCCTACCCCAGCTCCGAGACCCCTTCATTTTACACACAAAACCCTGAAATCCCAAGAGGTGAAGTAATCCATCACACTCGCTCAGCAGAAGGGGCCGAATCTGCAGGGTAGAGAGGGCTGTCTTGCACAGGAGGGCACTTCTGCTCAGGGCATATGTTCCCTGTGAGAATCTGAGACCATACGGTGCCTGTCTGATGTGTGGGCCTGGCTTGGCCTCAGGCAGGCTTGACCTAGCTCCAGGCAGGCCCAGGACACAGCACCTCGTGCATGACCAGGTTTCCCCTCTTCCTGGCTTTGTCATCCCAGGCAGCTGTGGTATGAAGGGGGCTCTGAAGGATGCCTGTTTCCTGGCTGTTTTTTTTTTTCACTGAGACAGAGTCTTGCCTTGTTGCCCAGGCTGGAGTGCAGTGGCGTGATCTCAGCTCACTGCAACCTCTGCTTCCTGGGTTCAAGCAATTCTACTGCCTCAGCCTCCCAAGTAGCTGGGATTACAGGCACACGCCACTACACCTGGCTAATTTTTGTATATATTTTTTTTTAAGTAAAGTCGGGCTTTCACCATGTTGGCCAGGCTGGTCTCAAACTCTTGACCTCATGATGCACCCACCTTGGACTCCCAAAGTGCTGGAATTATAGGCGTGAGCCACCGCGCCCGGCCTTGGCTGTTCTTTAATAGAAGGAACATGTCCCCGTGTGGTACCATTGTTGATGTGGACAGACACACACACTAACAAACAAGGAGTGAGCCCTTCACGGGGGGCTGCAGTGGCACCTGTGTGCAGGCCCCTTTCCTGTAAGAGGTGAGGGCAGAGACAGGATAGGGAGGGGCACAGCAGGCACCCCCTCCCGGAGCCTGGCTAGGGCGTGTGCAACAGTAAAACGCTGCTCAGCTCACAGCAGGGGCCTGGGACAAGACAAGCAGAGGCTGAGGGCGGGTCGTGGGCCCCTGGGAGATCTGGGGTGCAGAGAAGGAGTGGGAGAGGTGGGCAGCTGCTGCAGACAGGGGACACAATGGAATCCTCAAGGAGGACAGAGCCCCTAGGGACCAAGGAATCAACTGAACGGCCAGGCTGCTGCCAGTCTATGCAGCCCCTTTGTGGCCCTTAGAAAAAGGCTATGCTGGATGTTGAGATGTGAACCTGCGAGGTAGACGGCAGCCTCAGCCATTTTGCTATCAATAAATTACTCTTTATCATTTAAGGCAGTTTGAGTTGCGTTTTCTGTCACTTGCAAGGGGTTTGGTTCTAAGTGCAATGAAAAGCCATTAAAGGAATTTGAGCAGAGGGATCCCATGGTCTGATTTACATTTTAACAGAATTGCTGTGGCTGCCTGGTTGCGGGGAATGGGCGGCAGAGGGTCAGGAGTGGGAGTGGGAGGCTATTCAGGAGGCTGGTGCAGCGTCACAGGGGGAAGAAGGGGCTTACACCCAGGGGTGGTGGCAGAGCAGACAGATGCAATGGTGCTGGTGCCTTTGGACTTGGCATCCCAGGTTGCTGCTGCCGCAGGGCTGAAAGGAAGAGGTGGATCAAGGATCTGGAGTGAGTGGGAGGAGGATGGGGCTGTTAGATGAGACTGAGTAAGAACAGGGGTTGGTGGGGGTGGGGTGAGTTGGGGGGTGGGGTGGGGTTCTCCTTTGAGCCGATGCTGATTAGACAACTCAGCAGAGAGATGGCGTCAGCAGTTGGATATCATCAGTCTCTCGGCAGGGTGAAGGGTCAGGGCTGGAGATGTAATCTGGGAGTCATCGGTGTTTAAGAGGAAAGGAAGAGGCAATGTAGGAGGGGATACAGATATTGAGGAGGGGCAGAGGATGGCATTCTGGGGTATGCCAATGTTAGAGTCGGGCAGAGGCGGGGAGCCCTGCAGTGGACATGGAGGAGGAGTGGCCAGGGAGGAGGCAAGCCAGGGTGGATGTGGCGCCACAGACAGGACAGAGGCCAGGTGAGTCCTGAGGCCCCGGGAGTCACACGGGAGAAGCATACAGACATGAGTGGAGGGTTTGACAACAGTGAGGTGGTCACTGGTGACCTGGATAAGAAGCCAGACTGGGGTGGTTGGAGAGTGAGTGGGAGGAGAGGAACGGAGGAGTGGGCACAAACCGTTCTTTGAGGAGTACTGTGCACAGGAGCAGGTGCACAGAGCAGTGGCTGGATGGGCATGCAGGGCTGAGTGGGGTCTTTCATTTGTAAGGGCAGGAGACAGCGGAGCATGCATGAGTGCACAGTGAAGGGCATGATCTAATGTGGGGGTATTCATGGATAACTCAGAACAGAAGGGTGACTTCCAGAATGAAGGCCTTGAGAAGGTCAGGGGCTGGGATTCACGAGACGAATGGTTTGGCCTCTTATGGGAGCAGGAACACTTCTCCCAACATACATGGAGGGAGGGCAGAGAACATGAGATGAGAGTGAGGGAAGCCGGTAGATTTGGTGGTGGGAAGTTAACGAGTTCCTGTTTGCTTTTGTATATGTATGTTTTCATCCCCGGTCCCTGGCTCATAACTCCCATAGCCCTTGTTACTGTAAACAGAATCTCTCTGTCTCTGACCTTCTCCTGCCCGCTTTTCACCTGCCCAAGGCAAGACTCTGATCTGACTATGGGTCATGAAACCTTTATTCCAGAGTGGGTCCCGCCCTCATACCCAGGAGGAAGGAATGCTGCAGAGAGAGGCCAAGAAGAATCTGAACAGGCAGGCCGTTCTGCATCCAGATCATACCCTTTTTGTCCAATTAAATTTTTACATGGTTGTTGGCCGGGCATGGTGGCTTGTGCCTGCAATCCCAGCACTTTGGGAGGCTGAGGTGGGCAGATTGCTCGATACCAGGAGTTCAAGACTAGCCTGGCCAATGTGGCGAAACCCTGTCTCTACTAAAAATACAAAAATTAGCTGGGCGTGGTGGTGGGCGCCTTTAGTCCCAACTGCTCGGGAGGCTGAGGCAGGAGAATCGATTGAACCTGGGAGGCAGAGGTTGCAGTGAGCCGAGATCACACCGTTGCACTCCAGCCTGGGAAACAGAGTGAGACTCTGTAAAATAAATAAATAAATAAATAAATAAATAAAATTTTATGTGGTTAACAGTCACGTCTATCCAATGAAGTCTCCATAAAAGGCCCAGGAGGACCAGGTTCTGGGAGCTTCTGGATAGCTGAACACGTGGCGGTTCCTGGAGGGTGGTGCCTGGGGAGGGCATATAAGCCCTGCGGCCCTTCCCCCATACCTCACCCTACGTATCTCTTCATCTGTATCCTTTGTAATATCCTTTATAATAAACTGTAAACATAAGTAAGTGTTTCCCTGAGCTCTGTGAGCCACTCCAGCAAATTAATCAAACTCAAAGAGTAGGTGGGTGGTGGGAATCTCAACTTGAAGCTGGGTGGCCAGAATTTCCCCCGGGGCCTGGACTTGCAACTGGTGTCTGGCTGTGGAGGGCAGTCTTGGGACTGAGCCCTCACCCAGTGGGATCTGAGTTTATCTCCAGGTAGACAGTGTTGGAGTTGAATTGGAGGATACCCCATTGGTGTCTGCTGCAGAGCTGATTGCTTGATGGTGGGGAGAACCCCCCACCCCACCCCCACACATTTGGTCACAGAAGTCTTCTGTGTTGGGGATTGTTGGGATGGAGAGCAGAGGAAAAACAATTTGAGGGCTTTCCCCAACACCTTGTTTTCTGATGGATGGAGAGACAAGGCAATGAGCTGAGGGTGTTGGGGAGGCTGAGGTGCAGGGAAAAGCATACCATGGCAGCCTGAGGGAATAAAGTGACAACTTTACTGCGTCTGTAGGGAGGGCACAGGATGCTGTTGAGGGCCTGGCTAGAGCTTGTGGTTGTAAGTTGAAAATGCAAGGAGTCAAACTGGCTTTGTGGTTTTCTACAGGAACGTTCAGTCGCTGGTGCAGGCATGGAGAGGGTGGATAGCTGGGTTTAGCTCGACTTGGGATTTAGCCAGGGGAGTAAAAAAGAAGGGAGAGGCCAGGCGTGGTGGCTCATGCCTGTAATCCCAGCACTTTGGGAGGCCAAGGCGGGTGGATCACCTGAGGTAAGGGGTTAGAGACCGGCCTGGCCAACATGGTGAAACCCTGTCTCTACTAAAAATACAAAAGTTAGCTGGGCGTGGTGGCAGGTGCCTGTAATCCCAGCTACTCGGGAGGCTGAGGCAGGAGAATCACTGGAACCCGGGAGGCAGAGGTTGCAGTGAGCCAAGATCATGCCACTGCATTACAGCGTGGGGGACAGAGTGAGACTCCGTCTCAAAAAAAGAAAAAAAAAAAAAAAAGAAGGGAGGAAGGGACAAAGGATTGGGGTTATCTGCAAAGGAGAGATTAGAGTGGGCTGTAATTATGCATCTCCAGTTACCTTCTAGATAGAAAAGATGCTGGATATAAAGATTTGGGGCCATCGGCCCATAGGCAGTAGGTAAAGGGTTTGGATGAACTTGCCCAGCCAGTGTGTGTGTGGAGTGACAAGGAACAGGGCCAGTGGTGAAACTCTGAGAGTCAGTGTTGGAGGGTCCAGGACAGGAGCCTTCTGAAGAGACAGGGGAACAGGAGGAAACCAGGAGATGTGGCACTGGGGACACCCAGAGGAAGGAAGAGTGGGAGGAGGGGCCAACCCTGTCATATGCCACTAGGAAGTCACGGGAGGCTGGGATCTATCATTCCAAAGCCACTGTTGACCAAGGGGAGAACATTTTCAGAGGAGAAGTGGGGAGTGGGCTAGAGTGAAGAAGGAAAGGGAGGATGTGGAAAGAGAGGGGAACAAAAGGGATTTAAAGTCTCTGAACTTGCAGGAACTTGACCTGGGCCTGGAAAAATGAGAAACTGGTTCATTTTCCAAGAGGCTGTAGGGAAAAGAAGGTTTGACCTGAACTCAGGGGTTATATTTGGAACTCGCAAACTGCACTTGGCCTCCTCAGGGCCTGGAGCTGTGAGCAGAGAGCCCTATGGGCCTGGGGAGGGGAGGGGAAGTTAAAAGGGGTTAGGGAGCAGGCTGGGGGTGCAGACTGCAGCACTGCTGGATGCAGAGCAAGCCCAGGAGCTGTAAATTGCCTGCCTGTATGTCACTTGTGCCCTGAGATGTCTCTCTCCGGAGTAGAGTGTGCCCTCTCAATGCTGACAGAGTGGAGGGGGACAGAGGAGGACTGGGAAGGTTCAAGTCACAGTGTCAAGGTCAGGCTTTAAAACAGAGAAGCCTCCTGAGACTTGGCAGGATTTAAAAAAACAAAACAGAGAAGCCACTTTGGAGGCTGGTGCAGATGAGACTAAGATGGATTTGGGGACACTTGTGGATGATGTTAAAGGTTCCACACCCCTACCCACTCACACCCCCACCCACTCACACCCCCACCCACAGCATCTATAGTAGCCCTGTGCTGTAGGCACCCATAAGGCTGCCTAAGTGAAAGGCAGATGAATAGATGAAGTTTCAAAACTGGAGTTGGGCCCAAATGGGACCAGCAAAAATATCTGTTAAGTCTACAGATGAGTTTCTGAACCCAGGATATCATTGGCAGACAAGGTTTATGTTCTAAAACCGCTCTGGATAGATGCTGGTAGCAATTAACTATCTTTAGCTGTGAAAGCCCATGCAGCATCTCCTGGCGTAGTAAGTGCAGGTGGGGTCAGGCCTCAGCATTGGATGACGATGTCTCCCAACCTTGCAGCCCCTGCATGGGCTCCTGCCTCCGCTTAGGTGTTTTCCTGGGACTTTCTCTCCACACTCCCCAAACTGGTGAGTGGTATGAAGTCAAGGGGAGAGGTTTGGCTTCCTTTTCCTTCCAGTCTCTCTCTGTCGCTCTCTTTTTTTCTTTTTCTTTTTCTTTTTTTTTTTGAGACAGGAGCTCGCCCTGTCGCCCAGGCTGGAGTTCAGTGGCGCGATCTCTGCTCATTGCAACCTCCGCCTCCCGGGTTCAAGCGATTCTCTTGCCTCAGCCTCCAGAGCAGCTGGGATTACAGACGCCCGCCACCATGCCTGGCTGATTTTTGTGTTTTTAGTAGAGACGGAGTTTCACCATGTTAGCCAGGCTGGTCTCGAACTCCTGGTCTCAAGTGATCTGCCTGCCTTGGCCTCCCAAAATGCTGGGATTACAGGCGTGAGCCACCGCGCCTGGCCCCTTCCAGTCTCTTGAGAGTCAGTTGGAGAGTCCATGTGCATCTGTTCCCCTCTTTCCAAATGAGGAATGTCTGCCCTGCCTGGTGGGTGTGGTGAGGACGGCACTGGAGGAGGTAGGCAGAGGGAGACCGCAACCACACTCCCACACAGGCATCCCGTAAAGGTAGTCCATGCGAGTCCACAGAAGCTGGTTGCCTCTGAAGCCTGTGAGGCATGAGAAGGCGCTCTGCAGCCCGAGACCACAGGCTGCTGCCCAGATGTCCTCCAGGCCCTGCACGCGCAGGTCACCATGTTATCTATCCATGTTTCCCATGACTTCAGGCTTAACTCCTGCAAATGGAGGCGGCATGCCCCAGAGAGCCCTATGCTTTTTGCTGGCTGTCCAAAAGCAAAACCCAGCAAGTGGCTTCCTGTTTATGCATTAGGTCTGGGAGCTCTCATTACTGGCTGGTGAACCAGAAGCCACTGTGAGGCAGCAAGGGCCAGATGAGAAGTGGAAACGTGGCTCTGGAGCTGACACAGCAGGCATAGGTCTGGCTTTTGTTTCTCCAAGTCTGATTTGCATAGAGCTTGCTAAAAAAGCTTTCTACCGGGCTGCTTATGTACTCGCCGAGCCAGCATTCACACACTTTCTCCTCTTCACTCAGTAAAATTTGCTCTGGGGCTGAGGCTGCCACCAGATGCACACAGCGGTCGTCTTCTCCCTCACGGTCCGCCTGCCTTTCCCGACCTACCCACTTCTGGGGAGTTTCTTATCTGGCAAATGGGACCGAGACACATCCAATGCCCAGGTGGTGAGGTGGAGGAGGGGCAGAGGGGAGGTCTGCCCTCCTTCTGCCCAGGGTCCTTTCGACTTCTCAGGAAAGCTGCGGGTGGCACAAAGTTTGCAAATTCCTTTTACTTCATCCTTGTCCTCAGAGGCCTTGGGGCTTCTTCCCACCGTCATTATTGATGTCCCTGCCACCAAGAATCATGGCCATGCTGGGGCCACGCGTCTTGGGAGCAACAGAAAATGCCTTGTCTTGGATGTGACAACTGGGGCAATGACCAGGTTGACACAGGCACTTCTCACCACAGACAGGTCATATTTCTAATGGTTTACTTACATGTTAGACTGTCGGCTACTTGAAACCAGTTCTTCTCATGGAAATGCATTTTCAGGAGGTGGCAAGGTTGCCATGCCAGCACACAGAGCGCCGTCTAATGTGGGTTAGAGGGAATGATCACCTGGTAGGGAGGGCAGCTTTAGGTCAAGGTTTACATTGAAGAGAAGATGGCGGGGAGTGCTGGTAAGCCTGGGGGAGGGAAGGATCAGTGTCCCCCGGCCCCTGTCACAGCGCAGTCCAGGAGGGAATTCATGCATGCATGCATTCACCCATGAGTCCTTTCTTTGTCTCATACCCCATTTCCAGTTCCTCAGTCTTGTTTGTTCTGCCCTCAAAAATACCCCAAATCTAACCACTTGTCACCTTCTGCTCACTCCCATCCTCATCCAGACCACCTGTCCTCTCTCCACTCCCCCAGTCTGTTCTTCACATCACAGCCAGAGTAAAGCTTTTAAAATGTAAGTCAGATCAAGTCATTTCGCAAGGATAACTCCACATGCATCCGGGAGGCAGCACCTACCTGCCCTCCACCCCTGACCCCAGTCAGTGCCACTCACCTCCTGCCACTCCAGAGGGGTGCGTTTAGGGTTTCTTGGGTGCGCCTACGTTCTTTTGGATCAGCCTGGTTTCCTTTCGGCCCACCTGATCTCTCTAAGACCCCAGGGTCCTCAACTTACTGGGTAACACCTGTCTTGGGAATGGGCTTAACCCGTCCTTTGCTTTAGGAGGAAAAAAAAGCACCCTCCTGTCACCTCCTGCATATACACAAGAGGAACACGTTTTTAAAACTGTGCTCCATAGGTTCATAATTACAGTAATCCATCTCCTCTCCGTTCCTTCCTTAATTGTGACTGGCAGTCACGTCCCCGCCCTCTATGTCAGTTGAGCTCAACTCTGCGCGGGGCCTCTCATTCCTCCTCATTAGTCAGTCTCCTTCCCCTCGCCTTGTCACCCTTACCTGGGTTCTGGCCTCCCTCCTGACAGCGGGCAGCTGCTTGCCTCCCTTTCTTGGTGTGAGTTAACATCCCTCCTGAGCTGACCCGTCCAGTCTCCTCCTGCCCACAGAAGGCACCGACCTCTGACTCCTGCTGCAAACCTGGCCTGACTGAGGCTTCTGTTACCCTGACTCACAGCAGGCAGCTTGTCCTTGGAGCCTGCTTGATGGCAGCATTCAGGGACCCAGGGCTGACTGTCTTTCTCTTGTGGCTCCATTAGTGCACTGGAGGACCGGATAGAATTCAGAAGGAGCCCCTCCCTTGCCTCTCCTGTCCCCCCCGAGGACTCTCGTGTTCAGCACACCATCCCTTCCCTCTGCCTGCAGTCTTTCTGCTGCACGCTCTAGGTCCGCTGCCTTGGGGGAAGAAAACGGTACCTCCTGCCATCCAGTCTCCTCACAGGCTGTGCCTGCCCTGGCTGCTGCTGTCCTGTCCACCGCAGCCTCTTCTCTTGACCACTTGTTTGCAGTTTCCCAGCCTCTCCTGCTGTCTGGGTGATGGGAGTACTCAGCCAAGACAATCTGAATTAATTTTGCAAGTAAAATTTCATCAGACGACCTATCTAGCGCTTCCCTAAATCAAGACGTATTACATCTCATGTGTGCCCTGAGCCCATTCATCATGTTAAGTCAGCCCCTGAAATACCAGCCAGGCTCAGGCTGAAAATGAGCAGCATTCTCGTCTGAATCTGGAAGGGGTCTTCTTTATCCCCAGATTTGCCACGAGAGAGGCTTCTGTCAGCTCTTTTGCTGGTGATAACATCAAGAAGTAATCGGGCCGGGCGCGGTGGCTCACGCCTGTAATCCCAGCACTTTGGGAGGCCGAGGCAGGCGGATCACGAGGTCAGGAGATCGAGACCAGCTTGGCTAACACGGTGAAACTCCGTCTCTACTAAAAATACAAAAAAAATTAGCTGGGCGCGGTGGCGGGCGCCTGTAGTCCCAGCTACTCGGGAGGCTGAGGCAGGAGAATGGCGTGAACCAGGGAGGCGGAGCTTGCAGTGAGCCGAGATTGGGCCACTGCAGTCCAGCCTGGGCGACAGAGCGAGACTCCGTCTCAAAAAAAAAAAAAAAAAAAAAAAAAGAAGTAATCGACAGTGGTCCTTAGAGTCAGAGTCAAGGGACCTGAAACAGAATCTCTGTTTTGACACTTACAAGCTGTGCAACTTTGAGCAAGTTACTTAACCTCTCTGAGCCTCAGTTTTCTTATGTGTAAAATGGAAATAATATCTACTTGAGAGGGCTGTTATGAGGTTAAATGAGATAAAGCACATGAAGTGTCAGTACTATAGTAGGTATTCTATAATGTCAGCTCCTTTTCCTATATGAAGTAAGTTAAAACCCTCAGGCTGTGCACGGTGGCTCACGCCTGTAATCCCAGCACTTTGGGAGGCCGAGGTGGGCGGATCATGATGTCAGGAGATTGAGACCATCCTGGCCAACATGGTGAAACCCTGTCTCTACGAAAAATTCAAAAAAATTAGCTGGGTGTGGTGGTGTGCGCCTGTAGTCCCAGCTACTCGGGAGGCTGAAGCAGGAGAATCGCTTGAACCCAGGATGCAGAGGTTGCAGTGAGCTGAGATCACGCCACTGAACTCCAGCCTGGGCGACAGAGCGAGACTCCGTCTCAAAAACCAAACCAAACCAAAACAAAACAAAAAAAACCCTCACAGATGTGTTCAGTTCTGACAGTTGTGCTGATGAAGGCACACACAAGAGACAGGCATTTATACACAACATAAATGATGGAAAATTAACAAAGTGAGTAGATTATATACAAGTGACAATTGCGCGTATTTAGTTTATAGAGAGGGTTGGGGGGCATTTTAGGTTCACACTGAACGTGAGCAAGAGTTTTCCCCTTCTGGACATGGTATGGGTTGCATAGATTGGACCTTCTCTTGTGTCTTACTCTTTTTTTTGCTCTGGCTCATTACCAGTGAATGTTGGTTTTACCCAGACTGCTGAGATCCTTGATAAGGCCTCACCATGGTGATGCTGAAGGGCACTCATATTTTTGCTGTGTTTATTCTTCCCGTCATCTTCCCTGGCAGCAAGTGACCAGAGCTATTTAGGACCAGGCCAAGGGAGATGGAGAAGCCTTCTCTGTTCTCAGCTGGGGGTTGGCTGCTGACAACTTAGATTAGGACCCTTTCTTGAGAAGCCCAGGAGTGGTGACCTTCGTGGCATAGCAAAGGCCTGCTGAGGCTACTAGGTGGCAATTCTGCCCTAAGCTTGGCCTCAAAGGAGCTGGGGAAGTGAGATCCATGGTTCCCCAGGACTAGCTTTGGAGGGGTCCCAGACTCCCTCGCTTCGGCTAATCTCTTGGCTGTGGATAAATGAGCTCGTGGGCACCAGCATCCTGGTGACAGCCATCCTTTGTTGGGTGCTTACCCATGCTGGGCACTGAGCAGAGTGGGCCAGACAGAACCTATTCCTGTCCACCAGGGACTCCTAGTCCTGACCAGCTGGATGTTTCATTACACATTGGAATCTGTATTTCAGCTGGCATCTCAGGAGAATCTAACTTACCTCTTTCATCACCAAAACATTAACAAAAATTATTTTGGCCACTTTAATGAAATATTTCTATCCAAATGGATATAAGAAAAGTATGCAGGCCTTCCAAAACAACATGCACAGAACATGGTTTGATCATTTTTTCATTACTCAGGGTCATTATTATAAACACCAGCTACTACCTGTGCACTAATAGACACTTCTGGGGCAAGTAGGTGATTCTGTTTTCCCACACACCAAGTGGCCCAAGACTGCTGACTTCTTGAGTTCTTTATCACCTTTTTATGTTTTCCTCTTCATTTTGTCAGTTGCCTCTTACTTTTGCCAGCATGCCTGCCTCTTCTGTGTTCTGCGTTTAATGCATATTAACTGTATCTGCATTACACCAGCAGCGAGAGGAGACAGGCCTATTAGAGGGAGGCCTGAGAGGGAGGCCTGAGAGGGTCTCTCTGGTTTGTTTTGAGGTCTTCTGGTTTCCTTCTGTATCTCAGGAGAAAGTTGAGTCCCTAGCAGTGACATTCCTGTACTCCTTGTGTTGGTGTGGCATTGTTTTGAATATATGCCCAGTTTTCCAAGCAGATTTTTTTTTTTGAGACAGTCTCACTCTATTGCCCAGGCTGGAGTGCAGTGTTGCGATCTTGGATCACTGCAACCTCCACCTCCGGGTTCAAGGGATTCTCATGCCTCAGCCTCCCAAGTAGCTGGGATTGTAGGTGTGTGCCACCACGCCCGGCTAATTTTTTTGGTATTTTTAGTAGAGATGGTGTTTCACCATGTTGGCCAGGCTGGTCTCAAACTCCCGACCTCAGGTGATCCACCTGCCTTGGCCTCCCAAAGTGCTAGGATTACAGGAGTGAGCCACTGTGCCTGGCCTCCAAGCAGATTTTAAGGTCATGATAGACAGGGGACCTAGCCCCGCATTTGTTATGCTGGCCACACAGCAGTGCTCTGGGTGTAGCAGGGAGCCTACACAGTGTCCCCGTTGAATTCATCAATGAGTCTCCTTCACAGTGATATACGGAAGTAAACTGAATATAGTATGTATATGTGTGTATATGGTATAGCTAGACTTATATACAAGTCTGGGAAGAAAGAGTGTTTCCATCAGGCACACACAAGAGACAGTATGATAGTAAGAGTCAAATTGAGGTTCTAATTTCAGCTCCTCCATTCATTAGTTGAGTGGTCTTAGATCACTCGGTGCCTCAGTTTCCTCATCTATAAAATGGGATAATTATAGTGGCTACCTTATTGGGTTGTGAGGATTAAATGAGATCATGGCTTTTAAATTGCTTAGCACAGTATCTGGCACATAATAAGCATTCAGTGATGTTAATGACAATAATTAAAAAGCTTTAACATCTACTTCAGTGGAAGAGCAGTGGGGATGGTATGATCTCGTGGGGGATTTTCTGTGGGTCCTTTCTGTCTGCTAAGGATTTCATCTTCCTCCTTCCCCCCTTCCACGCCTCTGGGAAGATCTTTATTTGGCCTCAGCCTTAAATGGATATTAATGCGGAAATGTTAGGGCTGGAGATTTCCACAGCCTTTGAATAGTAGACATTTGGAAAATTAAATATTTCTGTCAAGTGTGCCATAAATCTTGGCTGTTTAGGAAGGTGAGAAATTAAAATTGCAAGACAGCCAGGGAGGGAGTGAGCCTGTCTAGTCCCCTGGTGTGTGGTCTCTGGGTAAGGAGGGGTGGGGTGGGACTGGGAGGTGGGGCAGGAGCAGGCCCTGGGTTTAGCGGCAGCCAGGGGAGGGTGGGTTGCTGCGGGTCATCAGCCCGGCTGACTTGGAAATCCAGAAGGTTTTGATGGAGCGCTTCTCCCTCATGTTCTAGAAGATATTTCTGCATCAAGGCGCCTGCTACTGGGCTTTGAGCTTTCCTCTCCCTTCTCTCCTTCATGCTTTCGCCTCTCTTCCTGCACGCTCACCAGCAAGGCCTCTGCCTGGGAGGAAGCAACATGGCGCTGGTGACAGGCAGCACTCTAGGTCCCTTCTGCTGCTGGAGAGCCACGTGGGGACTAGGGGGGCCTACTCGGGGACTCCCCAGAGTTCCCTGCAGGCATACCCCCGCTCCAGCAATGGCAAAAGCCATGAGAGGGTCTCATATATAGAAAGGGTGTCCCAGGCCACACCTTCGGGGGCAGCCCATGTATGCCTAGGGGTCGGGAAACAGCAAAGAGAAGGCGATGTGGGTAAGGCCTCTTTACTACCACACGATTCTGTCTTCCAGAAGAACCTGGCCACCCCCACATCTCCTCCCTCTCCTCCAAACCCCAAGATGACCCAGAGGCTCAAAGCCACCTTCAGTCTTAGCTGTTTCTTTTTCCTGCCTTCTCCTCCAGTCATATATCTGGATCTGACTGCTGCACGCTACACAGCTGATGATGGGAGTGTGACTTGGTCAAAAGTTCTTTGTGGCCCACTTGAAAAGGGTGCCAAATAAGGCAAAGAATATCCAGGAGGGTATGGCCAAGGTGGTGAAGAGCCCCAGAAGGATGTCGTGTTCTTCCTCTTATCATTCATTAGCTCAGCAATTAGGAAGCAGTTGTTAGAATGTGCCAGATGGGCTGACACTGAGGGCGTACACACAATAAGGGGAGGGAGAATCTGCTCACCATGGGCCAGGCACTGTGCTAAGTCCTTTAAACCCATTGATTCACCTAAGCCCAACAGCCTTAAGATATTACCTTTATCCATTTTAATAAGGAAACTGTGATTCAGAGAAATTAAGTGACATGGCAGATGGAAGAGCTAAGAATCAAACTGACATTTCACTAACTCCAAAGCCGAGACTTTTAATCATTTTCCAATAAGGCAATGATTGTGAAATAATGACGTGTGAAAAAGTCAACAGGGACCCCGGCCTTGGCCCTAAGAAGCTCACAGTCTAGTGAAGGAGCAGGTAAGTGTATTTGGGAGGCTAACTTAGTCTCAGATGGATGGCAGGGAGCTGGGGAGGGCTTCCTGGAGGAGGTGATGCCTGAGCTGAGCCTAGAAGGATGTAAAGGAACCAACCAGAGGAAGAAGGGGAGTTAGGGTATTGTGAGGCTGGTGGGGGCTGGGGAAGAGCTTGCACACACAGAAGTAAGTGAGGATTTGTGTTTGGGTCATGGCAAGCAGGCTGGAGCCAGGGTACAAGGGGAGAGAAGAAGCTGGAGACGTGACAGTGATCAGTTCATGGGGGGCCTTGTATACCAGGCTAAGGGTGCCAGGAAATGGCTGGGGAGATTTACACAAAAGGGAACAGGTTGAGATCCTCTGGTGGTGGTAGGGCAGTGCTAGTGAGAAATGTGTGCAGCTTGGACTAATTTGAGAGACTTTCTAGAAGGTAGAACCCACAGGACTTAGTGATGATTGGGCATGGGGGGTATCGTGTGGAAAAGGGAGGAGCCAGGTCAGGGGATCAGAATGGGCAGCCAGCCCTCTTCTGCAGGGTCCAGCTGCCTGGTGGCAGTGGGGGACCCTATTTTGGCCTTCTGCGGAAGCATGACGTCCAGTGGGCTGTGGATGTATGTGACTGCCGAGATGTCAGTCATGCAGGCTGGCACCCAGCTTGCCCAGCTTCCAGAACGGGGATGGTGAAGTGTGTCTTTCCACTTCACTGTCTCCCTGGGTAAAACCCGGGAATCAGCTCCCTTCTTTTGTCAGTTGCAGAGGAAGTGGGCTCTTTCTCTATTAGACATACTCGCAGTGTCTAGTATCAGCCTCTTTGTCCATGTGGGATAGGGATTGCTTGGCCGGTAAGCACTGTGTTTGGGTGTACATCTCCTAGGATACTAGCATGTGGCCACTTGGAAGGCGGCTGCCTAGCAGCCCTCAGCCTAGCTTCAGGAGAGGAACTATGGGATCCAGCTTCTCTGGGCTCCAGAGAACAACTTCTGGGGCCTGGAAGAACCCTGTGCCCAGTGACAAGCTTGTAAAAAGAGAGAAACAATCCCTATATTTTTGGTCCCTGGGAAGGAAGTAGGGTGGACAGCAGCCTTAACTTTCTGGAGCAAAATGTGAACTTTTGAGAGCTGAAGACCAAAAGCGGGTTCAGCTTTTGAACTCGTTTTTTTTAAACCAACCTAGGCCAAAGGCTGGGAGAAGGCAGCAGCAGCCAGCCCTGTGTTACAGGTGGGATAGATGGGTGCTTTGCTCACGGTCCAGCTGGTCTCCCCGCAGCTGCTAGACCCCAGGAACTTCTGGAGCTCCCGTCCTTGGAGCCTCCTCTCAGGAAGTTAGATGTGGCACTCAGGGTTAGTTGGCTCTGAATTCCCCTCCACCCTTCCCCAGGTCATTCAGAAGCCTACCTCCTGAGCTACCCAGGGCTCTGGAATCTCCACCTGCTGTTTCACTGCTGTTTGCACCAGTTCTGGCGCCTCCCACACCTGGGGTCGGTTGTGCCTCCACGCCCGCTCTGAGCACAGTCACCGTCTGGGCCCCCTCTCCAGTGACACTCCAGGCCTAAACATTATTTTCCCATCGCGGAGGAGGTGTTCCCGGTGTGTCTCATGAATTTAACACAAGCTGCCGGAGAGCCTTTGAAAGGTTAGGGGGTGGGTAGGGAGGCAGTTTATGTAGTGGGGAAGTTGGGGTGGGGGAGGCAATGTCCCGGAGGAGTGGCTGGTGGCCTGAGGAAGGGCCCGGGCGCGCAGGCGGCGGCTAGCGCTGGAGCCCCAGCCAGCTCCCTCTCCCCACGTGCGCGCTAGGCCTTGGTTACTCTGGCAACTCGCCCCGCTCAGACGGCACCAGGCAGCTGAATCCAGCCCCTTGTTACGGGGGAAAATGCTCTCATTGAAGCGCCGGAGCGCAGCTTCTGCCTTTTATTGCAAGCGGCGCCACCGGATTCCATTTGTAAACTTATTAGTGTGCGCTCGCGGGGAGGGGGCTCGGGAATCCGGGCCCGGGCAACCGGCGCCGCATGCTAATCAGGGGGCGCCCGCCCCCGCTTTGCCCGTGGCCCTCCTTTCCCGATTCCCCGACGTTTCGGGAGGAGTGGGGTCGGAGCGCAGGGCTGGGAAGGGTCTTAGGACCCAGGAAGGAGACGGGTGCCTCCCAGAGAGGACCCCATCCCCTCCGAGGTCCGGGCGGCTCCCGGCCTCTCCCTGGGGTGCCGTAGCCCCCCTCGACCCGCCTTCCCGCAGCCGCAGTCGTTCGGGCCTGGAGGTGGCCGGGCATCGGTGCCGACGCCGCGAGGGCAGCGCCCGCGGCGGGAATACTAATGCACCCTAAAGGGCACGGCCGCCGCCGCAGCAGGTAATTAGCTGGACCGCGGCGGAGCGCGCGGAGGTGGCTGCTGGCTGCAAGGACTGCGCCCAGCCTCCGCCTCGCCCCTCGAGGCTCCCGCGTGGGCCGGCGGGCAGTGCGTGGGCCACAGGAAGCGGGCTGACTGGACCCGGCTCAGGACTTCGCACAAGGGCAGCTCTTTGTTTACAGCTCCTCTCCCAGCTCCCCGCTTTCCTTTCGCCCACCGCCTCCCTTTTCCGGCGATCGGCTCCGCCGGCTGCGGGGGGGTGGGGGGGGTGGGGTGTCCTGTGTAGCCGCCCACCTCCTGTCCCGGCCTCGTGCTCCCGCTGGGGACTGTTTGCGGTGAGTCTGTCGCACGCACGTCAGGGCCGAGGCAGTGATGCGGGGCAGCGTGGGAGGACGGGCTGCGGAGCCCGCGTCATCCTGCCTGTGGGGAGCGCTGTGCCTGCTCTCCTGCCAGCGCGCCCAGCTGTCCCGGCCGCCGCCACGCGGGACTGCCTGCCATGTCGCCACCGGCTGCTGACCTCATTAGGCCTCATGTCATGGAGGAGCCGGCGATTAAAGGACTCTAAGAACCAGAGCTAAGTGGCTGCAAAGATACTGACAGCCTCCCTAGAAGCCCACTTTCCAGTGAGCTGCTGCATCCTCTCCTCCTTTAATTAGCAGGAATGCGCTGGACAAGTTGTTACAACTGCAGGGAAAACGATAAAAGATGGCTTTGTATTAGTGTGGCAAATTTTATTAAACCGGGAGAAAGGGTAACTGAAACATGACAGCCGTGTGTGTAGTGCCTCCTGAATTTGTAATAACCCAATCTTGTTCTGAATCATCCCTGTGTTGGCTAAAGGAATATAAAGCGTTTTACAGATCCAATATTGTACGAGGTACAACAGAACACAGCCGAGTGAGGAAGGACGACAGGTAGGAGAAGGGGGCCTCCAGCGCCCGGCAGCGCTCACGGTTAATGAGACCGGAGTAGAAATACAGGGTCTGGCTGCAGGCTTTGCCTCACTAATTACTCCTGCCCCCTGGCTCTTTTCTACATCTCAGTCTTTCCACTTATAATTCAGAGGTAATACCTGGCCACATGAGAAAACTTAACTAATAGCACGTTAGTTGCCAGGGAATGGACAAAACCATCTTTTCCTATAGAGAGTGAAAAGCAAGACAGGAAATCTAGGAGAAAGAGTTGAGACACACGTGGTTATTCTGGGCTTGGGGTGTGACTTTGGTATTAGGCTGGAAGGATGATGCTATGTTTCCTACCCCTTGAGCCGTGTTGAAAGTAGGCGTCATTGTCTCTAGGATAAAAATCTGAGCCAGGCCCACAGAGGTTAAGTTTTATATCCAAGATACAGTAAATGGCAGCCTGGATTTGTGCTTTGCACTTTAAAGCCTGTTCTTTGCCTATTACCCTAGGCCTCAGATTTTATTTGACAAATGAAAAGGCAAAAAATTCTTCATTTGTAGAGGCCGTTTAGTGAACAGTTGTAGCTCTATGAGCTGTAAGGGATTTCCAGAGATCTTCTGATCTAGGCAAGATATTCTTTATTCTGCTTTTCAGAGGAAGTAACTGGAGTCCAGAGACGTTAGGCACCCTGTCCAGGGTCATCCAGCCAGGAAGTGACTGAGAAAGGAGGCCAGACTTCAAATTCCTTCTGACTGAGTAAGGTCTCAGGTGTCAGATAAGCCCATGCTGGTGTTAAAATAGACTATTTAAGGTGATTGCCAGCTAATCTACGGACGAAGTTGGGCCAGCCTACGATGTGGTTTGGACCCTCCAGATTTGGAATAAAGAAGGTGCTGAGCATATGTGGCACATACTGTTCCAACAACTTGTAAACCCTTTTTTGTCTTGAGGTTCAGTTTTCTGAGTGGGTAGTACAATAAAGTGGTTTCATTACTGGTGAGCAATTAATGGGTTGACATCAACTAAGAGGGAGAGTCTAGGGACATATCACAAGATTTTTTTTCTTGTTTATACCCTCAGTTTTTTTTTTTTTTTTGAGACGGCGTCTCACTCTGTTGCCAGGCTGGAGTGCAGTGGTGCGATCTTGGCTCACTGCAAGCTCCACCTCCCGGGTTCAAGTGATTCCCTTGCCCCAGCCTCCCGAGTAGCTGGGACTACAGGCGCGTGCCATCACACCGGCTAATTTTTGTTTTTTGTATTTTAGTGGAGATGGGGTCTCACCATGTTGGCCAGGATGGTCTTGATGTCCTGACCTCGTGTTCCGCCCACCTCGGCCTCCTAATTTTTTTTTTTTTTTTTTTTTTTTTTGAGACAAGGTCTTGTTGTGTTGGCCTAGCTGGAGTGTAGTTGCTATTCATAGGTGTGGTTGTGCTGCGCTGCTGCCTTGAACTCCTGGGCTCAAGTGATTCTCCTGCCTCAGTCTCCTCAGTAGCTGGGACCCCAGGCCATGCCATCACATCCAGCTTGTTTTTTGATGTTATTTTTTTAGAGATGCGATCTTGCTCTGTTGTTCCCTAGGCTAGAGTGCAGTGGTGCGATCATGGCTCACTGCAGCCTTGACCTTACAGGCTCAAGCGATCCTCCCACCTCAGCCTCCCAAATAGCTGGGAATGCAGGGGTGTGCCACTACGCCCAGCTAATTTTAATTTTTTGGTAGAAATGGGATCTCTCTGTATTGCCCAGGTTGGTCTTGAACTCCTAGGCTCAAGCAATCCTCCCACCTCGGCCTCCCAAAGTGCTGGGATTACAGGTGTGAGGCATCTCCCCAGCCTTGATGTTTATGATGTGTTAAATAATGGAATTAAGACCCAGAGCTCTCAGCAGGATAAGAAAGGGATTAGAAAGGGGATTTCGTGTTAGTTAGCAGAGCAAAGGGTTTGGTACAGACACATGGACATGTGACTGAAGGCCTTGTGTGCTGGGACTCCAGAGGGAGACCACAGAGAGTGGCCAGCACTTGCTGAGCAGGGGAAGAGAGTGATGATATCCATGAAAGAGACATCCCTGGCTACACTGGGAAGCCCACATTCCCTTCTCAGACACTTGTGGCTGGCCCTAGGTAGTGAGTGGGTATGGGATGTCAACAGGAGGTATGTCTTATGTGACAGTGTTGGGCTTTTTAAAAGTCTTATGTTCTATTCCCCTTCTCCAAGGCAGGTACAGACCAAAAACATCCCATAAAGATAGTTGTCTAGCATAAAATCTACAGTAGGCCAGGCATGGTGGCTCATGCCTATAATCCCAACACTTTGGGAGGCCGAGGCAGGAGGATCACTTGAGTCTAAGAGTTCAAGACCTGCCTGGGAAACAGGAAGACCCTGCCTCTACAAAAAATAAAATAATTAGCTGGGCATGGTGGTGCCTGCCTAAAATCCCAGCTACTTGGGAGGTTGAGGCGGGAGGATTGCTTGAGCCCTGGAGTTTAAGGATGCTGTAAGCTATTATTGCACCACTGTACTCCAGCCTGGGTGACAGAACAAGTCCTTGCCTCAAAAACAAACAAACAAACAAACAAAACAAACAACTCTCCAGCAAAGACTCACAACCTCTTAAGGGGATGCAGTCAAATGTTGCCTTATAATAAGACAGTTTCTCCTGGTATCCTGCCTGAGTTGAGTTCTTACTGCTTCCATTTTCTTCTGTTCTGTCCTCAGTGGAGATGGAGATGTACACCACCTTCTTTCCAGGCATTCTTTTCTTTTCTTTTCTTTTTTTTTTTGAGACAGAGTCTTGCTCTGTTGCCCAGGCTGGAGTGCAGTGGCATAATCTTGGCCCACTGCAGCCTCTGCCTCCCAGGTCCAAGTGATTCCCCTGCTTCAGCCTCCCAGGTAGCTGGGACCATAAGTGCACACCACCATGCCTGGCTAATTTTTGTATTTTTAGTAGAGACAGGGTTTCACCATGTCAGCCAGGCTGGTCTTGAACTCCTGGCCTCAAGTGATCCACCTACCTCGGCCCCCCAAAGTGCTGGGATTACAGGTGTAAGTCACCATGCCAGGCCTCCAGTTACTCTTTGGAGATGTGAAGGCTGACATTTAAGTCTCACCTCTCCTCTTGTGCAATCCTTCTTGCCAAAGATGGAGTTAGACCCTCAGAGAGGTTTGCTCCCCACCCAGCAGTAATTAACGTGTCCCTTTTCCCAGCATGGAGAGGAAATGAGCAAAGCCCTTCTGTTAAAAAAAGAAGACAAAAATATGTAATACAACCCCAGGCTCCAGTTTGGGTTTGCAAAGTGGAAAACAAAACAGAACCATTTTTCAGGTACTTTTATGTTAAGCCTCTCTAATGTGCCCCAAAATATTTTTCAAGTGATTCATCTACAATCCAATAAGAACAACGGCTGTTGCCATTTGGATGAAAGGAGCTGAGGAGCATTAGTGAGCGATTTGATTTTATGAAGGGGAAGTGGCACAGGTGCTTAGAGCCATTTGCTTGAGGCACCAAGGTCTATGCCCGGGGCATCTGCAGCTCCAGGCGGGGCAACTGGCAGTGCTACAAGCTGGATAATAGACCTACCAGGCACGCCCCGCCCCATGGTTAATATGGGAAAGGGCTACTTGCAATGGAGGCTTTGAACTTGGGTGCATTGGTCCCCACCACTCAAGGATCTCTTTATGGTCTGCTAATTTAGAAAATTACTATGACCAATGATGATAATACTAATAATTCACATTCATAAGGGACTTTCTAGTTTATAAAGCTGCCTTCCATCCATTATCTGACTTGATCCTGATAACCACTCTTGGACTGGAACAGATACTATCATCCCCATTTTACAGGTCAGAAAACTAAGGCTTCAAGATGTTTACTGCTTTGTCCAAAATTAAGAAGCTCCCCTTCTCTCATGCCCCCATTTCTATATATGGGTATTCCCTTGTGAATGTCAGGGATTTTTTTGTTGTTGTTGAATTATAATTTGAGAGAGGGAAGAGTAGCTTCCCTAAAGAGTAGTGATGCGTAGAGTGACTTTGGGGAGAAGGGTAGGGTCATTAGCCAGGGAACAGGAGTGGCAAGAGGGACTCCACAGTGGCAGAGGAGAAATTCTGGACTCTGCTCTTGCAAATACAGACTTGGAGGAGGCTGGGTGTAGGGAACAGTGGTAGCCCCTATGTGGTGGGTGGGGAGCTAGGTAGGGTAAACTGGGAACCTGAGGGAGGGTCTAATCTCCCATACTCCCAAAGACCACATCTGCTAGATGTGTATGCCTCTTGTTCCTTTCCCATTTGTATTTCCAGGCTGTTAGAAAGTCTTATTTAATCATTCTAGTCTCATTAGTTGTGCTTTTTGGGATTAAGGCCAGGACCCATTTCCATAGCAAAGGAGTTACATAGAACTCTCCATAGCAGAGTTACATGAAAATGGTGTTGGCTGCTCCGGGAGCCCCTCCTGTTGGTGGCAACAATAAAGAGTGAGAGACCGCCAGGGCGAGATGAAGCTTAGGCGACAGGGATCAAGGTCGAAAAGGCTGCAGCTTGTCTCGTGGGGAACCTCGCTCTACTGCCAACCACAGAGGATCAGGGGTTGGGGATTTTAAAAAGCTATTGTGATAATTACTCATAGTTTATAAGTCAAATCATATTTTAAAAGGCTTATAACAATATTCAGTATTTCTCTGTCCCACCCTTCCTGTCCCTCAACCTCCCTTTTTTGAAATAATGGCTTTCAACTGTTTAGCTGCTTTTTTCTGAGATTTCCACATCTCTATAGTTCTAAATATGTGTGCATTGCTATATTTTAATGTATCGATTGCATACATTATCAGTTGACTTTCTGCTTTTGCTTTTTAAGAGGGTGGCTCACTCTGTCACCCAGGCTGGAGTGCAGTGGCATCATCGCGGTTCACTGTAGCCTCAACCTCCTGGGCTCAAGGGATCATCACCCCACCTCAGCCTCCCGAGTAGCTGGGACTACAGGTGCACCATCACACCTGGCTATTTTTTTGTTATTACTTGTAGAGACAGGTCTTGCTGTGTTGCCCAGGCTGGTCTCGAACTGCTGGGTTCAAGTGATCCTACCACCTTGGCCTGCCAAAGTGCTAGGATTACAGGTGTGAATAATGCCCAGCCAATTTTCTGTTTATGGTAATGAGGATTTAGTCTCTTATACTACCATCCCATCTGACACCTTCCCCTCATATGTGGTATTTAAACTTTAGTTAAATGAATAGTCAGAATTTACATTATATCTGTGTGAATATTATTTACAACTATTGTGAAACAGTTGTTTCCTTACCTCTCATTTTGTTCTGAAGTTGGTAACTGCCTTGTTTTATCATTTGCTTAGTTTTCTTTGTCCTTACCAATAGCCTCTCAGAATGATTTTCCACAAGGTCACTCTCTCCAGGTGATCAGTCAGCCCCTGTGTCTTGGAGCCTTCACTCCTGGACACTTCTGTTCTTATGTCTGGACTGCTTGCCTTGTAGGCCTGGTGCCCGGCTGTTTTCCTGGGACTTCCCTTGGCCCCCTCCTCCCTAGACTCCTTTTGCCTTTCCCTGATTTACATTCCCTATTTCTGAGACCTTGCATCTTCTTCTTTCTTGGTTTACTCCATTGTTTTGATGGAGCGTGCTCTCCAGGAGTTTTCTCAGATTGAAAAGCTGTGCAGCAGCTGAGGACATGGTGACGACTGTCCTCTGCATGCCGCTGCACACCCTGCACTCTGGCTGGTTGCCTTCCACACCTGTGCACAGCAGTCTCTTTTCCCCTGGGCTGGATCTCCCGTTTTCTGTAGCTTACATGTTCCTTTTGCTTAGGTTAGTCCCTCATCTTGCTGGAAGATTTTGATTTTTTAGGAAAGCTGATTGGTGGCAGGACCCTCCTGCATGCTGCACTAGTAAGTGGCAGAATTGTGACTCAAACCCAGGTCTGCTGGTTTACATCAGGTGTTCCTCCTCCCCCAAGCTATGATTCTAACTCCTCCTCCTGTGGGGGCCCAGGAGCCACACCCTCCCCTGGCTCTCACCACCCCTCATCCACCTGGCCTGGCCCACCCCCCTCATCTCTCCTCTTCTTCCTCTCTTGCCAGCCCCCATTGTGGATGTCTGTCTTTCTGACACCCTGCACCTTTGCCTAGACTATGTCTAGGGCCTGGGTTGCCAGGACAGAAGCCCCAGGTCTGTGAGGTGACCTGGGTTCTTTAAACTTTCCTGGGTGAACGACCTACTTGGTGGTGGGGAACATGTTGGGGAACATGAGGAGTGAGGCCATTACTGTGGCACAGCCCTGCTCATGGTCCTTTGATTGGCAGGAAGTCACCGGAGGCATCCTGTCTATGTCAGCTGGAGCTGCTATAACAGATCATTCTACCATAGACTGAGTGGCTTAAACAACACATATTTCTCACCATTCTGGAGGCAGGGAAATCCACGATCAAGATGCCGGCGGATCCAGGGTCTGAAGAAGGCCCCCTTCCTGGATTGCAGATGGCCATCTTCCTGTTGTCTTCTCACATGGCGGAGAGCAGAGAGAGCAAGAGCAAGTTCTGTGTCTCTTTGAGAGGCACGAGTCTCCTTCTTGAGGGCTCCACCCTCCTGATCTAGTCACATCCCAAAGCCTCCATCCCTTAATACTTCGTCACCTTGGGGGGTAAGACGTTCAACACCGGAATTTTGAGGGATGACACAAACATTCAGCCCATAACACATCCCCACTACAACATGCCTGGTAGCGCTTGCCCAGAAAAATTTCCATCTGAATCGGGCAGGTCAGGGAGTAGAGCGTTGCGGAGAAGATCAGGTGGGAACTCACCTGAAGTCCCTTACAACTTGGAAGGCATGAGCATGTCGAGGCGGGGAGTGGAGAGAGAGCATGCCTGTCTCCTTCGCAGGCTGTCTTTGGGAAGATTTGCCTGGCCTGCTTTAAGGAGGCTGCCTCCTCCTGTCTGGGCTCTTTCTCTCCCTCCCGTCTTTACAATCATCACCTCCTAAAGCACTGCCTTTCTTGGGAAGTTTTCCAGGTAGAGTGGGAGCAAAATGGCAATTCATGCCAGAAGTCATGCATAAATAAAATCCACTGATAATTCCCAAGCCCTGCTTTAGCCATAAGCTTCAATCTTTCTTACCCACTAAACCCTCTCCCAGAACTGCTAAAGGGAACAGCACTGATGGATTTGTGTCTTTCCCCTTTTCATTTCCGCTGTTCCCTTCTTCTGATTGAGGAACAAATTAGTAATGAAATGACCCAACTAAGGCCATTAAATATTGTGCAAGAAGATTGGAAAGCCAGAGGCCTTAGTAATCTCTAAATTAGACCATTGGACCCAAAGCCGTTGAGAGGTAACCATACTCCATTCACTCATTCACTTCATTCATTCATTCATTCAGTAGTCTTTTATTGATCTAATACAGTTGTGTCTTTTAATTTGAGGTATTTAAAATGTGTTTAAAGCGAAGTGTTCTCTTGTGGATTGTAGTTACCTCGAGGCCATGAGCCAGGTTGGTTTTGCCAGTTTGGTGTGGTGTCCTGGGTATTTCACTGCTTGGGTTGAAGGACAAGCGGTCTGCTAGAGTGAGCCCCGTAAATGTTTGTTGTTGATGATGGTGATGCTTGATCAATAAAGTTAATCCTGCCATTGTCACCAGGATATAAACCTTTAGTCATCTGTGTGGGCATTTCTCCTTGAACATGATGCTAAAGATGTTTAATCAGACTCTTCACAGCTTCCAAGAGCTGGGCCATGATGAAAAAGACCTTGGCACGTGGCTGTTGAGGGGAAGCTGTTCCCATAATGAGGAGTCAGTCTGTTAGTCCTGGCCCCATACCCACTCCCCACCTGTGATCACCCCCGCCACTGCTGGGGACCCTTGGCCTCAGCTGTCCTTAGCTCTAGCTTGTGGGTCCTTGGAGGTCCAGCTCAAATTTGTCTCACTGGGTGGGAGAAAGAGGTACACAGGGGATGGAGAGACAGAGTTGGAGCACTTGGGACTCAGAATGGTCACTGAGCAGATAGACGAGGGCTGGCAAGACACATGGGGAAAACTAGAAACAGAGAGAGCAGTGGGGTGTGGCCTGGACTGGGAGTCAGCAGGTGCTGGTCCTGGCTTCTGTAGACAGTGTGTGGATGGGCCTGACTCAAGAGCCAGGTGAGCACAGAGCTCCAGGATTTGGGGCTCAGGGACCCTCTCCCAGCCCTTCTATCTGGAGGTGGCCTGGGCTTACAGCCAAGCCAGGCTCTCCTTGGGTCCTTCCACATCCCAGAGGCCCACACTGAGCTTGGCTGCAGCAAGGCTGATGGCAGGGCCTTCGGGCTCCTGCTGATTCATCTTGCTGACTCCAGGCTCGGGGCTGCTACCCAAGGAGGGCCTTAGAGTCCTGAGAGTATCTCCTGACCAATCAATCCTCTCTCCCCTGGGACCGACACTGGTGACTCAGGGATAGAGTGCACCCGATGAAAGGTAGTATTTGTTGTGTGTCTCTCTCCAGCCTTATCCATGAGCTCCTTAATAGCAAGTCACACACCTCCTCCCACGTGCCAGGTGCGTGGTGGGGCTCTGTCATGCTGGTTGAATTGAGCAGTGGTTGTGCTGTGTGATTATGCTGAATGTATGGGGGACTGTGCCGGGAGCAGCCATCCACGATCACGTCGCTGGGCTGGATGGTCCTCCTTGGTTTTAGGTCTTCTCCCAAAGAGGGAATGGTGGAGGGATGATCATAACAATAATAGCCAAAATAGCAAACAAGTCACAGTACCAGAGGCTGTGGTGACACCTTACGTATATGGTCTCTTAAATTCTCCCAACAGTCCTATGAGACGGGCACTGTTTTACTCCCTTTTTGCACATGAGGACACGGAAGCACCTGGCTCACTCTCCTTCATTCTTCAGGCCTCTGTTTGAATGTCTTCTCCTTTGGGAAGGCCAACACCCTCTACCTCCATAACATTGCATTTTTGATACTTCCTGGCTTTTGATGACTTGTGTCTCTTCCCTGATCTGTAAGGGCAGGGGCTACATCTGTCTTGTTCACTATTGAACCCGTGGTGCCAGGCACTCAGCTGGTATGGAGTAGATGCTCAATAAATGTGTTTGAATGAAGGAATGAACCAATTCTTACAGCATCACTTTGTGTCTACAGAAGCATTCCATCAGTCTGTGGGGAGGGGAGGCGCTTTCCTCTGTGTCTCCCTGCAGTGTCCACTGAGCCAAGAGGTGTCCCAGACCCAGGCATCTCTGTTTAATAAGAATTCATTGAGCACCTACTATATGCCTGAGTCTACACCGAGTGACAGGAAAGGGACCCCTGACCTCAAGGAATGTCTAACATTGAGGACATGGGAACTAAAGACTATATCTTCTGCAAAGAACTCCCTTCATTTGCATTTCTCCTAAAGCTGTGTCATGCTTTGAGAATGCATCCTGCATAGCCTTCTAAGAGTTCTGGGAAGAGAAGAATGGGCTCCCTGCTCATCAGGCTTCTCAGCTCCAGAGGACCCTGTTGTGCCCGCCATGCCTGAGGTAGACTGGTGGAGGTGGTTCAGTTATGCACGTTCATGCTGGGATCCTTCGCTCCCTCCCTTTGAGGACACGAGCATTTTGGCGAATTCTGAAGAGCACACGTTTTCCACTTAGCTCAGTCTGTGGCGGGCTCATGGTGCCTTGGTGCTACTATCTTTCCATTTATCATCTCAGGCCTCCCTCCCCTTTCCCTGCCCAGCCTTTTTACCTGATTTAATTTTCACACCTTATTCAGTGGCTCTTCATGGAACTTGTCTGCGTCGTTTTACTTCTCTTCCCTCTGGCGCACGGGTCCTCTCACCATCTATCTTCCAGGCCTCCTCCACCCCACAGAACATTTTGCAAGAAATGCAAAGAGCTTTCTTTCCACTGTGCATCTGGGCAGGTGCTGGCCGCCGCTGAATGGGGTGTGCTACTTAGAGTGTGGGTGTGGGTTTGGGGTGTGTGCGTGGGTTTGGGGCATGTGCCTCACATACCTACCCAGGCACAAGTGTAGAACTGACTCCTGCTCTTGCCCCATTCTCCCTCCAGAAACCACAGGTCACTCTGACTTCCTGCTGGGCGTCCCTACAGATGTTGGCGGCCCCCTCCTCTCTTCTCCTTGTGCTTATGAACCAAGCAGCAGAAAGCCCCCTGGTGTTGGGGAGGGATCGCAAGGAGCGCTTGAGGACGATCCAAGGCCAGGCGTGGTAGCATGTGCCTGTAATCCCAGTGCTTTGGGACACCGAGGCAGGAGGATCACTCGAGCCCAGGAGTGCGAGGCTGCAGTGAGTTATGATCATACCACTAAATTCCTAGGCAACAGAGCAAGATCCTGTCTCTGAAAAAAAAAAAAATGCCATCCAGACGGCATCCTGCTGCATGCAGCTGGAAGATGCAGCCCCTTTTATTTTCTGGGAGGCAACCATAGGAAAACAAAGTGTGAGTGGCCATAATTTACTGGGCTCCTGGGTAAATTTGTATTTCATTCTGATTATTGAATGTGTCGCCTAATTGCAGCTATAAAAAGGAATAGTCCATCTTCCCCATGAAAGCCCATTGCTGGCTGATTGTTGTTTAATTAGTTGATTCCAGTGGTCGAGGGGTGAGTTTGGAATTACAATTACAACTCCTATTATTTCAGGGAGATTGTTGAATTAATTAGTAGGACAATAGGATTCCTCATAGTTGACATCTTAAGAATCCACAATGATAACTTTAAAATTGGTTGCAAACATGAAAATAGGTGATAGATTTGTCTTCTCTGCCAGGTGACGCTAGACTTCAGGAAGACCCCCCATTTCTGCTCCCCTCCTGGGCTTGGAGAAGAGTACAGCTGCTCTTGACTGGTGGGACCTTTTGCTGGCTAGGGGTGATGGGAGAAGCAAGAGAGGGATCCACACACCTGCGCTTAGCTTTCTATGACCTGGGCGGATGGAGGCCAAAGGTAAGGTGGGATGAGAGAGAATAAAGACAGGAAGGAAAGGGCTCAGCCAAGAATGTGTAGTGTTTAATGCAATGTCGATGAAGAGCTCTGCTTACAGCTGTGATGGTCATGGGCAGCCACCCTAGACAGGGGCAGGTGGCAGTGCCCTCAGAGAGGGCCCAAGAGGTAACAAGGCCACGGTCATGCTAGGAGTTCTGGGAGCTGGATAGATCCCCATAGAGGAGCCTGTGTTCCCAAGGCCCCTCTATGACCACCAGCCTGTGCTGGGCCCGGGACATGGCCGGCTAATGTTTGGTTCTGGGTGACCTCCAGCCTTCTGGTTAAGGTCTTGCCTTAGCTCCTGCCTGAGTCGGGGTGGGGAGCTGGAAGGACTCAGCTCCCTGTTCTCCTAAGCTTGCGCTTTCCTTCACTTTCTTGTCGTATTTCCCCTCTCCCCAGGAGTCACCAGAAGCATCTTCTCCGCTGGATATAAAAGAGAAATATTGCGCTTTAGCTGGCTTCAGCAAGAAAGGTGATAATGAGAATATAAGAGAAACTGTTTATCCAGGTGGTTAATATTTGAATAATCCTGAAGGTCATATGGCATGTTTCTTTCAAGGAAAGATTCTGTCCTCACCTTGGTGCATATGTGGAGAGGCGGGGCAGGCACAGTGCTGTCCTGAACTTGCATCCTGTGGAGTTGCTGTGGTCTAGAGACATGTGGAGCATGGGGTGGAGGAGAGCCAGGTGGGTTTCTGAGGGGGTGAGTGGACTGTGGCCTGAGAGGGGTGTGTGGAGGGCAGAAGTCCTATGGGAAGAGTGGGATGATGGAGATCTCTTGGGTTAGAAGGGGCTTCTTCTGGTTCTGAAGGCAGTTGCCCAATAAAGGTGGATGGGAGCCCATTCCAGACACCATCTCGGGGGGTTCGTCTTTTCCTTTTTCTCCACTAGCCTCTTACCTGATCTTCCAGGGCTAGGTGTCCTTCAGGGGCCAAAGGGGCTGGGGAGTTTCTTGGAAGGCAGATCATTAAGATTTAATGGGACATTTCCTGCCAGGCAGAGGGATTGTAAAATGCAGCTAATTTAGAGAGCCAGGGGATCACAGAGTCATTTTGCCTTTCGTTGGGAAAGGCCAGACATGAAATTATGCCAATCCCTGCCCTCCTGTCTTCAGTCCTCCCCAATTATACCACTGGGCAGCTGCTGAGCTGGCCCAGAGTATCTGCTGGACAGAGCCCTTCCCTGCTGGCGGCAGGGGCAGGTGGGTGTTTAGCTGGCTGAGGGCTTAGTGAGGAAAGTGGTGTTGGAGCAGCATCTACGCAGCCACAAGCCCTTGTGCAGTGCTCGGATTTCTCAGCTCGGCCCCAGGACCATAGCCACAGCCCAGACTTCCTTTCCTCCATCCCCTGTAGTGGCTTCTCAGAGCCTTGGTCTGGCAGGGTCCTTTCCTTTCAGCAGAGTGAGTTGGACAGTTGAAGGAAGTGAGTTGGTAAAGGGGTAGTGGCAATTGTGTGTCTGTGTGTGTGCATGTGTGTGCATGCGTGAGACAGAGACATAGAGATGAACAGAGAGACAAAGGCAGGGAGAAGGAGAGAAACACGACCAGAGGGCAGGGAAGTAGAAGGGCACCTGTTGCCTCCCCTGGGGCTGGGCTGTTTGGTTGAAGTTGATCTCAGCTGTGTGTCTTTACCCATAGGTGACAGGAAATGAGAACATGGAGGGATAGATGTGGGCACAGCCTAGGGAGAGGAAAGGGGAGGTGAGAAGTTACAACAGCAGTGGGATCCTTTGGGGCCCTTGGGCTGAGATGCTGGATCAGTGCTGCCCAAGAAGCTGGAGTTTAGAGCTGCTCCTAGGTGTGCAAGGGAAATAGCCATAGATGTGGACACCAAGAGGTTCTGCCACACACAACATGCATGACCTCTGTGAGGTCCCATAAAAATGAGGATACCATTGCAACCTTACACGTAACACAGCTGAAGCTTCTAGAACATACAGGGCATCCAGTAAGTCCATGTTCCACCTTCCCTCCCTTCCATAGAGGGGGATACACGGATGCTTAGTACAGTGCCAGACACATGCTTGGCACTCAGTACAACTTGGTGGAATTGGATTCCGAATCCCAACAGCCACTCAGCCACTGCCCCTCGGCCTTGGGAGCTGGAGTCAGGCAGAGCTGAGGGTTGCACCCAGCTGGCCAGTGGTCTCCCCTCCCGGCGAACGCCCCGCCCGGCCCCTGGTTTCTGGTAACACCCTGCTATGTCGTCCCGCTTCCTCACTTGGCTCATCTCCACAAATACTCAGAGACGGAGGTGGGGAGGGTTGCAACTGTCTCCAGCCCCATGGGTGGCTGGGTTTGAGCCCTGACTCTGCTGCTAACCAGCTGTCAGAAGTTGCGGGTTAAGTAGCGGGGGTTGAGGCGGGAGTTCCTGCAGGCAGGGCCATGCTTCTGCCACGTGGAAGCCATACACTATCCCTCTGTGAGTGCCCAGGAAGGCTTGGAGGCATACTCCTACCTGAATATGATAGTCCAGCCCAAGTGGCATTTATTGAGCATCCACTGTATGCCAGGCCCTGTCCCAGCACTGAGGATCCAGCTGTGAACAAGGCTGCATGATGGTGGAGTGGGGACAGCCAGCCATAAACAAGGATGATTGGGAAGTGACAGCACACGACAAAATAACCCCCCCCCCTTTTTTTGGATGGATGAGGCGTGGGGGTGCGGAATGATGGGGGCAGGTGCTTTGTAGGGTGAACTGAGGAGACCACACTTATATCAGCCCCTTTCAGAAGGAGCCAGCCACACAGAGTTCAGGGCAGAGCCTTCCAGGCAAGGGGAACAAGGCGGTAGCAAGGTGGGGACAGGGTGAGTGTCTTCGAGAGAATGGACAGATGGCCAGGGTGGACATAGGGGTGCGGAATGAGAGGAGGTCAGAGAAGCATGCTGGCCTTGTGTGCCAGGGAAGGAATTTGGATTTTATTCTAAAATAAGATCACTTTGGAGGAGTTTAAGCAGGGGAGTGACAGTATGATTTATATTTGAAAAAGTTATTTTGACAGCTTATAAAGGATAAATCATAGGAGAGGAAGAGTTAAGCCATGAGTAGCTGTAGGTTGGGTGAGAACTGACAGAGGCTTGGACATAGTATGGCCTTGGAGGCAACAGACATGTGTGGGCGGGTCCCGATCTGTACAGTTTCAGGTTTTTATTAAGGTATGTTTTACACACAGTAAAATTCCCCGTTTAGCATAAAGTTCCATGACTTTTGACAAAGTCCTGAGTTGTGTAACCACCACCACAATCAAGATATGGAACATCTCCGTCACCTGCCAAATTCCCCCACACCCCCGGCAGTCACACTCCCTCCCCACCTCCCACCCTTGGCGACCACTGATCGTGTTCAGAATGTCATATAAATAGAATCACATAGTATATAGCTTTCTGAGTCTGGCTTCTTCCACTTGGCATAATGTATTTGAGATTTATCCATGTTGCTGCATATGTGAGTAGTTCATTCCTTTTTATTGCTGGATAGTATTCCATTGTGCAGAAATGCCAGTTTGTTTATTCATTTACCCGTTGAAGGACGTTTGGATTGTTTTCAGTTTTTGACAATTTCAAATAAGGCTGTTCTACACATTTGAGTACAAGGGTTCTTTCTTTCTTTCTTTCTTTCTTTCTTTCTTTCTTTCTTTCTTTCTTTCTTTCTTTTTCTTTCTTTCTTTCCTTTCTTTCTTTATTTATTTTTTTGAGACAGAGTCTCACTCTGTCACCCACACTGGAGTGCAGTGGCGCGATCTTGGCTCACTGCAATCTCCACCTCCCGGGTTCAAGTGATTCTCCTGCCTCAGCCTCCTAAGTAGCTGGGATTACAGGTGCACACCACCATGCCTAGCTAATTTCTGTACTTTTAGTAGAAACAGGGTTTCTCCATGTTGGCCAGGCTGGTCTCAAACTTCTGACCTCAGTGATCTGTTCTTACCAAAGTGCTGGGATTACAGGTGTGAGCCACCATGCCTGGCCTCCTTTCTTTTTTTTTTTTAGAAACAGGGTTTTGCTCTGTCATCCAGGCTGGAGTGCAGTGGTACAATCATAGTTCCCTGCAACCTCTGCCTCCTAGGGTGTAGCGATCCTACTGCCTCAGCCTCCCCGGTAGCTGGGACTACAGGCATGAGCAACTGCACCCGGTTTTGAGTACAGACATTGATGTGAACCTAAGTTTTCATTTCTCTAGGGTAAATACTTAGGTGTGGGTTCTATATGGTAAGTGTATGTTTAGCTTCCTAAGAAGCTGCCAACCTGATCTCTGTGGTGGCTGTGCCATTTTCCCTTCCTATCACCAACGCATGAGAGTTCCAGTTGCTTTGCATCCTCACTAGTATTATCCTTAAAACAAATCTTAAAAATTTTGTTTCTCCGTTTTATGAGGCGTATGGTTGTATCTCATGGTAGTTTTAATTTGCATTTCCCTAGCGACTTAAGATGTGTCTTTTCATCTGTTTATTTGCCAACCCTGTATCTTTTCTTGGTGAAGTATCTTTCAGTCTTTTGTACATTTTTATATTGGTTGTTATTATTGCATTTTGAGAGTTCTTTATATATTCCAGATACAAGTCCTTTATCAGATGTGAGATTTGCAAATAATTTCTCCCAGTCTATGGCTTGTCTTTTCATTTTCTCTCTCTCTGTCTTCTTTAAATTACAAGACCAAGTATACTTATGAAAATAGAGCAAGGATTAAAACATATGTAATTCCTTGACACAGACACTTCCTTTACTGTCATTTAGAGAACGGTTTCAGAAGACAGCCTCTTGGAGAATCTTAGTTTGATGGTCCAGATTTTGTAGTTTCTTGTTTTTAATTGTAGTAAAATACACATAACATAAAATTTATTATCTCAACCATTTTAAATGTACAGTTCAGCAGTGTTAAGTACCATCATGTTGTTGTGCAATCAGTCTCTAGAGCTCTTTCAATCTTGCAAAACTGAAACTCTGTACCCATTAAATAACAACTCCTCATTCCCTCTTCCCCTCGGTTCCTAGAGAACACCATTCTGTCTGTCTCTGTGAATTTGACTACTCTAGATACCTCATGTAAGTGGACTCATATAGCATTTGCCTTTTTGCGACGGGCTTATTTCAGTTATCATAATGTCCTCAAGGTTCATTCATGTTGTAACATGTGTCAGAATTTCCTTCCTTTTTTTTTTCTGAATAGTTCATCATGTACTGTTTTATTTCAGTGAGTGGAAGATTTTTCTTTTTTTCTTTTTTTTTTGAGACGGAGTCTTGCTCTGTTGCCCAGGCTGGAGTGCAGTGGCGTGATCTCGGCTCACTGCAAGCTCCACCTCCCGGGTTCACGCCATTCTTCTGCCTCAGCCTCCCTAGTAGCTGGGACTACAGGTGCCCACCACCACGCCCGGCTAACTTTTTAATATTTTTAGTAGAGACGGGGTTTCACTGTGTTAGCCAGGATGGTCTCGATCTCCTGACCTCGTGATCTGCCTGCCTCAGCCTCCCAAAGTGCTGGGATTACAGGCATGAGCCACCGCGCCCAGCCTGAATGGAAGATTTTTCACACTAAGAATAGTTTGTAGGCAGGCTTGAGAAGAACCTAACAGAAGTTTCTTCTACCATGAGCATCTATAGGGCCATTCAGATACCCAGGCCTGAAAAGTAATAACAGTCTTTGTTTCTTTTTTTTTTTTTAAATAGTATGTATATATATACATATACATTATACGTATGTATATATGTGTATATATATAAAACTTGTATTTTAGGTTTAGGGGTACATGTGTAGGTTTGTTATATAGGTAAATTGCATGTCATGGGGGTTTGGTGGTCAGACTATTTCATCGCCGAGGTAATAAGTATAGTACCTGATAGGTAGTTTTTAGTCTTCTCCCTCCTCTCACCCCCTGCCCTCGAGTAGGCTTTGCTGTCTGTTGTTCCCTTCTTTGTGTCCATGTGTATTCAGCATTTATTAGGTTGGTGCAAAAGTAATTGCAGTTTTTGCCATTAGTGTGTTAGCACCCACTTATAAGTAAGAACATGCAGTATTTGGTTTTCTGTTCTCATGTTAGTTTGCTTAGAATAATGGCCTCCAGCTCCATCCATGTTGCTGCGAAGGACATTACCTTGTTCTTTTTTATGGCTGCGTAGTATTCCATGGTGTATATGTACCACATTTTCTTTATCCAGTCTACCGTTGATGGGCATTTAGGTTGATTCCATGTCTTTGCTATTGTGAATAGTGCTTCAGTGAACATATGCATGCATGTATGTGTCTTTATGGTAGAAAAATGTATATTTCTTTGGGTATATACCCAATAATGGGATTGCTGGGTCAAATGTTAATTCTAAGTTCCTGGAGAAATTGCCACACTGGTTTCCACAATGGCTGAATTAATTTACATTCCCACCAGCAGTGTATACGTGTTCCCTTTTCTCTGCAACCTCAGCAGCATCTGTTATTTTTTTACTTTTTAATGGCCATTCAGACTGGTGTGAGATGATATCGCCTTGCGGTTTTGATTTGCATTTCTCTAATGATTCGTGATGTTGAGCATTTTTTCATGCTTGTTGGCCACATATATGTCTTCTTTTGAAAAGTGTCTGTTGATGTCCTTTGCCCACTTTTTAATGAGGTTGTTTGGTTTTTGCTTGTTAATTTAAGTTCCTTATAGATTCTGGATATTAGACCTTTGTTGGATACATAGTTTGCAAATATTTTCTTCCATTGTATAGGTTGTCTGTTTACTCTGTTGATAGTTTCTTTTGCTGTGCAGAAGCTCTTTAGTTTAAGTAGTTTCCATTTATCAATTTTTGTTTCTGTTGGAGTTGCTTTTGGTGTCTCCATCATGAAATCTTTGCCAATGCCTATGTCCAGAATGGTATTTCCTAGGTTATCTTCCAGGGTTTTTATAGTTTTAGGTTTTATATTTAAGTCCTTAATCCATCTTGAGTTGATTTTTGTATTTGGTGTAAGGACGAGGCTCTCTATTCTGTTCCATTGGTCTATGTTTCTGTTTTGTGTACCAGTACCATGCTGTTTTGTTTACTGTAACCATGTAGTGTAGTTTGAAGTCAGGTAACAGGATGCCTCCAGCTTTGTTCTTTTTGCTTAGGATTGCTTTGGCTTTTCAAACACTTTTTTGGTTGCATATGAATTTTAAAACAGTTTTTCCTAGTTCTGTGAAGAATGTCATTGGTAGTTTGATAGGGATAGCATTGAATCTGTAGATTGCTTTGGGCAGTATGGCCATTTTAACAATATTGAGTCTTTCTATTCATGAACATGGAATGTTTTTCCATTTGTTTATGTCATCTCTGATATCTTTCAGCAGTGTTTTGTAATTCTTGTTGTAGGGATCTTTCACCTCCCTGGTTAGCTGTATTCCTAGGTATTTTATTCTTTTTGTGGCTATTGTGAATAGAATCGTACTCTTGATTTGGCTTTCATCTTGGACGTTGTTGGTGTATAGAAATGCTACTGATTTTGTACATTGATTTTGTATCCTGAAACTTTGCTGAAGTTGTTTAACAGCTCTAGGAGCTTTTGAGCAGAGACTGTGGGGATCCTTTCTCTTGTCTGATTGCTCTGGCTAAGACTTCTAGAACTATGTTAATAGGAGTGGTGAGAGTAGCCATCCTTGTCTTGTTCTAGTACTGCAGGGGAATGCTTCCAGCTTTTGCTCCATTCAGTATTATGTTGCCTGTGGTTTTGTTATAGATGACTGTATTAGGCCATTCTTGCATTGCTATAAAGAAATACCTGAGACTGGTAATTTATAAATAAAATAGGTTTAATTGGCTCACAGATCTGCAGGCTTTACAGGAAGCATGGTGCTGGTATCTGCTCAGCTTCTAGGGAGGCCTCAGGAAGCTTACAATCATGGTGGAAGGTGAAGAGGGAGCAGGCAGTTACATGGTGAAAGTGGGAGTGAGTGAGATAGAGACAGAGACAGAGAGAGAGGTAAGGGGAGTTGCCATACACTTTTAAATGACCAGATCTCATGAGAACTCACTATTGTGAAGACAGCACCAAACCACAAGGGATCCACCCTCATGATCCAGTCACATTCCACCAGGCTCCACCTCCAACACTGGGGATTACATTTCAAGTGAGATTTGGGCAGGACAAATATCCAAACTGTATCAGTGGCTCATTAGTTTGAGGTATGTTCCTTCAGTGCATAGTGTGTTGAGGGTTGTTAACACGAAATGATGTTGAATTTTATGAAAAGCCTTTTCTGCATCTATTGAGATGATCATATGGTTTTTGTTTTTAGTTCTGTTTATGTGGTGAATTACATTTATTGATTTGAACCAACCTTGCATCCCAGGGATAAAGCCTACTTGATCATGGTAGATTAGCTTTTTGATGTGCTGCTGGATTTGGTTTGCTAGTATTTTGTTGAGGATTTTTGCATCTGTTAATGTGTTCATCCAGGATATTGGCCTGAAATTGTCTTTTTTTGTTGTGTCTGTGCCAGGTTTTGGTATCAGAATGATGCTGACCTCACAGAATGAGTTAGGGAGGAGTCCCTCCTCTTTAATTTTTTGGAATAGATTCAGTAAGACTTTCCGTCTTTTTTAAGGTTGAATAATATTCCATTGTATGTTTATACCCCACTTTGTTTATCCATGCATCTGTCAATGGACCCTTGGGTTGCTTCCACAACTTGGCTATTGTGAATAATGGTGCTGTGAACATGGGTACACACATATCTCTTTGAGACTATGCTTTAAATTCTTCTGAGTTCTTTTCATTCTCTCTCTCCCTCTCTCTCTCTTTTTTTTTTTTCTTTTTTTTTGTGAGACAGAGTCTCACTCTGTAGCCCAGGCCGAGGTGCAGTGGACCTATCTCAGCTCACTGCAACCTCTGCCTCCTGGTTCAAGCGATTCTGGTGCCTTAGCCTCCTGAGTAGCTGGGATTACAGGTGTGAGCTACTGTGCCGTGCCCTTTCCATTCTCTTAATAGTGCCTTTCGAAGAACAGTAGTTAACTTTGATAAAGTCTAATTTATTATTTTTTCTTTTATACATTGTACTTTTGGTATTGTATCTGAGTATTGCCTAATCCAAGATCACAAGTGTTTTCTTCTACTCTGATCTAGTTTGAGTTATTTTTGCATATGGTGAGAAGTATGGATTAAAGTTCTTTTTTTGTTTTTGTTTTTTTTTTTTGCAAATGGGTATCCAATCATTTTAGCACCATTTGTTGAAAAGTCTATCCTTCCTCTAGATACGTTTTTGAGATAAGGATTGACAAGGTGTGATTTTGGATGTGGAACATGAAGGAGGGGGAGGAACTAATGGTGACTGAGTTCTGGCTTGAGAAACTGATTGGGTCAGGGTGCCATTTCTAAGATGGGAGGGTCTTGGAGAGAAGCACCTTTAGCAGTTGGGAATTCAGAGTTGTGTTTTAGAGATGCCCATGGGGCATAAGAGTGTCCAGGAGACAGCTGGACATATGAGTCTGGAGTTCAGGACAGAGGTAAGAGCTGGAGATAGGCATTTTGCAAAGCATTGGCATACACAGACAGGTGTGTGAGCTGACACTTGGACACGTGTTGAATACAGCCATGGAGCTGTAGTTGTAGCAGGAGCTCTGGGTGGAGTACATGGGGGAGTAGGGAAGAGCCTTAGGGGAGGTCATGTGAGTGGGTCTTGAAGGATGAAGAGGAGTTTGCCAAGAGATAATCTAGGGGGTGGTTTTTCAGGGGAAGTACCAGAATATGCAAAGGTTTAGGGGCATGAAGTGTAGGGTGATGAGGAAATTGAAAAGAGTTTAGAGTAGCCGGGGGAAAGGTGCATGGGGAGGAGGACAGGCGATGAGGCTGGGAGAGAAAGCAGGGCCAGTTCAGGAAGGGCCTTCATTTAGGGAGAGCAGTTTGGACTTTCCCACATAGACACTGGGGAATTAATGAAAAGCCTGCTGTAAGGGAGTGCCTATTGCTTCCTTCCTCAGAGACATGTTTTAGGTGGGTCACCAGGGCCTTGGTGTGAATTAGAGGAGACAGGAAGATCAGCGAGGAGTTCTCCTTTACTGCCAGATGCCGAGTGTGTGGACTCAGCGGTGCTTGGGATGGGAAGTGAGAGGTGACAATGGGACATTCGGGTGACCTTGTCTTCCTGTTGTAGTCTCCCTTCCCTCTGTCCCACAGCAAGGGGACCCTTCCTCCGACCTGGAGAGTATGTTTGTCCCTAGGGATCCCTGATTTGATCAAGCCCCAGGGTGCCGAGAAACCTCTCCCTGCTTTAGCCTCTCCATTCCTGATGTGTGGTTAGGATCAGGCCCTGCAGTCGCGCTGCCCCAGGCATAGTAGTGAGGGGAGGTCCAGATTCTGGCCTTCAGGGAACTGGTGTCAGGTCTGATGCCTCATCCATTGGCCTAATCAGACCCTGTCAGGAATACAGATGTGATGCTGTTTCTTCGCTCTGTCTGAAATTGCTTTGTAATAACAGTAGGAGTTAGAGAGGCATTTTTATTGATTAAACAATCGAGGCGATTTGTCTTTACAAAACTGAAAATATAGAGGTGTCTCTTTCTCTCTCTGTATGCATTACACATGCTTATTTATTAGAGGCGGCAGTCTCTGCTTGTAATCAAGCTGATGTTTATGATGGGGCTGTTTTATAAAGCCAGGCAGAGATGATATAAGGGGAACTGGAATGAAAAGAAGCCCTAATATAACGACACCGACAATCGGGGTGAGAGGCCCCTGGGGAAGGCACCGCGGCCAGTGTGAGTACGTGATTGGAGGGAAACTTGGAGCTACTTTGACATGGAAAAAAATCTTATAATGTCACATGGAAAGGAGACCGTGAGCTTTGGATCAGATAGCTCAGGGTTTGAATCTTAGCTCTGCCATTTATTGCATGTGTCACCTGGGAAAAGTTACTTAAAATCTGTGACACTCAAAATAGGGATAATGGTATGTAATGACATAGCATATGTAAATCGCTTGGCACAGTGTCAGACATATGTAGTTATTATTATCATGATGTCTCCAGAATGGAGTTCTAGGTAGGAATGGGCATGTTAAGGTGCTTGGACCAGTAACTTGTGAGGGGAGCAAGTCAGGAGCTCTTTAGGGTTGATTTTCAGGCCCAGCCCATTCATCCTAGACCGTTTGCAAGGCCAGCCTCGCCATGGCTCAGCCAGTGGTCAGCTACGCTTAGTCTTGGGGATTTTAGGCCTGCTGGACTACCTGGCCAGGTACCAGTCAGCTCTGGTGCTGAGTAAGTCTGTGGGGTGGCACAGGCACCAGAAGGCTAGTGAGCTGCCTTTTGAATTGGGTGGGAGGAGCAGGGCCTTGTTGGACAAGGATGCCACTGCCGGAGCAACTAGCTGCATTATTAAGAGATCTTTCTAATTCCATCCTGATATGGCATAATTATTCCAGCTCTGCAGGGCTCAGTATGAAAACCGCTGTCAGTCACTTGGCTGCCGGGATTTGTCAAACTGTATTCATGAATTTATCACTCCAGACTGTGAGCTGTGACACACTGACTGGGGGTGGGCTGCAAATTCAGGAGGGCAGGTGTGTGGGCGGCCAGAGGGGCACGAGACAGAGATGTCCAGAGCACCTGTCTCTGCTGGTGTGTGGCTGGGCTTGGCCCGCTCCTGGGGCCACCCGGAATCCAGGAGGAGGTGAAATAGCTTCTGGCCCTCTGGTTTCTCAGTACCCCAGTTCAAGATCTATTTGCGGGAGGCTTCTTGGAGTATGGTGTTCTTGAAGTGGGAGTTTTAGGAAGAGGTGATCATCCTGCCAGCCAACTCCTTTCCTTTTTGCCTGGCCACCAGTCACCCAGCACATACCTGGTACTTACTCTGTTCAGGCATAGAGGGAACAATGCAGTGGGCCCTCTATGGTCTCAATGGGATGGGGAGACCGCAGGCACGACACAGGGTCTTTCCTTGGCTAATTTTTGAGTAGGTTTTCAGCAGGGACTTACTGCGATCCAGACTGGTCAGGAAAGCCTGACAGCAGAAGTGGGGTTTGTGGGAGGACTCAGTGAGGGGTGGTGGCTGCCGGGAGGCATCCCAGGAGGTCAAGGGTGTAAGTCAAAGGACCACACAGTTGGAATAATGAACGGAAGAGTTTGGCGGCAGGGGATAGTATAGGGCAGGCTTCTCAACATTTTGGGCCGCACAATTCCTTGTTGTGGGGGTGCTCTCCTGTGTACTCTAGGGTGTTTGGCAGTCTCCCTGGCCTCTACCCACCAGATGCCAGTAGCACGCCCTGTAGCCCCCAATTTGTGATAACCAAGCACAATTCTAGACTCACTGCATGTCTCCTGGGTAGCCAAGGTGTCTCCAGTTGAGAACTGTCGGTATAGGGGGTAGAGCTAAGAGTGCAAATGTTGGCTGGGTCTGGAAAGTCTAGAAGAGCCTTGGCTTTCAGGTCAAGAAAGTTGGGACTTTATTCTAGAAATAACGAGGAGGCTTTATGAGCAGATGGTGCAGAGAGGCTGTGGTATCAGGACACTGCCAGGAAGTTTTGCTCAGGATGGAACTACCTTCTCTGCTAAGGGTTGGAAAAATCAGATGCCCTCTGGGCCTCAACTGAGTGGTGACATGCACCAAGCAGGCCAAGCTGAAGGCAGTAGTGGCTAAACAACTTGTAATAGGCTCAAGAATTTGCATTTCTAACACGTTTCTAGGTGACACTCATGCTCACACTGCTGGTCTGGGGACCACACCTTGAGAGCCGCTGCACTACATCGTTTTAATTTACTGCCTAGGCCAACCATAACGCAGTTGGCAGGCTGTAGGTATACAGCCCTTATTTCTTCCTAGGAGAAGTCAAAATCCTACCTTGGCCACCATCTAAATGCCAAGGGCTTTTCTAGAGAGGGCTTGACAGATTGGATACACCTGCTTTTGACTGAAGATAAAGCTTGGGAACTCCTGCTAGCTCAGCCCTCGGAACCTCCACGCTGCTGGCCACCCGTGTCTCACTATAGCAGTCGAGTCTCTTGAATTAGATGCAACTCCTGCAGGACAGGGCTCAGGACGTTGGAAATCTGAACAAAATCCTTCAGCCAGCGGCCACCGTTTGCTCTGGGAGCATTCCTTTTGCATTCCTTGGCTCCTAAGGGAACCCAGAAAGCAAAGCGTAACCCTCCCCGAACCCTCAGGTCTCTCACCACCCGCTGCCTGCCCAGCATCTCCTATCATCACAATTCCCGGCCTCAACAGGAGACAGGCACATTTGTCTCTTTTCATATATATTTAAAAGGTATTGATAGCCAAAAAGGCCAGAGGGACACACACAGTCCTGCTTGGGCAGCTGGCATTTTCACACTTCTTTATCCCTTCACTCCTAGAAGGCCAGAGCAGGAAAGGACCTCAAAGGTCATTGGACCCAATCCCCTGAGGCCCAGGGAGGGAGGTGAGGGTTGCAGGGTAACACAGCCAAAGAGAGGCAGAGGCAGCTTTCAGTGCTTTTGACCCATGCATCCTGCTGGTTCAAGGACATAGCTGTGTCCAAGGCCAAGGTCTGGAGCTGGGAAGGAGGGTGTGTTTCAATGCGTTTTTCATCCATGAAGGATTCCTTTCATTGCCTTTTTCTTCTTTCTCTTTAGTGTTTCAACCAGAGCCTTCACCTTACCCCTGACCCTGCACCCTACTCATGACCCTGCACCTTGCCCCTGACACCCTGCCTTCACCTTGACCTTACACCTTACCCCTGCCTCTGCTTCCTCTCATCTGGCCCCAGGAGGCCTCCACCTGCAGGCCTTAGCACTGAATTCATTCTGCCTGGGCAGAACATTTCCTCCCAGCCACAGGCTTTGTCTGAATTGGAATGAAATTGTCTTGCAGAATCTGCTCTCTTACCTGGAACTAGCACTTGGCCTTACATGTTAGTCTGGTGGCCTGGGTCTGCAGCCCTAGATGAGTCCTATCGATGCCTCCCTGCACCCTGACATCCAGGTGCACCCGGCTGCTGGCGTAGCATTGTGATTATTGCTGTATTTCTAGGCTGAGCACAGTGCCTGGAATGTAATTGGCACTCGCTTCAATTGTAGAGTGAATAAATGGATGAATAAATATGCTTTGCTCATTCCCTTGATTTGGACTCAGGCCTCTTCTTTGGGAACCCCAAGGCTCACCATATGGTGACTCAAGCATGACTCAGGGATTTTAGGCCCCTCAGAAGCAGCTTCTGCCACAGGGTCCTTGCCTCTAGGCCTTGGCTAGCCTTTCATTTGTGGAATACTTAGTATATGCCAGGCACCTTGCTAAGTGATTTATACAGATTGTTGATTCAGCAACCTCTGAGATGGGTACTGCTATCTCTGTCCTCCTGGCAGGTTAAATGAAGCTGTTGAGGGTTAAGGGACTTAACGAATCCCCGGCTTCCATCCTTCCCGGGGTTTCTGTAGGCCGACTCTCACCTGAGGCCCAGGACACTCCCAAATGATGATGGTCATTGCCAAGAGGTGTTATGTTTAGTGGTTAAATCACAGGAGATCTGGCTGCTTCACCTGCTTCCTTCTCACACTGGAAGCGTAAATGGAGGCAAGTCACCATACTGCGCGATCCAGCCACATGTGAAAGAATAGGACCATGGTGTCTGAATTTATCGTCTCTGCTTCCCTTGCACATCTCCTCCCTTGACTGTGGGAGGTACCCAGGTGGTGTCTCCCACAGTCAAGGGAGGAGATGGACCTGGGCATGGCTGTGCACCTGGATGTCAGGAGGCAGGGAGGCATCACTAGGACTCACCTGGGGCTGGTGGATGCCCCTTGACCCTGCCTCCCAAGCCTGTATGTAGCTGGGCTGTGATGCTGGCAGATGGGCCTAGGCATGACTGTGCTACTGGTTGGCAGGGAAGCTGATGCCTTAATAGGGCACCATCCCATGGCTGCCTTCTCGATCCAACTCCATCCCATGTTCACTCTTCCTCTTGGTGTCTTCCCACTAGCCATAGCACTAATAAGGTTAGAATTTAATGTAAAAGCGTGTTGTAAGGGTTAACTGTAGCATACACTCAGTGTGCACCCCAGCTGCCTTCTGCCTCCTCTGGGCTTTTTGCCTTCTTCCCTCTTCCCTCCACCACAGCCTCTTCTCAGAAGTTCCCCTAGTCAGTACTAGGGATGAATGTACCCAGCTTTTTCCTCTGTCTCTTTGTCCTAGACAGCTCTGTTGTGTGTTTGCCTATGGATTGATGCTCATAGACAAACATTTTGGGTACAAGTGAAGTGCTGATGCTTGCATTTTTATAAAATAAGCTGCACAATGCCTAGTCCATGCCTCTTCCTCCTGCATCCCTCCTCCTCTTCTTGCATCCCTCCCTCCTCTTCTGTATTTGCATCGGCACAGGGACTGTTATTCCCACCAGCTGAATCAGGGGAGAGATCTTGGAAGAGTAATTAATTTGAGCAGATGTGTATCAGTGTCCTAGGAAATAAAAGATGTCAGTACAAACCACTCGTGCAGGCTCCACTCAGGTCACAAAGCCCTAGAATGCAGGTGGACCTCTCTTTAGGAAAATCCAATAGGTGGAGGTCATTTACATCACAAAAGACCTTGCTTTACAGAAAAAGATTTGCTGCTGGGGTCCTTAAAATCAGAGATCTTTTGGTTTATTTAAGTGTTTTACAGGTCATTAAGTACTTGACAGAGAGGCTTTAGGGACTGGAAAACTTTATGTTCAAGCTTAAGAATCAGTGCCAATTACAGATCCTTCTGAAAAGATGATGAAGCAGCCCAGAACTTGTGCGGAAGTCCATGGGGAAATGCCGTCTGACCTGCTAACGTGTGTGTGCACACGCCTCTTCGGAGATGGCCGCCGTCCTACGATGGCCTGGCACCCCCTACGTGATTGTACCTGTTTTTCTTTAATGACGAACCCTGAGAACAAGAACGAAGCTTGCTGTGCTAGTTTCCCAGTTGATTCTCTCCTCTGCTCGGTACTGCATTCCGTTGGGCTGGAAGATTTCCTAACTGAAAATCATAGTTCAATGCAGGGGGCTTTTGAGATTTTTTATCGAATGATGTTTCTCTTGTGGACTCCCTTTCTACTCCCCAAAGCTTGGATTTCCTGCCTCCTCTGGCTTCAGATCTCCCTCAGCACTTCCCACACCCTCCCTCTGAGCGCAGCATCTCACCTCAGCCTTCAGGGAGGAAGCAGAAGACATCAGACTGGAGCCCCTTTACACCCTGAACTCTGCAAGCCCGCCTGACCTCCCACCCACATGTGCCCCTCCTGCAACTCTGAGGGGCTGGCCGTCCGCATGTCTGCCTCCCAGCCCCTCACCTTCTCAGGGATCTCACCTTTGGATCATTCGCAGCAAGGCAGGGATGTGCTCTGTTCTCTGTCATCTTTGAAAAAGCTGGCTGGGTGTGGTGGTTCACACCTGTAATCCCAGCACTTTGGGAGGCCCAGGCGGGCAGATCACCTGAGGTCAGGAGTTCAAGACCAGCCTGCCCAACATGGCGAAATCCCGTCTCTACTAAAAATACAAAAAATCAGCTGGGCTGGTGGCGCACTCCTGTAATCCCACCTACTCAGGAGGCTGAGGTGGGAGAATCGCTTGAACCCGGGAGGCAGAGGTTGTGGTGAGCCAAGATCGCGCATTGCATTCCAGCTGGGGCAACAGAGCCTGACTCTGTCTCAAAAAAAAAAAAAAAAAAGCCGCCTGCAGTTGTACCTCTTCTTCTGTTCCATTTCTGCTCCCTTTTGTAGCCAAACAACTCAGAAGAGTTGTGGGCATACACTGCCTCCACTTCACCTCCCGATCACTCTCCTGCCCACTTCAATCTGGCGGCTGCCCCACCAATCCACTCAACAGCTTGGGGAGGTCGCTAGTAGCTTCCATGTTGCCCAATCCTGTGGACACTCTGCTGTCCTCATCTTGGTTCTCAGCAGCATTCGACACTTCCCTCCTCCCTCGAGACACTTTCTCCAGGCTCTCAACACTCCATTCCTCCTGCTTCCCCCATCTCAGGTCTGTCTTTCTCGTATCCCTTTCTGTTGACTCCCCCTTTACTCCTGTCTAAATGTCGGATGTCCCAAGCCTTGCCCCCCACTTCTCTAACTGTATATTCTCTCTGAGTGAACTCACCTATTGCCACACTTTCAATACCATCTATACAGTGATGACCTCCAACTTTCTCTCCTGAGTGCTGTTCTAGCAGTTCCATCTATCTATCTACTTGACTTTTTCATTTGAATATCCTCCATATATCCTAAACATGGAAAACCACTTTATTCCTCTTCCCAAATCTGTTTCTACCTCTTTCCCCATCTCAGTAAATGGCACAATTGTCCACCAGTTTACAAGACCAAAAGAATGGGAGTCATTCCTGATCTCTCCGTTCTCTCACTCTCCACATCCCATACCCCACCAAGTCCTGCCAATTTACCTCCAGCAGGTGCCTCAAATTTATACCCTTCTCTCTCTCCACTTGCCCTGCCACCCTTCAGTCCAGGCCACCACCATCTCTCCTCTGACCTAAGACAGTAGCCTCCTAATTGGTTTTTCTCCTTCCACTTCTCTTGTTCCTTGTTCTTCACACAGCACAGCATTTTAAAAACTATGCATTTCAAATACATCATTTAAATTGTTTCATGCTACTCTTGTGCTTCAAACCTTTCAGTAGCTATTCATTACCCTTAGAATAAAATCCTGCTGGGCGCAGTGGCTCATGCCTGTAATCCCAGTATTTTGGGAGGCCAAGGCCGGCAGATTGCTTGAACCTAGGAGTTGAAGACCAGCTTGGGCAACATGGTGAGACCCCGTGTCTTAAAAAATATATATACAAAAATTAGCCAGTGGCATTTACCTGTTGTCCCAGCTACTCAGGAGGCTGAGGTGGGAGGATCGCCTGAGCCTGGGAGGTTGAGGCTGCAGTGAGCTGTGTTTGCACCGTTGCACTTCAGCCTGGGCAGCAGAGCACAACCCTGTCTAAATAAATAAATAATAAATAAATAAATAAAATCGTAACTCTTTGCCATGCCTTATAAGGCCCTTGTAATGCCGTATAGGGTATGATCTGGCCCATCTAATTCTCCAGCCTCCTCTTGCACTGTCTTCTTGATCAGTTGCCTTCCTAACAGCTGTTTCCTCCCATCTTCCATGTCAGCAGAAGCCTGATTTTGTTCAGATATAGGGTACTTTTCTTCCATGAAAGAGGTGGTGGTATTTTCAGGGAAGGTGTGCCCTCCTGTGATTCACTGCAGTTGGGCCACGGTTAATCCAATTCACTCATAGCCGTACCATGACTCCATTGCCACTGATTGGGGTAAGTGGTGGGACTGAAGAGAATGTCTGCTGGTGGCTGTGGGAAAGATGGGCTGCCCTCATACGAGAGTGACTCGTGAAGAGGAGATGCCTGCATGCGTCCTTCCTGCTTTAGGGGTGTCGGAGGGTGAGGAGCCACCCCCAGCGAGGGAGACACTGTCCACATACCGAGGAAGGCAGATGGAAGGAGCAGGCCTCTAAAGCCACAGATGAGTTTCAGGATCAACCACAAAGTTGCCATCCTCCTCTTCAAAGGGATAATGAATGCCTTTATGGTTCCAGCCACATTTAGGAAGGCCGTCTGTTGCATGTGGCTGAGCACATCCTAACCAGTATCTTTCCTCCCGCTCGCTGTGTTCCACTCTCCCTGGCCTTGCAGCCCGTGGTCGTGCTGTGCCCTCTCCTGCCTCGGGAGATGTGCACACGCCATTCCCTCTGTTTGGAGCACTCTTCGTCCTGCTTTTCACACATCCTTTAAGTTTCAGATTGTTTTCACATAAAGGTTTCTCTGCTGTATTATTTTCTTTATGTCTGCTTCTTGTTAGTTTCATCCACAGCCCCTAGCACATTTTGAAATTATTTTTTCGGTATACTTTTTTTCTTCCCCTCTAGACTGTAAGTTCCATAAAGGCAGAGACTGTATGTATTTTGCTCACCTTACAAGGTGCATGGCAGAGGGAAGGTGCTCACCACCTGTTTACTGACTGAGGGCGTGAATGGAGGAGTGGTGCTCATCTTCCTGACCTTATCCTCTGCTGCTTGATGACCTCTCACAGTTTCTACTTTAGCCACATGGAATGGTGGTTTCTAGAATGTTCTTTAGTCTCTGTCACTTTTTAGTCTTTGCATATGCATCTCAGTTTGCTGGAACAGCTCTCCTCCTTCACCCAGACACCTCCCACTCTTCTGTAGGTCTCAGCTGAGCTTCCACTTCTTCCTGGAAGCATCCCTCTGCTGACCATGTGCCCTGGGGACACTGCTCTCAGCAGGCAGAGCACCTCCCAGTCTGCACTGTAGGCCCCTGATTGCTTTTGTATTTATTATTTCTATTTTTCGAGATGGAGTCTTGCTCTGTTGCCTGGGCTGGAGTGCAGTGGCGTGATCTCAGCTCACTGCAACTTCCACCTCCCGGGTTCAAGCGATTCTTGTGCCTCACCCTCCTGAGTAGCTGGGATTACAGGCGTGCGCCACCACGGTCAGCTAATTTTTGTATTTTTAGTAGAGACGGTGTTTCATCATGTTGGCCAGGCTGATCTCGAACTCTTGACCTCAATAATCCGCCCGTCTCGGCCTCCCAGAGTGCTGGGATTACAGGCACGGGCCACTGTGCCCGACCGGGATGGCTTTTTTAAGTCACCGTATCCCTAGCATGCAGCCTGTAGTAGGTGCTCAAAAAGTATTTGTTGAATTAGTTCCTTTGATTAATATTTTTGAATGCCCACTGTGTGTCACACATTGTGTGAAGTGTTGAGGTTATAAAGATGAAAAAGAAATTGTCTCCATTCTTACATTCTAGAAAGGGAGACAGGTCTATTAACCAGTAAAAAAAATGCAACGTGATGAGTGTGGGAAAAGAGGCTGTGGGAACACCGATGAGGGAACAATGAAATCTTCCAGGGAAGTAGAAGATGGGGTGTTAGGGAGCGCTTCAGAGAGAGACTGGAGAAGGACAGAGTGGGGTTCAAGCCAGCAAAATTATTTCCAAAGGGGAAGGATGGATGTCTGTGTCTAGGTGTGTATGTCTATGCCTTTATGTCTATGTGTCTACGTTGAAGTCTATATGTAAGTCTCTATGCCTAAGCCTCTGTCTCTCTATAAAGCATATGGAGAAGGGGCCACACTGGAGAAGTAAGGGAGAGTATGTGTAGGGAAAATGAGGGCAGAGGGTCTGAGAAGGGGCTTCAGCAGTTAGACTTGTTTTTGTTTTTTTTTTTAGACAGAGTGTCACTTTGTCGCCCAGGCTGAAGTGCAGTGGCGCCATATTGGCTCACTGCAACCTCCGCCTCCTGGGTTCAAGTGATTCTCCTGCCTCAGCCTGCCGAGTGGCTGGGATTACAGGTGCCCGCCACCACACCCAGCTAATTTTTGTATTTTTAGTAGAGACAGGGTTTTACCATGTTGGCCAGGCTAGTCTTGAACTCCTGACATCAAGTGATCCATCCGCCTCGGCCTCCCAAAGTGCTGAGATTACAGGTGTGAGCCACCGCGCCTGGCTGAGATTTGTGTTCCATCCAGTTCTCCCCTCACTTGGGGCTTCTATATATGTAAGCACTGGGGGCCTCAGGACCCCTGGCTTAGTCAACGGCTGCTCCCAGAGCTGGGAACATGACAGCTTCATGCCAGGGCAGCCCCAGGTAGCTTTGTTCTTGGGCCCCTGGATGCCAGAGGCAGCTCCACTCACCTTGCGGGGCCGCTCCCTCTCCACCTGGGTTCCAATCTGGTTCTGCTCCTTACCTGCTGGGTGACGGGGCAAGTGCCTTCCCACCATGATGAGGAGATGATGTTTCCCGCAGAGGGTTCTGGGGAGGATGCAGTGAGATCATGTATGCAAAGCACCCCTCTTGGGGCTGCACACGGTGGGAGCTGGGCAGTTGCCAGTTCCCTCTCCTTCCTCTCCCTCCTTGGCTGACTACCCAACAGGTGAAGATCTGACCTGTTCTCTGACCGAGCCCCGGGCGCCCCCAGCTGAGCCCCGTGGCAGGCAGCAGAGTCTCAGTGTCACATAAAGGCAATTTCTCTAGCTGATTCTTTTTAAAGAACAAAAAGCAAATTGCCTCTCAGTCTTACTTGGCTGCCTCAGCCGTGCGCTTTGCCAGAGTGTTTGCATTCAGGGATCCGTGGGGGTCCTGAGGTGGTGGGCCATGCGTGCTGCCTGTTCAGTGCAGCCCCCCGCTTTGTCTGATTTCCTAATACAGTGCAGCATTCGAATTTTTCTCTAAGCATCTGAAAGCGAAAGGGAAATTGTGACTGTGGATGAGTCCCTTTTAGCGACCTCTGTGAGATCTCCCCAAAGTTGTTCTCCAGCCCAATTAGAAACCTGCCTGACTTTCAGGAGCGGGAGTGCCTGCCGTTGAAGACTCCTGTTCCGAGCCCTAATTACTGCTTGATGGAATGAATAAAGACGTCATGTTTTCTGCATTTTACTTAGAGAGTTGCTGATGCGGTGAATGTTGGATGAAACGTCTCTTTCCTCAGAGAGATTAAAAACTAAGTGCCTCAGCGACAGAGCCAAGCGGCTGTTTTAACAACAGACTTCCCCTCCTGCGCTCCCTTGGCCTCGCAGTTGGAGCTGGTCTGGGCCCCTTCTGTTCTTTCCACTCTTCTGGAATCAAGGTGGAAGATGCCTTGACCATCGAATTTGACTGATTAAAAAAGAGACACAAGCATCTGTTGAGCCCTTGCTGTGCATCCGACTTTTTCCATCCATTCTCTCATTTCTTTCTCACAGCAGCGTTATGAAACGGCTTGCTGTGCCCCTTGTGCAGATGAGGAAACTGAGGCTCACAGAGTTAGTGTCTTGCCCAAGGTCATCTGGATAGCAGGTAGCAGAACGGTGGTTTGAATTCAACCTCCAGTGCAGAGTTTGTGGTCTTTCTCCATCGGCTCCAGGGACATTTCCTGGCCTGCGTGGTGGAACCTGCCCACCCCCTGAGGAGCCAACCAGTTCTTTTCCTTGACAGAGAATGGCACGGTATAGTGGTTAACTCCCACCATATGACAAATCTCCCCAAAACTTAGTGGCTCAAGACAATGAACTTGACTATTATTGATGGCTCTGTGTTTGGCTAGATGGCTCCTTTGGTCTTGGCCAGGTTGTCTGGGGCTGCAGGAACTGGGATGGCCTCCCTCAGTATCAGCTGTGGCAAGGACCACATGGCCTCTTATCTTCCAAGAGGCTCGCCCAGGCCTGACCTCTTCCTCACACATTCTCCATGTCCATGTAGATGTAGATATCCATTCTTCCTCTTTGAAAGTAACTGAGCTGGCTTGGACCCTGTCTATCTTGCAGAAGAGGGAAGCCTGATGCCTAAGTACTTTTTACATCCTCTGTTATTTCATGTCTGTTAATGTCCGGTTGGCCAAAGGAAGTCATATGTCCAAGTCCAGACTCAAGGGATGGATAATGGACTCCTTCTCTTGATGGGAGGGGCCAAGAAGCCCCATTTGAAGGGGTGTGCCTGCAGGAACGAGGAAGGCTTTGTGGTCATTCTGCGTTACTGCAAAGGGTAACACCCACTCTTCAAAGGCCATTTCACAGCTCCTGGTCCTGTAAACTAAGGGTGTGGAGAGGGGGCTTACTGAGCTTCCACATCTGGACGGGATATCACGAGGCTGTGCCAGACAGATGCCTCATTTTGTTTGTTTGATGCGTGTGTTGCTGTTTTTTAAACACGCAGAGAATGTGAAAACACAACTTCCCTTTTGAATTGATCCTTGTTCTCACAACTAGTCATTACCTTTCATGATTGTTATTAATATTTCCCTGGACCAGCTGCTGCAGATGAACCTGGAGTGCATGTTTGGAGTTGGTGGTGGGGAAGGTCCCTGTTCTGGGCTTGAGGCTCCAGGGATGGAGGAGGGGACATTGGTGCCCCATGCCTGCCCTCTTCTCAGGCTCACAGCATGCCCTGGTTTCTCCACCTGGACTTAACAGAGTTTCCGCCGTTATCTGGGAGATGAAGACCAGAGGGTTTTAGGCCCTTTGAAGGAAGGAACGGTTCAGAAGAATGAGTCAGTGATGGAGTCTCTAGATGTCTTGCCAGCTCCATCTCTGCTACTGTATTCTCAGCCCCCTAGCCTCCCTCTTGTGCTTCCAGGGATATAGTGCCCCGTTTTCAGTGCAGAAAGTACTTTGATCAGAGGTTTGTGAAAACCAGTTTCAAGGCTGCCAGCTTTGGGTATTCCTGGGGTGTGGGCCTCAGTTCCAGGTTGCCCTGAAACTCTCCTTTCAGCAGGGAGAGAAAAGGCAGTAGGAGCTACAAACACCTTGGGCCTTGTCCCCAAGCTCAGCCTTCTTGGGTGACTCACCCGAGCAAGGAGCAAGTCAAACTCAGCACAAGGGAACCCCTGCCCCAGAGCCCGTGACATAAAGGTGAAAGAAAGGCTTTTGGTGTCTCTTGCAGCCAGAGTATGTTTGAACATTAGAGGCTGGTTTTAGGTTTGACGCTTTCTCATGCTGGCATGAGCACCTAGCATGGGGCCTGGCGCATCAGAAAAGCTCTAGAAGCGACCTTGCCATCCGCCCACTCTGCAGGTGGCCGAAGCCCTTGGGTGGAAGGTTCCAGGGAGAGTAGTGCTGGCAGCCCTGATTCAGGTGTGTTTGGGGAAAGGGAAAGGTGAGACCTTCAATGTGGGAGCCCCTAAGGCCTGCAGAAAAATGAGACTCTTAAAGCTGCTCCTCCCACAGCGGGAGGGTACCTCCACCCACCAGGCTTCCGGCTTCTCAGCGTGGCTGATTCCTGGTGCACTGTCAGCCTTTATGGGTCCCATTAGGGCAAGAGAGTAAGAGGTTTTATGGGAGTTTTTCCCCCCTCTGTCTTAAAAAAAAAGAAAACTAGAGTTTTCCTGCGAATTAAACAAATGTCAAATCAGCTTTGGCTGCCTGAATGGCAGCCTTTCAGAGGCAGTGCCTGAGGCTAACTCAGGGAAATGGGGTTCCTGCTCTCTGGGCCTCCCAGCAAAGCCCACCTGGTTTTTGTTCTGCTCTTTGAACAGAGGGCTGAGGAGGGATGCTGGTCTTTGTTTTCCTCCCACAGTCAGGACTGGAGGAGATCCTAGCCAGGAGTGCAGAGGCAGGGGTCTGGGGACCCTCTCCCCACCAGGAAGATCTTCAGGGGTTCTGGGAGTCCCTGGCATTACAGGCAGCATCACAAATATGCATGGAAAGTGAAATTGGAAGGGGTAAATCTGTAGCTTTGTTCTGATTCTCAAAGAGGTCAGTGACCTTCAAAAAGATTAAGAACTCATGAGAGGCTGGGCATGGTGGCTCATGCCTGTAATCCTAGCACTTTGGGAGGCTGAGGCAGGCAAATCACTTGAGGCCAGGAGTTTGAGACCAGCCTGGGCAACATACTGAGATCCCATCCCTACAAAAAATACAAAAAGGTGTGGTGGCATGCGCCTGTAGTTCCAGCTATTCAGGAGGCTGAGTGGGAGGATCACTTGAGCCTGGGGAGATGGAAGCTGTAGTGAGCCGGATCGTGCCACTGCACTCTAGCCTGGTGACAGAGTGAGACCTTGTCACAAACAAACAAGCAAAACTCATGAGAACTATTACAGCACCCACATTTTGGACAAGAAGAACTTGGTCCAGGGGCTGGGTGTGGTGGCTCACGTCTGTAATCCCAGCACTTTGGGAGGCCGAGGCAGGTAGATCACTTGAGGTCAGGAGTTTGAGACCAGCCTGGCCAATATGGTGAAACCTCATCTCTAGTAAAAATACAAAAATTAGCCAGGCTTTGTGGTGCACGCCTGTAATCCCAGCTACTGGGGAGGCTGAGGCAGGAGCATCACTGGAACTCGGGAGGTGGCGGTTGCAGTGAGCCGAGATTGCGCCACTGCACTCCAGCCTGGGCAACAGAGCGAGACTCCATCTCAAACGAAAACAAAAACAAACCCCAAAAGAACCTTGTCCAGGAAGGTCTACACAGGGCAAGTGACTTGATGATTCAATTCACATAGCACATTAGTGGCTGTTTGTTTAAAGATCAGGTCCCTCTGTTTAAGGCGGGGTGTGGGGGGGCGCAAAATTGAGGAGGGGAGGCTTTTTCTCATTTGCAAGCAGCTTGTCTCATAATTGACTGGTTTTTTTTTGGTTCTGTTGTTGTTGTGTGTGTGGTTTTTTTTTTTTTTTTTTTAAGTTGGAATCACTCCCAGAAGTAAAGGGGCTGAGATGAGCAAAATAAATAAGGAATAAGTAGGCTCAACGTGTGGGGGAAGTATAAAATACAAAGTGACTGAGTTTGGGGTGAAAATGACTCAGAGCTGAATGGGAACAGAAGTGAGCTGTGCCCTCTGTGTTCCTGGTCCAGGCTGAATGAGAGGAAGAGAGCAGCATGAAGGATAAAGAAGCTGGGTGAGCTTCTTATATAGTTTTCTGGTACAGTGGGCTAAGCGGCTTCTTTTTAAATGGGGAACCCTAGGCTATCAGTGACCCCTGACTCCTACAGGTCTGGAGGATTGAAATGGAACCCTCACCTTCTGAGCCATTGATCCTCTCTCTTTGATTTTGCCAGAGTCCCTCTCCCCAGCTCAGTCCCAGCCAGGTACCCCGGGGCTGCCTTCCCCGGGCTCTCATCCTCCTCTTTCATCCAGCGGCTCCTTACAGTATAGTTCAGGAAGCCCCTGGGAGCCAGCTCCGTAGATTGCCCCCTCTTTCTTCTTGGTTGCTTTTGACAAGCTGTGGAGGCCCCCCTTCTAGTTTCTCTAAAATGATAAAAAGGTTGAAAACATCTTTTTGCTATTCTCAACTGATTGAGTTTTTGTTCCTGGAGCCAATCTCCATTTAGTGGACAAACAGAGCCCTATAGGAATTGATTACCATCCTGCTGGCTCCCCAGGGGACTGTTCAGGGAGTGCCAGCCCCTCTCTGGGAATGGGTGGGTAGCCATATGAGGACCCACCTGAAGAGGAAGGAAGGAATTGGCCTGGCAGCTTCTAGAAATTCCCTCAGGCTCACCTCATTTCAATCCTTTTGGACAGGCATTGATAACCCATTTTGCAGATGAGTAAACCAAGGCACAGAGAAGTAAAAGAGCATGCTCCAGTGTTGACAGAGGAGGCTCTGAACACAGAACTGGCTGAGCCCGAAGCCCATAGTTCCGATTGAAGGCCTATCTGGGTATGAGGGTATCTGTCTCGCCTTAGTTTTCTGGCTGCATTTTCGTTAGTATCTTCTTCTTATTAGCATTTGAAACAGAGTCTCGCTCTGTCGTCCAGGCTGGAGTGCAGTGGTGCAGTCATAGCTCACTGCAGCCTTGGACTCCTGGGCTCAGGCAATCCTCCCGTCTCAGCCTCCCCAGTAGCTGAGACTGCAGATGTGCACCACCAGGCCTGGCTAATTTTTTTATGTTTTGTAGAGATAAGGTCTCACTATGTTGCCTAGGTTGGTCTCGAACTCCTGGCCTCAAACAGTCTTCCTGCCGCAGCCTCCCAAAGTGTTGGGATTACAGGCATGAGCCACCATACCCGGCCAGTGTCTTATTAATATTAGAGTGCTAGATCTGACGATACAGGCCTGAAGGTAGGAGAGAAGGAGGAAGGTGGCAGAGGGATGATCTTCTGATGGGGAATCTCCAGAGCTGAGGTCACAAATGGGGAGACTGAGTCCCACTGGCAGATAGGTCATGTGCAGACATGCTGCTGTTTTGTTTGGCTTGGCAATGACTTTGAATGCCTGTGGGTAGGGCAGGCATTTTCCCATGGGCCACAGGCCCACCTCTCCCTGAGGCCACACACCTGCCAGGCTACACTTACTTTATTGGCTTGGTCGGCTCGAGAGTGTGAATCTGCACATCTCTCCCTGATTCTGCCTTCAGTGACATCAGGCTGGCAGCTTGAAATTGGCCATCTTGGGTGTATTCCACCATAGAAGTCAGCAAACACTACAAATCAGGGCTTTTTATTTCTGCAGTTCGTTGTTTATTTTTTCAGAGCCAGTTTACCTGCACAGTACTGCCTGTGGGCATTTTCTTTCAGCCCTCCTTTGAAAACTCTCTCCAGTTTGTACTAGGCATGATCATCCACCTTGCTTTATTTAAATCAGTCTCATTTACGCCTCACGACAAGCCTGCCCTGGAAGATGTCCCTGACCCCATCTTGAAAATAAAGAAACACATGCCGGGCATAGGGCCCAGGGCTTGGGTTCAAAGACAAGTCCTTTGCCTTCAAGCGTCATACCCCTTGATGGGGCTTAACTCCTTGGTTTTCATTTGGGGGGAAGGTTTGGCAATATCTGAGGACATTTTTGTTGCCACAAGTAGAGGGGGTGCTACTGGCACGTGGTGGGTGGAGGTGGGGGAAGCTGCTAACATCCTACAATGCATAGGGCAGCCCTGCCACAAAGAATGATCTAGCCCCTGGCCGGGTGCGGTGGCTCATGCCTATAACCCCAGCACTTTGGGAGGCCGAGGAAGGCGGATCACGAGGTCAGGAGATCGAGACCATCCTGGCTAACACGGTGAAACCCCGTCTCTACTAAAAATACAAAAAAAATTAGCCAGGCGTGGTGGCGGGCACCTGTAGCCCCAGCTACTCGGGAGGCTGAGGCAGGAGAATGGCATGAACCCAGGAGGCGAAGCTTGCAGTGAGCCGAGATCGCGCCACTGCACTCCAGCCTGGGCGACAGAGCGAGACTCCTTCTCAAAAAAAAAAAAAAAAAAAAAAAAAAGAATGATCTGCCCCCCTTCGTTTGGAAGCTACTAACATTCTACAGTGCACAGGGCAGCCCTGCCACAAAGAATGATCTGGCCCCAGATGCCAGAGGTGCCGAGGTGTGGGGAGCCCTCTGTTAGCAGGTGGTACCCCCTGGGCATCGCATTGCTTTTCCTATCTCAGGAAGGCATGAACTAAATAAAGGTAACACTCATCTTGGTCAGGAATGGGGAAGCACCGTTTGGACAAAGCTAACTATGCTACCAAGGTGGCTTTCCAGATGGGCTGGCCGGCAGGTTTAAGACCTCACTGGGCTTGTGCCCAGACCTGGGAAGTTAAAGTCAGATAGGAGAGGGTCACAGTCATCGCCCAGCAGTGGGAACTGTGACCTGAAGACAAATACAGACAGGGGAGGATTTCATGAGAAAAGAGAACATGGGAGTGGTGAGAAACAGCAGAAGCCCTGTCCCAGGAAGGGGCCAGCCAGCCCCTGTTAGCGATAAGCCAGAGCTGGAGAAAACAGAATCAAGATCCAGATAGATTTACAGGGCTGCATTGGTGGTTCCCAAATCTGCCTCTTTGTCAGAGTCATCCAGAGAGCTTTAATAAGAGAAAACAATGTGTATGGCCAGACCTTGCCTCAGACTTACTTGGAATGGCCAGAAGTGGGGCCTGGAAGTCTGATATATATATGTATTTGAGACAGGGTCTCACTCTGTTGCCCAGGCCAGAGTGCAGTGGTATGATCATGGCTCACTACAGCCTCTACCTTTTGGCTTTAAGAAATTATCCTGTCTCAGCCTCCCGAGTAGCCGGGACCACTGGTGTGCACCACCGTACCTGCCTAATTTTTAATGTTGCCCAGGCTGGTCTTGAACTCCTGGGCTCAAGCAACCTCCCGCCTTGACCTCCCAAAGTATTGAGATTACAGACGTGAGCCAGTGCGCACAGCACAGCCAAGTCTGAATTTTAAAAAACTTTCCAAGTGATACTGATGACTGGCCAAGTTAGGGACCCCTGGGAAAGATGAACGTGTTACTTGTCAGTGATGGCTGTTAAATATCAAAACGAGTATTTGAGGGAGGCTAGGCACCAGCATCACTCATGCAATAAAGTGTTTGAAGACTTGACACTGCTCTGCCCTTACAACAGTAGGTGGGCCAGTCTCCTGCCCTCTCCAAGTGTACAGAATAGAATTAGGCACAGGGGACAAAATCTCTCTGAGCCTCATTTTCCTCATCAGTTAAATAAGACAAATACTACTTACAGCATGGGGTCTTTGCGAGGATGACATCAAGAAGCAGTGTGACAGCCATCAGCAAGTTCCCAGCTTAGCGTCTGAGTGGGGTGGGTCCTCTGTAGCTGTTGTCCATGGCTTTTGCTGCAAGAGCTTCCTCTTTCAGTCCAAATTCTACATGGGTTGTGGTTCTACCTTGTGTCAGGGACATTCCAGGCCCTGGAGGATATTGAAGTGAGGGAGGCCTTGTTTTCATCCTCAGAGAGCTTACAGCATAGCAGGGAGGTAGATGTGTAAAACCCCCTGCCCTTCAGCCACGCTGGGCACAGAGCGTGGAGAGGTGGCACAAGCTTGCCGTGGGCCTGGTGCAAGAGGGATCATGGGTCAGGGAAGCTGCTTAAATGGAATTCCAAAGGAAGTTACAGGGTTTTGGTAGGATGGAGAAAGTTCTTTAGTTGTGCCAGGTCAATGAGGCTGGTGGGCAGCAGGGAAAGACCGCACAGGCGGTGGCTGGGGAGAGGGTGTACCTGGGGTCTCTATGCCTTTTCTAATAGGCTTCTTGTTCTTGCCCTCTTTTTCTCTCTTTCCTCCCATCTCCCTTCCTGAGAAATGATACCCTTCAGGTGCAGACACTTGAAAAAGTTCATCTGCTTGGTGCTTGATTTATCATTCAAACCTTCAGTAACTGATTTCCAGTCTCATAAAATATTAAATACGTCCATTTATTGAATATCGCATTTTGATATGTTTTGACGCCTCATTTGCCACTGAAGTCAAGGACAGATTCACGTTTTTCATGGCATGGGGCCCAGATTTGTCCTCGTACAGTGTTGTATTAAATCCCCTCCCCACGCCCCTCCTCTGCAGACCCACGCTCCTCAGCGTCTCACTTGAGCAGCCACCCTGACGGCCCAGTTGGCATGGACCATGGCAGGCCCAGGGCAGAATGGCCACATGTATCATCCCCAGGGAGAGTTATTTACATAGCGCTGTAAACATTTGTGGAAGGAAAGACAAGGTCTCTGCCAGACATCTCTAGATTCCGCATCAGACAGTGGCCAAGCCAGGGGTAGAGCCCGAGGGGAGAAACTGTGTCCTCCCACAGGCCTGTGAGCACACTCATTCCGTCCATTCATCTGCTCATGCTGGCAACTGAGGTTTAAGAAGCACCTACTAAGTGTTAGATACTGAGCTAGGCCCTGGGGATTTTACGATGGAAAGCTGTTGTGCATGAGAGTGCCGCAGGTGTTGGGGGAGAAGTGTGTCGTTAGGAGCTGTGAGCATGGAGAGGAGGGCATGCAGTTCTCCCACGGAGGTGACTGGGAGTGATGGGGCCGTGGAAAGACTTTAGAGAAGGAACAGCCCTTGAGCTCAGGCTTCAGCTAAGAATGAGTTTGCAGATGGCCGAGGAGGATAAGGGCGTTCCAGTCAGGGCGTGCTGCTGGAGCAGTGGCATGGAGGGGAATCTGCATGTTTTGAGGCTGGGTGCTATTCTGTATGGCTGGGGATGGAGGGTTCCGGAGGGGCCTGGTAGGAGTTTAGGGTGGCCAGGAGGTAAGAGCAGGTCACAGAGGGCTTAGAAGCCACAAAGGTGATGGAATTTGGGTGGTCTCCTGGAGATGGCAAGGGAATGCCACAATTCATTGGATGAGAGGATGGTTTGGAGCAGGGCAAGACCAGAGGCAAGGATGCCAGTTGGGAGGCTCGGCTCAGTGGTCCAGGTGAGAAATGAGGAGGAGGAGGAGGACAGGCTTCGGGGAGACATTCAGGAAGTGGACTGCATGGTGGTGACCGGTTCAGTATTGGTGGGCCCTTAGGCTGGGTTTCCCCAAAAGTACACCCTGAGAAAATGACTTGTATTGTAACGGGTTTGGTTGAGGGGCGATCATGGGAATCAGCAATGGCACAGTGAGGCAGGGAGGGGCACCTGTGTTTAGCACCACAGCACGTTGGTGTGCAGGAGGCCGGGAGAAGGCCTTCATGAAGAGAGCCCAGGTGCTTGCAGCTTGGGGAAGGGGCTGGGGCAGGGCCCTGTGGGCATCTGCACGGTGGGTGAGGGGAGGGAGGAGTCAAGTCTGATTCCCAGGACCACACGTTGGGTGGAAATGCCATTCAGATAGAAAGAATTTGGGGGAGTGGCCATTTGGGGGCAGAAAGGGGATGACAAATTCAGCTTTGCCATGTTGAGTTTGGGGTGCCTGTAAGCTGGCCACATGGAAGCACCCAGCAGGAAGTTGATTGATGGGGTGTGGAATCCAGGAGAGGGGTGTGGGCGTGAGACACAGATTTGGGCTTTATTTGGGTAGAGATGCAGCCAAAGCCACGGGCCCAGATTGTGTCACTTATAGTCACTTAAGAAGAGCAGAGAGCAGATGAGAGAGGAAAGAGCTGGGAAACACAGGAATTTATAGAACAATCTGGGGAAGAAAGCCTGGCAAGTCAACTGAGGAGCAACTGGAGAAGGTGGAGGGAAAAACGAGGGCAGGTGAGACCCTGGATTCCAGGGGGTGGTTGCCAGTTGGAAGAGATTGGAAAAGACAGTGGCTGCCGAGAGGAGTCAAATCAGGTGAGGGTGGAAAAGCTTTCGCTGGGCAATGAGGAGGTCATGGGGCTTTTGCAGGGAATGTTTTCAGTCGTGTGGTAAGGAGCAGAAGCCAGAGAGGCAGCTGTACGAGGTTTTTGAGCAAGGAAGTGTCAAGGTCAAAGTGGCATTTTAGAAGATGATTCTGGAAAAGGTGTGTAAGGTCAGAGATAGGAGAGGCTGAGGTCAGGAGGCCAGCAATGAGGCTGCTGCAGGCTTCCAGCCAGCTGGGAGTGCAGCAGTGAGCTTAGAGAATGTGGGAGGCTTGCTTGAGTCCAGGAGTTTGAGACCAGCCTGGACAATGCAGTGAGACCCCATCTATACAAAAAGTATAGGAAGAAAAGGAGAAATCTGGGAGGCGGAGTGCAAGGAATACTTGCTAAGACTCAAAATCACTAGGCTAAGAGGACACATTTACAAAGGCTCTTGGGGCCAGCCCCACTGGCCACACTCTGTGTGTGTGTGCACGCATGTGTATTTTTCAGGGCTAAATGCTGTCATCAGTAACACAGTCTCTGCCCCTACCCATACTGAGAGGTGACCTTGGTTGTGATCCTCACCCCTCTAGGGCTTTTTCCTCATTGTGGAGGAAGCAGTGACCCCCCTTCTAAGTTGTGAGACTCACAAGAATGATGCCTTTCAAAGCACTGTGTAGGTTGTGATGAAGCATATGGGTTTTTAACTACGGTGCAAACAACTGTCAGGGCTTGTGTCTCTGCAGGGCCCAGAAGGTGCCCCAGAAGCTGACCCTGCTACCTCCTGCCCTGCTCCTCTGCCCCCAGCCCCACCCTTCTGGAAGCGCCTGTGTCTCCTGACCTTGGATGCTCCTTCTTCAAGGTGGATAGGCCTGGCTGGCTGGCGGCCTGTGGATACAAAAGTGACCTGCCAGCAGGAGCCTTTTTTTCTTTCCTCTTCCATTCAGAGCTAGTCTGCAACCCACTGGCAGGGAGAGTGTTGAATCTGATTTGCTGAAATACAATAGCAGATTGATTTTGTAGCCACCAGTGCCTGTAACAAATTCCAAGTGAAGTTTGGATTGCACAATTGTGGGGTAATGACATTTTAATTGCATGTCATATTTAGTCTGGCTCAATCTGAAGCCTGGGGTGGAGGCCCAACCCTGCGTGCTCCCAGCGCCTCCCCTCCTGCTTCAGTTGGGCCTGTTTGGTCCCTCTCAGAGTTTTCTCTCTTTCCCCCAGCCCCTCCCACCTCGGGGATCTGGGTGCAGGCAGGTGGGGGTGAAGTCGAAGACAGTTCTGGGCTTGCATCTGTTTCAGACTTTTTTTTTTTTAGAGCTGTTTGTTTTTGCCATCTTGCCGTGTTGCCCAGGGTGACCTCAAACTCCTGGGCTCCTCTGATCTTCCTGCCTCAGCCTCCCAAGTAGCTGGGACCATGGTCATGTGCCTCCACTCCTGGCTGTTTGAGACATTTTCCCCCTTTCCCCTTTCCCAAAGGTAGCTTTCCCTACCTTTGTTTTTCCCTCTCTGCTTTCCCTTTTCCCCCATCTTTGCAGTTGCTTTTTTTTTTTTTTTTTTTTTTTTTTTTGAGACAGAGTTTTGCTCTGTTGCCCAGGCTGGAGGTCTCGGTTCACTGCAACCTCCGCCTCCCAGGTTCCAGCAATTCTCCTGCCTCAGCCTCCTGAGTAGCTGGGACTACAGGTGCGTGCCACCTGCCTGGCTAATTTTTGTATTTTTAGTACAGATGCGGTTTCACCATGTTGGCCAGGCTGGTCTCGAACTCCTGACCTCAGGTGATCCATCTGCCTCGGCCTCCCAAATTGCTGGGATTACAGGCATGAGCCATACGCCCAGCCTGCACATCTTAATGGACCTGCCTTCTACCCCTTTCTCCTTCTACTGCTTTTTCTTTCCTCTTCTACACTTGGTTTTCCTGTCCCTCCTTTCCTCGGCTCTCTCCACTAACCTGCTGTGTGATCTTGGACATGTCACTTCCCCTCTCCGAGCCCCAGTCCTCTCATTTATGAAATGCAGGGCTTAGACTGATTGGTCTCTGTGAGCCTTTGATATGCATGGGATTCCTCCTTGTGTGCATCCCTCCTTCCCTCCCCATCTGCCTTCTCCTGTCTCTCGCTTCTTGGTTTCGCTTTGTTTTTATGGCGATGCTCGGAGCAGGAGTCTCTCATTCCACAATACAGGTGGAGGCCTGGACTGCCTATTATGATCCGTGAGCCTTCCACAGGAGAGTGACTCAGTGAGGAGCTGATTTGCTCCCTTCCCCCAGAACAGCCAAGTAATTGAAGAAAACATGAATGTTAATGATGCATTTAGCGTTTGGAAGTTAGAGGGGTGATTAATATGTTGTAAGTTGTATATTAACACCTTCACAGTGGCATAATGAAGACAAAATATACACTCAGAGATGAGATTGTTTATTCTTGTGTGCAGCACTCCTGGATGCCAACCCCCTAAGCCTCGGAACACGTGGCATGGCTGTGTGTTGCTGGGAGAGGGTGGCCGCAGGGATGGTGTCTGGCTTCGTGGTTTCTGCTGATGAGCTCTCTCACCTGTCCTGGGGCTGGCCCAGGCAGCCGGAGTGGAGGGTGGAGAGCACAGTGGGCTGGGGGCTTGGAGTCTGTGAGAGACCAGATGGTAGGGGACACTGTCATTCAGGAGTGGCATGCCCAGAAGACAGTGCAGCATGTTCTTTGTGGTCTGCGGAGCTCACTCTAAGTTTTCAAAGGAACGACAGGATAGGAGAAGTGAAGGGAGGATGCAGGAAATAGGAAATGCCTGCAGTGTCTTGAGCTTCAGGAACTCTGGGATTTGCCCATTCTGCCCTAGGGAGGTCCCCCTCCCCAGCAAGGGGATTCTTGCTACAGGTTATGCCTAGTGAGTCACAAGCCTGGGTGCAAGCAAAACATGTTGATTGGAAACTCTCTGACCAGGTTCTGTATTGGTGCTCAGGCCTTTTACATGAGAACCACAGAGTCTCAGAATGTCAGCGCAGGAAGAGCCTTGAAAGAACGTCCGGCCCATGTCCTGTCGTTTTCAACAGGAAACCAAGGCCCAGTGAGCGGACAAGACTTTGATTTGGATTGACAGCTCGAGGCAGAACCAGGAGAGGGTCAGCTCACCTTCGTTCAGCCCCTGGGACTCTAGATTGGGGTGCAGAGATCTAGGGACTCTGGCCCCTCGATGACTCCCTTGGCCCATTTGTCCAGGAGGCCACATAGGAACTCCACCCAGTAGCTCCAAAGTGTGGAATAGCGGATAGGATGTAGAGAGATTTGAATCCTAGCTCTGCTGATTACTGGATGTGTGGCTGTGAGAAAGTGGTTTCATCTCTTCGGGCCTTAGTATCTCCATCTGTCAAAGAGGAACAATAATATTTAATATGCAGTATAATTGTAAGGATCACTTGCATCCTGAACACACACACTAAAAAATGATTAGCATTAACGTGTGCGTGTCTGCATGCATGCACGTGTGTGTGTGAAATACCAAGTACAGTTTCTGGCAAAAGACAAGGAAGGCGCTCAAAAAATGGTGATAATGGTGTATCATAATTGTTACTGTTATCATCATGATTTGCTTTCACGGCTGCAGCCTGCACACCCAGCTCTCATCTGTTCTTCAAGATTCATTTTAGTCACCCTTCCTCCGTGCATAATCCCTCACTGCCCACTACCCCAGTCTCAGTTCAGCACACTCCTGTGTGTGGTATAACCCTTCATCCATCTCTTGTTGGTGGAGTTTGCTTGTCTCTCTCCCCCATCTGCCTATAAGCTCGGTGGGGGCGGAGACTGTGCCTCCTCCCTTCCCCCGCAGCATCAGTGTTCCTGAAATGTTCATTGGACGGATGAGTGCTCTAATTCCAGGCCTGGTGCGCCCCACCTGGGATGAAGCCAGTGCGTGTGAACCTGCTAGCTTCTGATTTCTTAAGATGAATCCTGAGTTCTTTTGTGCAGTGCAGGGAGTGCTGTGCTTTTGGGTTGAGGGCACCCCCTCCTAGGGATAGAAAGTTGGTGACCCCTTACCTCCTTGCAGGGCCGATTGTAACTTAGGTCCTGCTGCTTCCACAAAGCCTTCCCTAGTAATTCCATCTTTTCTGTACCGCTCCTGTAATACTTAATTCATTCTTCTCCTGACATGCTTGTCATACTTTACCTTGTCCTGTATCACTTACTTATGTGATGTATCTCCTTTGCGATACACCTCGTATCTATCCCTGTGGGACAACTCGTCCGCCCGTGAACCACCATGGGTCCATCTATAGTAGACTTTACCATTGGTAGAGTTTAAATGGCACTTTGTTGAATGAATGAATGATAAATTTCCTACTATATTTGTAGTGTGGAAGCCTGTTCAGCTGTTATCTCATTGTAATGCTAGTTTTTCTCATTATCCATTCTACATTCCGTGAGAGCAAGGATTTTACTAAATACTTCTGTGTCCTCATAATACTGGGCAGATAATTTAATGGGTAATTAATTACTGATTGATTTCCTTAAATTTTCTATCCTATTAAGACTTTTGAGGCAAAAAAAAAAAAAAATCTTATTAGCCTTGTTAAGGGGTGCCAACATTTGAAAGAATTGACTAAGCCTGAGTCCCTATGATGAAACGTATAGCATGTGGGATTCCCCATGACAGGTGGAAATCCAAAGGGTTTTTCTGATCATTTCCTGAAAGCCACTGATGACTTCACTGAAGGCAAAAGATCTCAGTTAAAGGGAATTATTAGACTTGACACTAGAAGTTGTCAGTGTAGCCCTCATTATCGGGCTACTTTGTGGTGGATGGGAACTGGCTTTGGGGCTTTGTCTGTGACAGGAGAGTGCTCCCTGCTGACTCTGGGTGGGTCAGACAGAGGCCATACCAGAGCTCTGAGCTTCCACCGTGTGTAGAGCCCTGAGCGGGGCAGGGAACACAGGGACAAAGAGGAGTGAGGTAGGTAGGGGAGGAGGGTCATGGGCACATGGTGCAAACCCGAGTGTGTGTGTGAGAAAAAAGCATTTCTAATCAGTGACCCTCGTATTAAGCAGGGTTCTGTGTGTGAGTGGTGGGGTTGCTGGGATAAAGAGCCATTTGAGGCTGGAGGGCTGGTCTCTGCCATTGGGGTCTTGGCTGGTGAGAATGAGGATGATTACTCATATCCATGTGTCGTTGTGACTCAGAGAGCTCGGGTTCTGGAGTTGGAGAGACCAAAGTTCACAGCTGAGCCCAGCTGCTGCTTAGCTGATTGGCCTTGGGTAAGTTCCTCACACTTTCTGTTTCTTCTTCTCTTGTGTGGGGTATCATAATAACTGCTTCCTGTTTCTCTGTGTCTTGTACAAGAAGACATGCCCCCACAGTGGGACTAGCACTCAGGTCTTGTCAATTCTTGTCCTGTGCTTTCTATACCCTTCAGCCAAGGGAAGGGGGGCTGTCTGCTTAATTAGCTGATGTTGATAAGAGCTTTGGAGATACAAAGCTCTTGATAAGAGCTAATCCCCTTAATCTGTGTGGGGCTGATGTGTGCATGTGTTGTACAAGGCAAATAGCACTGGGGGGATTGACCAGGAATGCAGGGCAGCACACGGAGTGTGCATGTGTTTGCGTGTGTGCATGTGTACACATTGTTCTTGCTCCCTTGAAAGGTGCTGCAGACATGATGTGCAGGGATTCATGCCTCAGATGGAGCTTGGAGGAGATGCCCTCCGTGTTTTTCCATCCCCAAAATGCTGTGATTCTATCCTTGATTGGAAGGTGGCTCCAGGTCCTGGGGCAGGGAAGCTCCTGAGCTCTGCAGGAGCGTCTGTGTGGTCCAAGGGAAGGATTTAAGAGCCCAGAGTCAGGTGTGGGGTGAGCTTTCTGCACACTGCCCTGCTCACTGTCTCAGGGTGCTGAGGCATTTAAAAATTGTCCTGATAATCCTTCTGGCAAAGTTGCCAGCCCTACTATAGCCTAGAAAAGAGGAATCTGTGAACTCAAAGACATGCTGTTCTGTTTTGACTCAGCAATGGGCAATCTGTTTTCTCCCAGGAGTTTGGTCTTAACCTTAGGTTATCAATTGGTTCACCCTGCCCTCTGTTCCCTCCCCTCTGCATATGTAAGCTCAGCCTGCATCCTCTCTCGCTTCCTTCTGTGAACCTTCCCTGCAGGCAGTGATGGGGACAGGCCCTCAGTGCAGTGCCTGGCCTGCCCCCCATGTAGGCGTGGCTCCCCCAGAAACAGACCCCAAGTGAAGACAGAAGTAAGTGCAAGTGGTTATGTGGTTGGTGGTCCTGGGAACCACACAGAAAGGGGGTTATGGTTTTTTAAAAGTGCACTCATTTGCCTGATAGAAGAGTGGAGAAGTGAGACAGGGAAGGGAAAGAAGACCATAAAACTGTGGCCACCCGGGGCCCAATCCCACTGGGGCACAGTGGGAGAGTATGGCCACTAGCTAGGGTCTAGCACTTGGGGCCTGTCCCATGTGCATGGGCTGCATGAGCTCCAGAGACCAGAAAGTTCTTGGATGAGACAGAGGTGCCTGCATCTGGAGGCCCCCGGATCAGCGAGTGTGAGAGAAGTGGACATGGCCCCACAGCTGCTCCTGGCCAATCTGAACTACTGCATCCTAGACCCAGGCTTGGCCATTGCAGTGAAGACATCTCCTGTGGCTGTAACCCCACTCAGATGTACATGCCAGCTACCCTACGGTTCTAGGAGCATTTTTGCAATTTTTATTTCTTGGAAGACACTGGCAGTGATCTGATTTATTAAAACTGTAAGTTGGCTGGGCGCGGTGGCTCACGTCTGTAATCCCAGCACTTTGGGAGGCCAAGGCGGGTGGATCATGAGGTCAGGAGATCGAGACCATCCTGGCTAACATGGTGAAACCCCGTCTCTACTAACAATACAAAAAATTATCCGGGTGTGGTGGCGGGCGCTTGTAGTCCCAGCTACTCGGGAGGCTGAGGCAGGAGAATGGTGTGAACCCAGGAGGCGGAGCTTGCAGTGAGCTGAGATCGCGCCACTGCACTCCAGCCTGGGCAACAAAGCAAGACTCAATCTCAAAACAAAACAAAACAAAAAACAAAACAAACAAACAAACAAAAACCGTAAGCAAATATGCATTCATCGTGGGTTTCGTTTGTGTCAGGCACCATGCTAGGTGCTTTTTCTGTGTATCTCATCTTGGTCCTTTTGATATCCCATGAAGCAGGTGTTGTTATTCTTGTTTGCTATTTGAGGCAACTGAGGCAGAGAGTGGTTAAGTGAGTTTATGCAGCTTGTAGGAGGCCGATTGAGGCCCTGAACCTAGTACCATACCATCTTTCCTGGCTGCGCTCACCATCTGAGAGCTTGGTTCTGCCAAATGGCACTTCACAAAGCATTGAGCGGGTTGGGTGGGCTACTTCTGTGGGCCTCCTGTGTATAGACACCAAAAATAAGATTCAATCCAACTAAAAGCCTGTTAATTATGCCCCAAAAATATGGATTGAAGGGTACCTGGGCCTTGATGGATGGAAGCTGCCTTTAAGTCAGACTCTGAGGAATGTCGTAGCCCCTCACCCTTTGATGAATTTGTGTCTGCCTGGCAGGGCCTGGCAGCTGCCCGGGCTCTGGCTCTCTTCTCTATTCCAGGAAGCCCAGCCATGCCAGCTCTGGCTTGTCACTCTTTTTGTCCCAGGGAGCCCCTAGAGACCTCTCAGTAATGCATTCTACCTACTGGGCTTGGCTGGCACTCTTCCTGCCCCTAGGGCCTGGTAAGTGACTTTGCCATCAGGCTTTGTGATTGCAGCTTGTGGGTGGGGATCCCCAGGATCCTCTTTAACTGGGTGCTCAGTTTTCATTTTAATCTGACAACTGAAGAGCTCTGGAGTAGGAGCCAGGAGATCTTGATTTCAGTCTCACTCATTGCTTATGTGTCCCCCTACTTCTCTTCTCTGGGCCTAGCGTCCTCATCTGCTAAGTGATGGGATCTAGTATCCCTTCCAGGCCTGAAATCCCAGGAGTTGGGGAGAAGCAGGAATTGGGTTACAAAGAGGGCAGAGGGTTACCAGCTGATTTCAGAGGTTTGTCTCCTCCAGGACCCAGCTGTCTGCTGGCTGACAGGTCAAGCACCCGGGATCCATTACATTAGATCAATCTAAGAGACCTTGGATTCTGCCAGTCCTAGGCACTTCATAAAATCCCTGGCCTTACATCTTTGTTGGGGTGGGGATGGGGCAGAGGGAAGAACTTGGGAATTGGTGCATGGTGGGGATGGGGAAGAGGGCTGTGGACTGACCCATATTTGAGCCACGGAGTCTGGGCCAGCCCCAGGAGCAGAGGGGCCTGTAGAATGGGCCATGATGGATTGTGACCACTCAGCTTGTGGGTCAATAATCCCTTTACTAAGAGATCCGCAGGTGCACCTTAGCTGGAGCTCAGTCATAAAGGCAGCAGTGGAGAATGGAGCTTTCATAAGGGGTCCTGAGGAAGCGCCTGTTAGATTGCTCTTTCAAATTGGCCGTGACAGACATGTTCCTTAGGGAGCCATTATCTTCAGACGGAAGCTGGATACTTTGGTCTGGAAGATTTGACCCTAGGCTATTCAGCCAGGATGGATGGAATAGGAAGTTGGCCCTACAATGCCTCATGGCCAAAGTGCTTTGGCCATGGTGGCCAGGAAGGGATACAGAATGTTGAGAGGGGAGCAGAGGGACTGGAGATGGTCATGCACAAGGCACCAGACCCCTCCAAAGGTGTCGGAAAACCAAAGATCAGCACATGAAACTACGTCAAGACCTTGAGGGAGCACACAGATTTCAGATATGGGAGTGGGCTGCTCAGATTTTACAAGATAACCCTTTTGTCTCAGGCAATGAACCAGTCAGCTTTCCTTGCACCAAACAAGCTTATAATACACTACAGTTACCTGTACAAGTGATTCCAGTGCCCCCTGTGCATCAAGCAGTTTTTATTGGGCTTTTGCCCTGGGGTTCCTTGAAGTTGCCACTGCTAAAGGGGACTTTTTTAAGAGGCTTAAAAGCCTCTGCTAGAATGATCAAAGAGGGTTCCAGGATGGCAGTGGACAGGTGTGACTGGAGCAAAAAGTTCACTTAGGACAGGGGTTCTCCTGGGGAACCTTCTCGGGAGCCCCGTGAATGTTGGCAAAGTGTTACGTGTAAGTAGTGATGTGTGTTTCTCTGGGCAAGAGCGTAAAACCTTCAGCCAGAGTCTCAAAATGGTCTTTTGTCTCGCAAGAGGTTACGGTTAAGAACCGCAGTCAGCTCTATACAGCAGGGCTATGTCTGCTTTGCTTTCCATTGTTTTCTTAGTACCTAGCTTAGGTACCTGGCACTTAGTAGGTGGTTAATAAATAATGGTTGGATGAACAGCTGACTAAGAAGATTAATAGTTCATGACTGGGAAAAGCTTTTTTATTTTATTTTATTTTATTTTATCTTATTTATTTATTTATTTATTGAGGCAGGATCTAACTCTGTTGCCCAGGCTTGAGTGCAATGGCACGATCTCAGCTCACTGCAGCCTCAGCCTCGCAGGCCCAAGTGATCCTCCCATCTCAGCCTCCTGAGGAGCTAAGACCATAGACATGTGCCACTACACCTGGCTAATTTCGAAATTTTTTGTACAGACAGTGATATCATTTGGATCAGTGGGGCCTGGTTGTAGGTGATTGGATCATAGAGGTGGATTTCCCTCTTCGTGCTGTTCTTGTGATAGTCAATGAGTTCTTGTGAGATCTGGTCATTTAAAAGTGTGTAGCACCTCCCCCACTCTTCCTCCTGCTCCGGCTGTGTGAAGTGCTCACTCCTCCTTTGCCTTTGGCCATGATTGTAAGTTTTCTGAGGCCTCCCCAGAAGCAGATGCTGCTGTGCTTTCTGTACAGCTTGCAGAATTGTGAGCCAGTAACATCTCTTTTCATCATAAATTACCCAGTCTCAAATATTTCTTTATAGCAACGTGAGAATGGAATAATAATGAAAATTGGTATCGGGAGTGGGGTATTGCTATAAAGATACCTGAAAATGTGGAAGCAACTTTGGAACTGGGTAATAGGCAGAGGCTGAGAGAGTATGGAGGGCTCAGCAGAAGGCAGGAAGATTTGGAATTTCCTAGAGACTTTTTGAATGGTTGTGACCCAAATGCAGATAGTGATATGAACAGAGATAGCCAGGCTCTGGATGTGTCCAGATGGAGATGAGAAACTTATTGGAAACTGGAGTAAAAGGTCACTTTTACTATGTCTTAGCAAAGAGCCTGGCTTCCTAGTGTCCCTGTTCTAGGGATTTGTAGAACTTTGATCTTGAGAGTGATGATTTAGGGTATCTGGTGGAAGAAATTTCGAAGTAGCAAAGCATTAAAGATGTTACCTGACTGCTTCTAATTCCTATGCTCATATGTATGGGCAAATAAATGACTTAAAGCTGGAACTTATATTTAAAAGAGGAGAAGAGCATGAAACTGGAAAGTTTGCAGCCTGGTCGTGTGGTACAAAAGAAAAGCCCATTTTTAGGGGAGGAATTCAAGCAGGCTGTACAAATTTGCATAAGTAAAAAGGGGCCAAGTGCTAATAGCCAAGACAGTAGGGAAAAGGCCTTGAGGCATTTCAGAGACCATTGTGGCAGCTTGTCCCATCGTAGGCCCAGAGGCCTAGGAGGACATAATGGTGTCGTGGGCCAGGCCCAGGGCCCTGCTGCCTTGCACAGCATCAGGACACTGTTCCATACAGCCCACACTCCAGCTCCAGCCGAGGCTCAAAGGGGCCCAGGTACAGCGTGGGCCACAGTTTCAGAGGGTACAAGTCATAAGCCTTGGTGGTTTCCATGTGGTGCTAAGCTGGCAGGTGCACAGAGTGCAAGAGTTGAGGCTTGGGAACCTCTGTCTAGATTTTGGAGGATGTATGGAAAAGCCTATTGGTCTAGGGAGAAGCTTGCTGCAGGGTTGGAGCCCTCATGGAGAACCTCTACGAGGGCAGCAGTGCAAAGGGGAAGTATGGGGTTGGAGCCTCCACATGGGGCACTGCCTAGTGGAGCTGTGAGAAGAGGGTCACCATCCTCCACACCCCAGAATGGTAGATCCACCAGCAGCTTGTATCTTGTGCCTGGAAAAGCTGCAGGCACTCAACGCCAGCCCTTGAAATCCACTGTGGGGGCTGAACCCTGCAGAGCCACAAGAGGAGAGCTGCTTAAGGCCTTGGGAGCCCACCCCTTGCACTAGTATGCCCTGGATGTGAGAAATGGAGTTAAAGGAGATTATTTTGGAGATTTAAGATTTAATGACTGCCCTGCTGGGTTTTGTACTTGCATGGGAGCTATAGTCCCTTTCTTTTGGCTTATTTCTCCCTTTTGGAATGGGAGTTTTTACCCAATGCCTATACCCCCATTGCATCTTGGAAGTAACTAACTTGTTTTTGATTTTACAGGCTCATAGGCAGAAGAGACTTCCTTTATCTCAAATGAGACTTTGGACTTTTGAGTTAATGCTGGAATGAGTTAAGACTTTCGGGGACTGTTTGGAAGGCATGATTATATTTTCCAATGTAAGAAGGACATGAGATTTAAGAGGGGCCAGGGGTGAAATGATGTGATTTGAAGCTGTGTGTCCACCCAAAGCTCATGTGGAATTGTAATACCCGGTGTTGGAGGGGGATCCTGGTGGGAGGTGATTGGATTGTGGAGGTGGATTTCCCTGTTGGTGCCGTTCTTGTGACAGTGAGTGAGTTCCCATGAGATCTGGTTGTTTAAAAGTGTGTGGCACCTCCCCTACTCTTCCTCTTGCTATGGCCATGTGAAGTGCTTGCTCCTCCTTTGCCTTTGGCCATGATTGTAAGTTTCCTGAGGCCTCCCTAGAAGCAGATGCTACTGTGCTTCCTGTACAGCCTGCAGAACTGTAAGCTAATTAAATCTCTTTTCATCATAAATTACCCAGTCTCTGCTATTTCTTTTTTTTTTTTTAATACTGAAAAGAGTTAACAGTGTATTATAATTTATTTTATTTGACAATCTAGGAAGTTCGCAGCCACCAGCAGTTCTAGTGCAGTTTCAGTGTAATTGGGAGTTTGGGAATCTCGGTGGAGCTGTTAGCGTAGTGAACCTGTGTGTAAAATACGTGCATACTTTTGATAGCACATGTGAAGGTACCTCTCTAAAACTGGCCTCATTGGTTTCGTTCTCAGCAAAATTGACCTGGGCCACTCAACATGGCTTTATCATGCCTGATGTTAATGCATGTTCTCTTTTTACAATAAATTCATGACCATCAGATGATATCAATTTGACATACATGGCATCAGGGCCTTCACAGCCACCCTAATAGGTTTTCTCCTCGCCATCCATTTTGTTCTTATGAAATTCTACTTTGCTTCCTCAGGAACTTTAGTAGTTTCCCAGAGTTCTTTTTCTGCCCCAGCTCGAGACTCACTTGTCTCGAGCCACCACAGCCTAGTCCCCATGTACTGCCCCGTAGCTACCATAACCCAGTCCCCATGTATGGCCACAGCCCCTATTCCAGGGCCACTCCCCCACCCTCAGCTGCCTCCCTGTCCTCAGGTATTTCTTTATAGCAATACGAGCACAGACTAATACAGATGGGGTCTCCCTATGTTGTTCAGGCTGGTCTCAAACTCCTGGGCTCAAGGGATCCTCCTGCCTTGGCCTCCCAAAGTGCTGGGATTACAGGCACGAACCACTACACCTGGCCCCGGAAAGCTTTTAATGTAGCTGTTCATAGCCTTGTGGAAAAGTTCTGGTTTAATTTTTTAAATAAATATTTATTAGTATTTTGCTCCAATCACATCAGGTATTGTAGTATTATTACTAGTACTGCTACCACCCCCACTGTCACTATTATTTCCCCACTGACAACTATCAGACACTACTTATTGGGCATGCACGATGTGCCGGGCATTGTGCTCAACCCTTTGCAATACGATCTCATTCAATCCTTACAACCATCCAGTGAAGTAGATATCATTACCCGCCTCTTACTGTTGAGGCTCGGAGAGCAGTTAAGTCACTTGCCCACGATCATGCAGCAACAAAGTGGAAATGCCCTAATTCTAACCCAAGTCAGCCTGACTCCAAAACCTATATCCTCAGCCATTATTTAATCTTCGGGGATGGGTGGTTCAGTGCTGAGAACAAAGACTCGTGTACCCTGGTCACAGCTTGTCACACACAAACCCCAAGCTCAAAGCCTCTGTGAAGTAAGAAAGGAACACGTTCATGCTGAGTCTTGGGTAAGGTCAGGAAGGCTGCTTGGGGTGGGCACGGTGAGTCTGCAGGGTCGGTGGATGATCTTGACAACCTTCTCCTTAGTTAAGCCTTTCACACAGTCCATTTTCTCCAATCAGCTGAGTGTTTGAAGGCCTGCAAGGCCCCCTGCTAGAGAAGATCAGGGAATCAGGCACTTGGAGCTGTCAGGGAGAAATATCTAAATCATTTGAACAGGTAATAATAGGATAGTGTAAGCTTGTTTAGTGCAAGGAAACTCGTTGTAACAGAAACCCCCTCCCAGCTCATCAACTTGCAGCTAAGGGATTTTCTGTGAGGTAGACACAAAGAAGACTTCCCCAGAGCCCTGGCAGTGAGGCAAGGGAGGGTCTGGGCCATCAGGAGCCAGAAAGAGTGAAGGTCCTGGCATCCTCAGGGGCTTATGAAAGACTATGGGAGTTGGGTTAGTGTGCTTTCACCTTAGACTGGGAGTTCCAAGATGGAGTCTAGTCTTATCTCAAGCATGTACTAACTATGTAAACTTGCCAAGTCACAGTTCTTTGGGCCTTATTTTCTTCCTTTCTAAAGTGAAGGCACTTAATTGCATGATTTTAGTCAGTTTTGACATACTGTCATCCGTAGAGACTTCTCAGCTGCAGCGGCAGTACAAGGGGGTCTTTGTAATGATTAACATGGGTATGGGGTATAGCTTGTGCTTGTCTTTATATATGTCATTTATTATTATTATTATTGTTTTAATTTTTGTTTTTTTGAGACAGAGTCTCACTCTGTCGCCCAAGCTGGAGTCCGGTGGTGCAATCTCAGCTCATTGCAACCTCCACCTCCTGGGTTCAAGCGATTCTCCTGCCTCAGCCTCCCGAGTAGCTGTGACTACAGGCCCCCGCCACCACACCCAGTTAATTTTTGTATTTTTAGTAGAGACGGAGTTTTGCCATGTTGGCCAGGCTGATCTCAAACTCCTGACCTCAGGTGATCCACCCACCTCGGCCTCCCAAAGTGCTGGGATTACAGGCGTGAAGCACCGCCCCCGGCCTTATTATTATTTTTAACTGTGACAAATGTGCAACCACCACCAACACTGGGATGTGGTACATTTAATTTTCACAACAACCCCATGAACTAGGTACTATTACTACCCCCATTTTTCAGACACAGACAGGAGGCTTAGAGAGGGTAAGTGACTTGCCCCAGGTCACACTGCCTTTAGGGGGCAGAAGTGAGACACTTATCTGGGTAGTTTGACTTCAAAGCCATGCCTTTAACCACTGGGCAGACTTTTCTCATGTTTTTGAGCAAGACTCACAGCAAGAAATACTTTTCCAAGCCTAACCCTGATTGTCCACAGATATATGCATATCAAATGGAAATACTTTGTACTGCATGCCCTGATAGTTCTTATTTTCTTTGCTTTTGGCTTTCTCTTTTGGGAGTGTCATTATTGTATTAGTTTCCTGTGGCTGTGGTAACAAATGACCGGAAGCCAAGTGGCTTAAAACAGCAGACATTTATTCTTTCACAATTCTGGAGGCCAGAAGTCTGCAATCAAGTTGTCAGCAGGGCTGTGCTCCCGCCAAAGGCCCTAGGGAGAATGCGTTCTGTGCCTCTTGCAGCATCTGGTGGCTTTAGCTGGTCTTTGCTGCAGTCTCTGCCTCTGTGGTCACGCTGCCCCCTCCTCTTCTCTGTGTGTCTGTCCTACGGATACATGTGGTTTACTTAGGGCCCCCCTGATAACCCAGTGTGCTCCTCCTCTCAGGATCCTTTGACTTAATCACATCTTTTGCCATGCAAGGTAACATCCAGAGGTTCTGGGAGTTAGGTCATGTGGGTCGCCTTTTAACCCACTACATTTATGGACTTGTGAATTTTTACAGATTCAGTGTATTTCAGTCAGTTCTCCTAACTATTCTTTTTGCATCTCAAATTGTCCCATCTTTGGCCTGTGGGAACCCCTTGGAGCCAGCCCCTGTACTCTTTTAAATTTTATTTTATTTTTCAGACAGGGTCTTGCTCTGTTGCCCAGGCTGGAGTGCAGTGGTGTGATCATAGCTCACTGCACCCTCATTCTCCTGGGCTCAGGTGATCCTCCCCGCTCAGCCTCCAAGTAGCTGGGGCTACACTCAGCTAATTTTTTATTTTTATTTTTTTGTAGAGTATGGGGTCTTGTTATGTTTGCCAGGCTGGTCTTGGCCTCCTGGGCTCAAGTGATCCTCCCGCCTTGGACTCCCAAAGTACTGGGATTACAGGTGTGAACCACCGCACCCGGCCCCCTGTACTCTTTAGGTGTGACCCCATCGGTCTGTGAACAAGCCCATGCTCTCTGACACAAGATGTCACAGGCTTGTGTGTTCCTGACCCCCAACCAGGAATTCCTCCAAGTCACCCTGATTTCTTTCAGTAGGAAATGACATTTCTGTTATTTTCCATTCTCTTCTATTTCATTAAAGAAAAACACTGATTACAATCTACTAAATTGATTTCACGGACCTACTTATGGGTTGTGACCCATAGTTTGAAAATCACTGTCCTGGGCTATTTTGTCTTTCTTTACTTTCTTCATAAATTTAGGAAATTCCTTCCCATCAGAAAGTGAGGTACCCTCAAAGGCAGGGTCACGTGTTCATCCACTGGCTCCTCCATGGTGGCAGGATGGGGTCTGCACACATGGGGCCTGCACCATGCAGCCTGCGTCCCATCCAGGGGCCCTCAGAGCTCCTGCTGCCCTCCGTGGCACCCTGCTTCTCTCTGGGCCCTCCCCGTTCCTCCTCCTCCTCCTCTTCCCCCTTACTCTTCTTCCTCCCCCTTCCCTCTTCCTCCTCCCTCTCCCTCTTCCTCCTCCCCTTTCCGCCCTGCCTCTCTCCATCACTGCCTGGACTTCATTTTGCCATTCTAAGAGGCTAATGTGAAAATTGCTCACAGATGGCATAAACAATATGGAAAAGAGCCTCTCTCTTCATTAGAGTAACACAAGATAGTGTTTTTAAGTGATTAAACTGTTATAGCAATAATTATGTTGAAATCTAAACATCTCATCACACTACTTTAACCTCTCACCAAGGGCTCTTGAGGTCCCCTTGGGGTTTGGCAGGGGCCACCCCAATAGAGAGCTCAAGAGCGGACTGTCTAGGCCTTGCTGGACCTTCCCCATGGGGCCCCATGGGGCAGAAATATCTGAGTAGTGTTGGGACCTCCATTGGTGCCCCCTCCCTGTAACCAGATGTAGAGGTCCTGGCCCCAAAGCTAGGCTCTAGCTGAATTTTTCTTTGGTGGCTATCCCATCCCCTTTGGCCTCCTCCTTGTCCCATAGCCACTCTCTACTCTGAGTAGCTGTAGGTGCTCCTAGAGGGCTGTCCTGCTTGCCCCTCCTTGCTGGCCACCCCTTGTTCTCTCAGCACCCTGCCCAGAGTCAGCTGGCACCGAGGGAAGAAAGTGGGTGAAGTCCTCTGCAAGACACAATTGCAAGACAGACACTTCATCTCGTACCCTGCCGCGGAGTCTGGGCATTCTCTAGAGCACCTTGGGAATTGCTCTCAACCTGTTCTTCCTCTTCCTCCATTAGCGTAGATCCTCATTTCTTTCTTCCAGGGCTGTGAAACAGCTCCCACCTCACCTTCTGCCCTTCAGCTTCTCTCCCTGCCTGCTGCTCCAGGAAAGGAAAGTATAGAAAGCTACACAGAAATAAAGACACCTTCATGTATTTGATTATCTTGGGGGGATGGGGTGCAGATTTAAGAGATTTAAGAGAGACCTAGAGAAGATGAAACGCACCTGGTATGAAAATTATAGACTAGCAATCATGCGCCTCATTTTAAATAAACATGTAAAAATAAGACTTAAGGCCGGGCGCGGTGGCTCACGCCTGTAATCTGAGCACTTTGGGAGGCTAAGGTAGGTGGATCACTTGAGGCCAGGAGTTAGAGGCCAACATGGTAAAACCCCGTCTCTACTAAAACTACAAAAATTAGCCGGGCATGGTGGCATGCACCTGTAGTCCCAGCTACTCGGGAGGCTGAGGCGGGAGAATTGCTTGAACCAGGAGGTGGAGGTTGCAGTGAGCCAAGATTGCACCACTGCACCCCAGCCTGGGCGACAGAGTGACTTAAGTTTCCTATGGTGGTTGGTCAAGGCAGTAAGGAAAGAGGGAAAGAAGGAAAAGAGGGAGGTCAGAGCAAAGGCAGCGGGGAATGGCAGATGAGCACCCGGCCGGAAAGGGGACACAGAGAGAAGAAGCAGAAAGGAGGGAGAGCAGAGCCGGGGGAGGCGGAGAGAGAAGGGCCATGATGTGAAGCAGCAGCTGGCCACCTACTCACAGGCCCTCCTGAGCTTCATTTTGGTTTAGGGATTCTAAGTGTTGTTGCCTCTTCTCACATCTGAGATGCTGATTAGTCAGCTCTTCCGTGGCTCTTTCTCTGGATCTTTCTGTCTCTCCTTTCAGTGGGCATAGCTCATCTTTTCAGTGGAGGAAACATTTTGGTCTGGGTCTCGGTGGGCAGAAGTCATTGCTGGCTTTTGTGCTCTTCCCTTCTTACCCCTGGCTCCAAACAGAGTGCCAGGGTGTGGTGGAAACTCCACGTGTTTGGGGGGAGGGTGGGCAGCTGGCTGGGTGAATCAGAACTTCCAGGTGGCAGCACTGTGTTAGAGGAAGGACTCATCAGGGTAGAGACAGCGGCAGATGGGGTGTGGGGAGGTGTCAGTGATGGCCACCCGTGCCCCACCTCAGGCTCTGATGAATGGAGGCTTCCCAGTCCCTCTTCTATTCAGAATCTACTTCTGATAAGGGACCTGACCAACATTTGAAGAAATATAAAAGGCCAACTTCATCTGCTGAGGTAGGATTACATCAAGGAGGATGAAATTAAAGGCTTTTCATGGAAAGAGATCTCCAGGATAATTTGATGGAAGACTTTAATTATTTCAGATTCAAAGTGTCCCCCCGCCCCAACAAAAGATGCTTTAGAAAAAGGATTCATTGATTTGGGGAGTCACATAAAAATATTATGTACATGTATCTCTTTGAGTCCTTAGAGCTGCTATTAGTCTAGAGGGCTGTCAGCAGCCCAGGGGAGGGGGCTTCAGTGGGCCCTGCCCCTTTCCTGTGTGCTGGTGACAGATGACCCAAGTCTCTGCCACCAAGGGAATGGAAGAAAGGCCAGGGAAGGGGAAAATGGGTTTAAATGATTTAGATGCGACCTCAGAAAGAACTTGGAACCATTTTACCTGCTTTAACTGGCTCGGCACACTTTATTGGAGGGAAACTGATGCGCTTCCCTACCCTTAGACGAGAGAGTGGCATGTCTTATGTGTGTGGGGAGGTGAACTCTTCAAGAGGTTGTGCTGTCTCAAAGCCGCACAGGGTGGCTCTAGGACCCAGGATCTTTTGGCCTTACCTTTGGTCCCCTGCCACACCAACACTGCTTCCAGGGTGCACTCAAGTCTCAAGCTCACCTTGATCCGTGCTTTCCCCAGGGAACAGTAGTCTCCTAGGCATCCCGGAGCTCATTGCATCTGTTCCTCTGCCTGAACGCCCCATTTGGATCCAATCTCAAGGACTCCGCAGCTGCTGTGCACTCATCGCTCTGGACACACGATGTCTGGAAAACTCTCTTGCTGGACTTCTGTGCTTTCTCCCTTGATCAGGGCTCGTCAGGAGGATGGCATACTCACATATCAAGGGCTTTGTAGGGCAAACAGATGAAAACAATTGTCTTATGATCTACCCTAAAGAAACATGGCTTGATGTGATTGACAGAAAGCCAGCCCTAGTGATGGTAAACACTGATGGTCAGCACACCGGTTCCTTATGTGCCAACTGACTCCACGGAGGCCCGAAGGGCTTCTCCACTGCCCAAGGCCCTGGGCAGAGGCCACGTAGCAGGCGGGCCTGGCCCTGTTTGTGCTGATCTGTTCTTGAGAGCCCCGGTCTGTGTGTCTGGGGTTGCACAGCTCAGTGTCCCTCTGTGTCACCAGCCCACTTTATCTACTGTTGGGTCCCCAGGGCTCAGCACAGAGTAGGAATTTCATTAATGTTGGTTGATGATAAACATTATGGAGCCCAAGTTAATCCAGTTCTTCCTTCATTCACAAGAAATTATCATTCTCGCCATTTACTTACAAAACTGATTTTAGATGGGAACCTGCACTTTCCCGGTCCTCTCCAAAGGAGAAGCCACACAGCGCAGTGCAAGGAGAGCACCAGGCTAGGAGTGGAAACCTGGCTTCTGGTCCCAGCCCTGCTTTGCACTGGCCCTGTGAATGTGGGCACTTCCCCTCCCCAGAGTCTCTGCGTGCCTCTCTGCATGTGGCAGGTGGGGTTGTGCTAGCTCCTTCCAGTTCTGATATTTCCCTCCCCTTCCCTGCTCAACCCTGTGCCTCCCAGAGCAACACCAGGCTGGGAGGTGGAATGAGCCCGGCAGTTCCTGGAGACAGTGGTTTCCTGGGGCCCAGGAGGCAGGCCCTGCTGGGGCAAAACTGTCAACATGGCTGCTGCCCCCTCCCTGAAGGGCCTAAGGGCAGGATGAGCTTGTGGCTTGGGGCCCTGGTGTAGCCCTGCTGGACCTCTGCACGAGGGCCTGGCTCAGTCTTGTGTGGAGTGCCTGAGCCAGATAAGCAGAGAGGGTCCCCAAAGAGCTGCTCCCATCTGGCTGCATCCTCCCCTTTTCCAGCATGAAATCATTCTTCAAGTCATAACATATTTCCTGAGGAATAAAGGTCAAGACAAACTTCAGAGTGAACTTCTGAACTCATGTCACGGTGCTGCTAGCAATTTGCTGTGCTTCTAATTCCCCTGAGCCTCAGTTTCCTTATCTGTAAAATGGGCCTGAGAATGCTCACTATGAAGATGGTGAGAGGCAATGTATATGAAGCTCTTTGAAAGGCACAAAGGGCTGTATGAGTGTCAGCCTCCGGGGAGAGGAGGCAGCCTGTGCCGGGGTGCTAATGCTCTGCTGGTGGCAGAGGGTGTGCTCCCAGGAGGGGTGTTATCCAGATGGCTCAAATGGGGTGAGAAACTCGGAGGCTTGGTGAGCTGTGAGGTAGAGGAGGCTGAGTGCACTCTGTCCCTGTCACCTGGCCCTTCATCTGACATCTCTGGCCCAGGCCACAGATTGGAGTGCTATTTTCTTCTATGCTTGGAGGAATCATCAATTTTGCCCCAGAAATATATCTTTAGCCATGGTCCCAGGAGCCCCCAGCCACCCCTGGCACTACTCCCTACCTCTTAGCTGCCCTTTCCCTTAGCGGAAACAAGGATGTGACTCTTGACCTGCTTATTTGTGTTCCCTGGGCCTCCCTGACCACCAGACACCCATCTGGGTAAAAACACACCTTGGAGATTGTAGATCCCCTGAAGCCAGGAGCTGTGCTCCCGAGGGCCCTCCTGACAACATGCGCCTTGTGCAGAGAGGGATAGCCATGGAAAGGTTGATGGTCATGATGACACAAGGGTTAGCAGTGCCTCCCTGGGGTCCTGGCCTGTTTCACTGATGGGTGGAGGAGGAGAAGGGACATTAGCTCCTAGGGGCCTGAGGAAGGCAATTTCTTGGGACCCAGGTGAGTCCAGAGGCCATGGCTGTGGTTTCAGCTGTGGGGCAGAGGGACTTCTCCAGTGAGGGTGAGAAACCTCATGCTCAGTTCTCTGTTTTTTCTTATACCGTGAAAAATAAATGTGAAGTAAAGAGGGTTTCAGGGCAAGATACATCCTTCTTCCCTCCCTCCCTTCCTTCCTTTTTAAAATATTTATTAAGCAAGCAGTACTTGCCTTACGCTGTGCTAGGACACTCAGAGTGGAGAATGCGTCTGCTGCCCTCCTAGGAACTCGCAGTCTAGTCAGGGAGATGAAATCACCACCGAGCAAGGCGGCAGAAGGAGGCACGCGGCCGCTGATGGAGCGGCACAGCCATTCAGACCTGGGTGAGCTTTGGGAAGCCTGGTGTAGCCATGGAGGGTGTTGTGGAGGAGGTGGCCCAGAGATGGGCTTCAGAGGATGGGAAGAAGTTGGAGAGGTGGGGAAGGTGGAGGGAAGCATAATTGAGAACAAAACTGGTATAGGGCAGTGGTTGATGATCTGAGTTTGAATCCTGTCTATACCATGAAATATCCATGTGGCCTTGACAATTTCCCTTCCTATGTGAGCTTCAGTTTCTTCATTTGAAAAATGAGGACAATAACAGTATCTATCTCCTAAGGTTGTTTGAGGGTTAAATGAAATAAAATGTGAACTACCTAGGGCCAAGGTTGTTCCGAGTACACGCATATTCAGAACACATTAGCTACTGTCGTTCCTGCCACTGCTGGTACGACTGCCCGACTTCTGCCTTCCAGTTGCTGCCACTCTGTCCTCCTGCCCTCCGTGCCTTGACCCTGCTCTGATGAGAAGGCACCTGAATCTCTCCTCTGGGCCACATGGGCACCTGGCTATGTGCTCAGGCTTCTGGCCAATCCCTGTCCCCAAGCAGAGGAAGCTAGAGCGCCTCCACCAGGTGTGAATTGAACCCAACTTCCCTCCTGCTCTTTTCCGATTGTCCTGCTAGGCAGAAAGTTTCCCTGCCAGGCCCGCTGTTGTTTGTATTGACAGCACCAGCCACCTTTTCCTTCCAGCGGCTCCCCATGCTGGGCGGCTGGGGAGTTGGCCTTTTGCTAGGAGAGGGAGCTGTGATGCCCTCAGAGGCATCTGCCCACCCCCTCGGGAATCTGACATTTTGTCTGCACCAGGGCAGGGGCCTCTCTGCTGACGGGGCCTGTCCCAGCTGTCCTAGTGCTAATCCAGTTTCATTGCACTGGCAGTTGGGCTGGCAAAGCTTTGGTGCAGGATACCCAGCACCAAAATAAAAGGCACCTGGCATTTGTGTGTGGGGGAGAGAGGGGCACTGTGGACACCACTCAGGAGGCGTCCCTTCCCAGCCAGGGTCTAGGAGTCCTTCTGAGCTCCTTCTGCAAGTAAAGTGGCTGGAAGGGTTTCCTCTCTTCCTGCCTAGCCCAGCCCAGCTGCAGGCTACAGAGTCATCCTCTGCCTTGCCCTGTGTGGGGACCCTGAACCCCCTCTTACCTGTCAGCCTCTGGGGCAAGCAGAAGGCCCCATGGCCCAGTGCCAGAGCTAAGCCCCTTGGGAGCAGACAAACCAGGCCTCCCGTGACCTGCTCTTTAACTCAGACAAAAGACTGCCTGACCATTTTGTGGTGTGTTTCTGAAAGCAGAAAGAAACATGCTTGAAGAAGAGCAGTGAATAAGAATCTCTTTGGGTTGCACGTGCTCCTGGCAGCCCACTGGGAAGAGGAGGCAGCCCAGGCTCTGCACTATCAACAGTTCTGCTGATGGTTCTTAGCAGCAGCCATCTCCAGCCTTTCCTGCTCTGCCAGGAAAAAGTGAAATGCAAAGAAAAGCAGACGCCGGCCTCCTCTTTTAAGGGTGTTGGGCCGAGCTCTGGGTGGCTGGACCCCCTCTCAGGAGCCAGGTAAGGGGGAACTCTCTTGGGAGAGGGCTTCTGTGACAGTCCATAAATCCATATTGTTTTGAGCACAAATGAACAAGTGATTTAAAATTATCGTAGTCTACTTCAAAACTACTTTTTTTGTTCCTTTTGTGCAACACCATTGGATGCGGATGTTGGACAGTGTGATGTGTTGGAAAGTTCGCTAACCAGGGTTCTAGAGTCCTGACTGGGTTCTAGAGTCTGGGTTTCTGGAGTCCTTGGGCAAGGCCCCTCCCTTGCTGGATCTATTTTTTCTTCTGTAAAATGAGAAAGTGTACCTGGGCGATCTCTGGGTTCTTGGAGAAGCACTCCAGCCGAGCGGTTAAGAATGGTGGGCTGCACAGTGCTGGTGGTCCTGGGTCTGGCTCTATCTCTGTCATTTACAAGCTGGGTCATGTCTCTCAGCCTCAGTTCTCTCATATGAGAATGGGAGTAATCATAGTGCCTGCCTTTCGGGGATATTGTGAGAATGAACAGAGATGCACACATAGCACTCAGCACGGTGTCCGGCTGCTACGCAGCACTCAGTACAGGTCTGCTGTTTTGTTTGCCTTCATTGTAATGATCATTGTCGTCATTTCATTGTATCTCCTAGTTCTGACAGTGTTGGCTCTGCAGCTCAATGGGGATTCCCAAGTGCTTCTCAAGCATTTATTACTTGAGGATCTTGTCAGAAGGCAGATGCTGACCCTAGGGTCTGGGGTGGGACCTGAGTTTCGGCGTTTCTCATGAGCTCCCTGGGGATATGGATGCTGTTGCCCACAGGCCACACTTTGAGTAGCCAGGATGTGACGCTACTAAAGCATCGATGCCCAGTGTAGGTGGTTGTGTCATCCAGGGCCAGGCCTCCGAGTCGATGGGAGCCTCTTAAGGTCCAAGGAGAGAGTGACAAGCCTGGTAAACTCAGCAGCGTCCCCCTCCCTCTGCCCCCAGGACAGTAGGCAGCACAAAAGTCTCACCCAGGAGTGAGAGGGGACAGAGGCCTTTGGGGGCAATGAGGTCAGGAGAGTCTTCCCAGCTGATTTCATGAAAGGATTTTAAAGATGACTCTTGCCTTGAACTCCTAATTTTCTCATAATTTAGGGCTGATTATTAGGATTGCCTCATGGGCTTGTCTCTCCAATTATGCTGAAAACCCTTTGAGGACAAAGGTCTTGTCTCAAATTACTGTTTACTCCAGAGCTCCTACGACACCACCGCTGGGCTTGTAGGAGGCACACAGGTTCCATCTGCTCCAGAGACCCCCAGCCTTGGAGCTTGGTGGGGTGGGGATGAGAACACCAACTTGGAGTCAGGTGATCCCAGGTTTGAAGTCCAGCATGATCATATACTGTTGAGCAGTCAGGGGCAAGCTCCTTACCCCTTCCAAGCTTCCTCATCTGGAAATGAATGGCAGTACCCACTGCTGTGGACTGAATGTTTGTGTCCCCTTGAAATTCGTGTGTTGAATCCTAGCCCCCAGTGTGATGGTATTAAGAAGTGAGCCTTTGGGAGGTCATAGGCGTGGAGGCCTCATGAATGGGATGTGTGCCCTTGTATAAGAGACCCCAGAGAGCTTGCTCTCTCTTTCCACCATGTGAAGATACAAGAAGCTGGCCATCTGCAACCTGGAAGACAGCCTTCACCAGAACCTGACCATGTCGCACCTTGATCTCAGACCTCTAGCCTTCAGAACGGTGAGAAATAAATTTCTATGGTTTATAAACCACCTCAAACTACGACATCCACCTCATAGATTTATAAGGCTGAATTGAGATAATGAGTAAAGAACGTAGCTCAGGGTGGGGTTCTGCTTCCATGCTCCGTGTCCCCTTCTCCTCCTCTCTTTCTTCTCCTTGTCCTGTATTGTCAGGCTGGACCCTGCTCACTTAGAACCCGAGGGTCTCACTGTGCTTCCCGTTTCCAGGTTAGCTCCAGGTATGAGATATAGAAGTCTAACACTTGTCCCCGTTTGTCCCAGCCACCTTCTTCCTGCTCTTGCAGCTCCATTTATCTTGCTGAAAACTTGGCTCTTCCAGGAATAGCACTCAACTCACACCACCCAGCATGTCCTGGGAATGGGTAGAAGAGCACCCCCAGAACTGAGGGTTCCTGATTCTGAGGATCTCCTGCAACCCCTTGCACTACCACCAGCATCCCCCAGAGGCTTCTGTGTGCTCAGAGTTGATAAGCCCTTCTCCACCACTGGGGAGACTGGAGTGTGCTTCTCTGCTGTAGAGGAACACCCAGCTTGGGGCCATTGACACTATGACCTTGTTACTAGCTCACGTCTTAACCCACCTTGGAGTTCACAGGTCGTTTCCTTTGGCCCTCACAAATAAGCCATGAGATGGGCTGGTTCTATCATCAGCCATTTAACAGATGAGGAAACTTAGAAGGCACATGGTTCACCCAGGCACACAAACAGATGATGGCACCTTGGTCATCTGATCCTAAGTTCAGTGCCCTTTGCCTTGGGTGGCAGCTGCCCACAGAGCCACCAGCGCCATGCAGAAGAGTAGAGTCAACCAAGAACATTATATGTTCAGTGACAGTGAGTTCAGAGTCTTCTTGGCCTGGAGCTTCGTTTAAGATGAAGTGCCAATGGCAAGGTAATTATCATTTTGGGCATATTTAAAGTACTTAAATGGCCATGTCAGGCTTTCAGAGCCCTGTAAATCAGAGACACAGTGAGTGCAGGGCCAGGCCTCATAGGACTCCCAGGCCTTCTCGATGGGGAGCGGAGAGAGCCATTTCCTGGGATAAAGAGGACTCTCTGCAGACGCTGGCCCCTCTTAATCGCTGCCCATGCCTTGTTCTGTGCACGTGAGCACATGTGTGTGCTCGCATGCACCTGCTTTGAAAGCCTTTGACTTAGACATTGTCAGGACGTTGCTCTGTGTCTGAAGCTAGGCTGCCATATCTGCTATTGATGGTGTTTAATTAGGGACCGGGGAAGCTTTTAACTTTTATTGTTTATTAATAAAGATAAATTTGAAGCATCAAAAGTGTACTGAGTTGGCTTTTTTAAGTAAAGAGGGAAATGAAAGCCACAGGTCCCCTCAAATGAAAGGGGATGGGCTGTGTTAGCATTAGAAGGCCCCTGAGCAGGGAGAGGCTGGGAGGGGAAGGGAGAGTTTCTCTGTCTCCCTGCTGCTACTGTGGGGGTTTGCTGGGGAGAACCAAGCATAGGCAGAAGGGAAGTGTGGCTGGGCATGGAGATTTTTTGAGATAAGGGCCCTGCTTGCGGCACATCTCCCAGTGGGATGTGTGAAAGACGATTGCAAACCTCTGAGCTGATGCAAACTGAAGATCTGTGAGCACGGGGGTGGGAGAAGGGCTCTTGGGGAGAGAGAGCACAGCGATTAGTAGGACAGAACTTGGAGGTGGCCAAACGTAGGTTCAAATCCTGTTGTTTCCGCTTATGAGCAGTGTAACGTTAGAGCAGCGGCTGCACCTTTCTGAACCTCATTTCTAAAATGGGGCTCTTTAGACCTGCCTTCCAGTGTGTGTGCAGATTAAGCACGATAATATATGTAAAGTGCTTGGCGTCCTGCCTGACAAGTTGTAAGCCGCCGAATAAATGGCAAGAGGGGGCCTCTGGTGCCCTGTGTTTCCTGACGCACTCTCTCTGTCACTCTAGCCTTGTTAGAGTGTTAGTTGTTGAACATGACAGCTAACGTGTGCTGAGACCCTACTCAGTGCCAGGGCTATGCCTGAAGTTCTGCAGCAAACAGGAGGCGGAGCTGGCATTCAAACCCAGCTTTCCCCATTCCAAAGCTTCTCCCACACCACCCCGCCACCATCCCGTGGTGCCATTTCCCAGGTTGAAAGTTCTCTGCTTGTAACACAGAGTTCCCTCCTCCCCCAAGGGTTCTGCAGCTTCTGCCAGGGCCTCGCCTTGGCCTTTCTGGAAGGAGCCCTCCCAGACACCAAAGACTCTCCCAGCCTGCCGGCCTGCCTACCCCAGACTCTTCAGAGAGACTCTGTTCCTCTAGGGACCCACTCGGAATTGAGTCTGTCAGATGGGAGACTTGTTGCTCTGTCTGGAAACCCCAGTGATCTGGAGACAGCAGATTTGGGAGCTGAAAAGAGACAGAGAACGGAGTCCGGAGACAGTGGGAGGTTCCTTGTGGGAGTTCTCAAGAGACCCTCGTGGGCAGGAGGGGGCGATTCACCTTGCCAGGGCTTCCCTTCCTCCTCTCTGCCAATCTTCGTGCCCAGCTCACGGAGTCGCCAAGCATGTGACCTGCCTGCTACTTGACTTGAGCAGGTGGCCAGACTGAGCATCCGCCATCTCTAGGGAAAGCGAGATGCGAACGTCCCCCTTGCACCTCAGTTGAGCTTCGCCTTGGCAGCTGGGGAGCAAAGCCTGGGAGAAGACAGACCAGGGAGGCCAGAGGACCTTGAGCAGCTATGGGGCTTGTTTCTTGCCTTCTTTCCGTTTTCCAGACAGAGGAGATAGGAGGGCAGCTGAGTGTGGCCCAGGATTCCCAGCTGAAACTTCATATTACGGTCCCTGCAAAGGGTCGGGTTCCTTCTCTGCCTGCCATGAACTCTTGTCAGAGATCATCTTGGGTTAGGAACCAAGCACATCCCACCCCAACCCCTTCCCCACTCAGAAGGGGACAGATGTTTGAATAATTCTTGGAAACATGCTGCAACCACCCAAGGTGCACTGAGTCAGCTATGCAAATTGAGAGGCGTAGGTCAGAGTCCTGTGTGTATTTTGAAGTTGCAAATTCCCTGGCAAGCCTTGCACTGCACCCTGAGTCCTGCGTGCCGCAGTCACCCAGGGCCTTCCTGACATTCAGGGAGCTCAGGGGTGTTGGAGAGTGCCCCCAGCCCCACCCCATAGCTCTCCTTGCTCCTGCTCCGGATGCCTGGTGATAGTTACTATTTTGAGTTAAAGCGATTCTGCTTTATTAAAAAGGAAGTCCCCCAGGGAGGGGTAGTACTGTTGAACCGCTATCAGTCATGGACAATTTAGTACCAATTAATTAATCGGATGCTTTCCTGTTGCCTGCAGAGTGAATGGGGTGTGATGAGTGTTTGGAAAGGGCATGAGGTCACCAGGTGATTCAGGAGAGATAGCAAAGGAGCAAGCCAAGGGCGTACAGGATAAGCATGCCCTGTGGTTGCCAGCTTATCTCATTTGTCTTAAAAATTATTTTAGTAAACATTTTCACAAAATTATATCAATCATCCCCAAAATGCACAAATCATAAGTGTATGGCTTTGAATTTTTAGGAAGTGTACACACCCTTATAGCCAGCACCTGGGCTGTGAAACAGTTACTAGTTGCTCCTCTCAGACCCCCAGCCAGCCACTGTGACCCCCAAGGCATCCGCTATCCTGACTTCCATAGATAACGTTTTGCCTCTTTTCAAACTCTGTGAGCGTGGACTTCTTCAATGCGTCTACCCTTTGCGTCTGGCTTTCCTTCGTTCAACGTTTCTGTTGGTGAGGTTCACCCATGTTGTTAAAGTTTGTTCATTTTCATTGCTGTGTAGTGTTCCGTTGTGTGAATATACTACAGTTTATTCTATGGTTGGTGGACATTTGGATGTCTAGCTTTTGACTTTCATGAATGGTGATGCTTTAAATGTTCTTGGCCATATCTGTCTTCTTCTTTTATGTCTGAGGTTATGTGCTGTTCTCCTGGGAACCGTCTTCTGACCCCTACCCCAGGGGAGCATGAGTGCCCCTCCTTTACCCTCCCATGGCACTCTGTCATAATCCAGGAAAGATGAATAGTGATATTTTCAGTTCCTAGGCAAATGTCTGGCAGTGGTAGATGCTCAAAAGCATTAGTTGAGTGAAGGAACAAATTTTATGTCACAGTTTTGCCCAGGGCTTCTCTTGATATCTAAGAAGAGCAGTGTGGGGAGACTGTGTTGGGAGTCTTGGGGATCAGTTCGGATTCTTCCCTAGAAAGACTGCTACTCTTGGCCAGGCACGGTGGCTCACACCTGTAATCCCAGCACTTTGGGAGGCTCAGGCCGGTGGATCATGAGATCAGGAGGTCGAGACCATCCTGGCCAACATGGTGAAACCCTGTCTCCACTAAAAATACAAAAATTAGCCGGGTGTGGTGGCGTGCGCCTGTAATCCCAGCTACTTGGGAGGCTGAGGCAGGAGAATCACCTGGGCCTGGGAGGTGGAGTTTGCAGTGAGCCAAGATCGTGCCATTGCACTCCAGCCTGGGAGACAGAGTGAGACTCCGTCTCAAAAAAAAAAGAAAGGAAGGAAGAGTTCTACTCTCTGGGCTCTGGCCTCCACCTGGGTCCTGATGTCCCTGAGAATGGGCTGGAGGCCATGGCCATGGTCAGAGGTGTCTATGAGTTTCCCAGGGTGCCCCCCAGTGATAAGCTGGTGCAAAACCAGCTTCTGCCTGCTTCGGGTCTCTGAGGACCTCAATGCCATGGGCCTCCCCAGACGTAGGCATTTGATGGCCAGCAGGAGGGAAGAGTCGTGAAGAATAGAAGAGAAGATGCAGGAAGAAAGAGAAGAGGAGGGAAGGAGGTGAGAGGGAGAGAGAGAGAGAACCATGAACACATATTTTTCCAGACGCCAGGTGGGGGTGGGGAGAAAGTCAGACAGGCAGGGAGCGGGTGTTCTTGAGGGAAGCAGGTGTCCTCATGTTGGAGTTGTATTGTTTGTACCAGCAAGCGACACAGTGGAAGCAGGAACATGAGCCTGTTGAAATCCAATGTCAGGGTGCCCTGGTGGGACAGGCTTGTTTTTTTTCCCCCCTGGCACTTGGCAAATCCCCTTCACAGGCAGAGTGAGTGGCTTTCTGGTCTCTCCGGCTGAGCAGTGCTGATGGAACAGGTTATTCTTTCTTCATACACCTTTTGCTGAGCTGCATAACAAATGTGCTGTAAATTTCAGTGCTTTACAGAGCGCCTGGATACGTAAAGCAGGACTGCTTCCCCTAGTAAAGTGGAGGCTGCTCAGATTCCAGCAACAGCGAGCCATGTGGGGTGCAGTTGCTGTGTTTCCAAAGTAAATATTACTTCTTAGAGAAGATTCATACCCAGAATAATTATTTCTTGCGGCGATCTGAAGCTGAAGCTGGTTTAAATGTTCATTTGTCTCTGCCCAGGTTTTTTCCGTAGTGGGGTGTGCCAGGGTGCTTAAAGCCGACACTGCAGAATGCCCCTTCTTTCTCCTGGGCCCCTTTGCCTACAGAACCATACCTCTCCCACCCTGACTTATCTTGTTCCTAGAGTGATGGCATCTAAGCCCTCAGCTTATGCATATGTTTATTATTATTATTATTATTGAGAGGGAGTCTCGCTCTGTCATCCAGGCTGGAGTGCAATGGCGTGATCTCGGCTCACTAAAACCTCCGCCTCCCAGGTTCAAGTGATTCTCCTGTCTCAGCCTCCTGAGTGCCTGGGATTACAGGCACCCACCACCACACCTAGCTAATTTTTGTATTTTTAGTAGAGATGGGATTTCGCCACATTGGCCAGGCTGGTCTCGAACTCCTGACCTCAGGTGTTCAGCCTGTGTTGGCCTCCCAAAGTGCTAGGATTACAGGCATGAGCCACTATACCTGGTCATGTTTTATTATTAATTTAACAATTATATAGCACTTACTATGTGCCAGGCACTCTTCTAAGCTCTTTGACAAATACTGACCCACTTAAAACTCTTAACACTCTACAGAGAGGTAGAGTTACTACCCCTTTGGAGAAATGAATTAGTATCCCCATTTTCCAAATGTAGGAAACAAGGCACAGAGAGGTTAAGTAACCTGCATGGGATCACACAGCTAGTTGGTGGTGGAGCTAGAATTTGTCTTCAGAGTCCATGATGTTTATCCTCATGCTCTGCTACCTCTCAATGATTTCTTCTTCTTTTGCTTTTTTTTTTTTTCTGAGACGGAGTCTCGTGTCACCCAGGCTGGAGTGCAGTGGCATGATCTCGGCTCACTGCAAGCTCCGCCTCCTGGGTTCACGCCATTCTCCTGCCTCAGCCTCTCAAGCAGCTGGGACTACAGGCACCTGCCACCATGCCCGGCTAATTTTTTGTATTTTTAGTGGAGACAGGGTTTCACCATGTTAGCCAGGATGGTCTCAATCTCCTGACCTCGTGATCCGCCCGTCTCGGCCTCCCAAAGTGCTGGGATTACAGGCGTGAGCCACCGCGCCTGGCCCAGTGATATCTTCTAAAGCGGCACGGTGAGCAAGGGCCTGCCTTTTTCAGGGATTAGAACTATTTTTTCTGTGCCCTAATATCATTTCTATCCAAGGTGGCCCTTGACCTTACAAGAGCAGGGGTCAGGCCTGGAGCAATAATCCCACGCCTGATCATGCCTGTAATCCCAGCACTTTGGGAGGCCAAGGCGGGCTGATCACCTGAGGTCAGGAGTTCGAAACCAGCCTGTCCAGCATGGCGAAACCCCTTCTGTACTAAAAATACAAAAAATTAGCTGGACATGGTGGTGGGCGCCTGTAATCGCCCACTCAGGAGTGGAGGCAGGAGAATTGCCTGAACCATGAAGCGGAGGTTGCAGTGAGCTGAGATCACGCCATTGCACTCCAGCCTGGGCAACAAGAGTGAAACTCCATCTCAAAAAATAAAAAATAAAAAATAAAAATAAAAGCAGAGGTCAGTGTCTGGCCAGTGGTCAAAGCCTACAAAGCACAAGCTTGCCCTAAGATTCAGCTGCATCAGGGGCGCAATGGACAGAGGTGGAAAGGTGAACTTGGAGCTTATCCTGGAACCATCTGAGCTCTGGATGGGAGAATCCCCGGGGCCTGCTTTTGTGCTCTTCATCTCGCTACACACACAGCACAGGTGCTCTTGGCACCTTGGGCTCACTATCCCTTGCTCCCTGCCTTTTCCTTCCTCTAATCTCCTGGGGAAGTCATTCCCCTGTCTCGCAGTCTCTCCTCTTGGGGTCGGCCCCTGTCTCAGTAAGTGACTCCATCCTCTAGGCAGGTGCTTAGTCTGGAAGCCTGGAAGGCATCCTTGCTTTGCATTCCTCCACGACCCACATCTGATCCCCAGGTCCTGTCAATTCTACCTCCTAAAAAGCTCGCAAATGCAAACGTCTCTTCCTCTGCCACTTCTACCTTCCTCATGTCTATCTGTCTCCAGGACCTCTTCAGTGCCCACCCAATGGATGTCCCAGACTCCAGACCTAAACCCTCTAAAACTCTTTTCAAATTGCAGTCAGAGTGACCTTTCCATAAGAAATTCTGGTTATGTCATCCCTTTATGTAAAAATCTCAGTGGCTCTTTGGTACCCCTAGAATACAATCTAGACTTCCTAGCATGGCTGCTGTGGAGCCATCTTTGACCCGGATCCTATTCCCCCAGGGCAGCACCCCTCATTGCCTTTGGATCAGGAAAGATCCCTGTCTCCTGTCCCCTCCAGTTATGGGCTCATCCTCCTCCCATCCCTCTGCTTCCCATTTGTTGCCAGAAAGGGGTCTTGATCCGGACCCCAAGAGAGGGTTCTTGGACCTCATGCAAGAAAGAACTTGGGGCAAGTCCATAGAGTAGCGTGAAAGCAAGTTTATTAAGAAAGTAAAGGAACAACAGTTGTTGCCAGGAATTTGCTTTGTTTACTGTCAGTATATTAGTAATCCTAGATCTCAGAATCACAATAGTAGTAACAGGGGTCATTTTTTCCCAACTTACTCTATGTTCAGGTGTGGAATTTCTGTCTCCCAAGAGGAAATGTGACTTCACTTTGGTGTCAATGGACAGAAAATTCTACCTGTGCCACATAGAAGTTTGGAATGTACTTAATAGCTGGTTTTTATACCTTGATTTCAAGGTGGAAAGAAATTGATTATGAATCTCCAATAAATTTAAATCTCTTAAACCAGTAGGTGCTTAATATTTTTTAATTAATTAATGCCCATTTGAATTTCATGGGTTCTATTAATTTAAAAAAAAATAAGACCCCAATCCATCACCATCAAATTGCCCTTGGACTTTTTCAAGGTATAATATGGGGTTTTATGCAAAATTCCAAGCTGCCATGTAACTTTCTTTTAACCATAACAAGGAGGGAGAACTGTTTCCTGCCTTCTTTACATGTTGTGCATTGTTGTGGTCCAGAAATGATAAACCTTTTTTTTTTTTTCTTTTTGAGACACAGTCTCGCTCTGTCATTCAGGCTGGAGTGCTGTGGCGCGATCTCAGCTCACTGCAACCTCCATCTCCCTGGTTCCAGCAGTTCCCCTGCCTCAGCCTCCTGAGTAGCTGGGATTTCAGGCACATGCCACCATGCCCAGCTAAGTTTTTTTGTATTTTTAGTGGAGATAGGGTTTCACCATGTTTGCCAGACCGATCTTGAACTCCTGACCTCAGGCAATCTGCCCACCTTGGCCTCCCAAAGTGCTGGGATTACAGGCGTGAGCCACCGCGCCCGGCCCAGAAATGCTAAACCTTTTTAACGATGGTGCAACTTTGTCCTTGGCTTGACTCTACAGGCTTTGAACTTCGTGGCATAGCCACTTTGCCATATCTGCAGGAGAGCTGTTCTATGTGAAACATCTCAGAGTTGCAAATATCACATGTGAATGATATGGCTACTTTAAGAAGTGTCTGTATTGTATTTGAAGACTGTTTGCCATGAATCTGAAATTTGAATCTGTGTATTTCAATTTGGTATGCTAAAAAGTCCTGAATTAGTATAAAGATTTTTTTGTTATAATATTGTAATCTCAGTTCAAAAGTTAACTGAAAATGTAAAACCCAAGTGATTTCTATATAGTAAATTGAACTGTAAAAGTTAAAAAAAAAAAAACAACTAAAGGAATAAAGCTTGGCTACTCCATAGGCAATGCAGCCCACATGGCTGAGTATATTTATAGTTGTTTCTTGATTATATGCTAAGCAAGGGGTGGATTATTCATGAGTTTTCTGGGAAAGGGGTGGGCAATTCCCAGAACTGAGGGTTCCTCCCCTTTTTAGACCATATAGGGTAACTTCCTGATGTTGCCATGGCATTTGTAAACTGTCATGGCGCTGATGGGAGTGTCTTTTAACATGCTAATGCATTATAATAGGCATATAATGAGCAGTGAGGATGACCAGACTTCACTTTTGTTGCTGTCTTGGTTTTGGTGAGTTTTGGCCAGCTCGTTTACCACACACCCTGTTTTATCAGCAAGGTCTTTGTGATCTGTATCTTGTGTTGACCTCCTATCTCATTCTGTGACTTAGAATGCCTAACTTCCTGGGAATGCAGCCCAGTAGGTCTCAGCCTCATTTTACCCAGCTCCTATTCAAGATGCAGTTGCTCTGTTTCAAACACTTCTGACGCTTTGGCTGATTCCAACATTGTTTGGGTCTCAAATGTTCTTTCTTCTGAGGAGTCTTCTCTGACCACCCCCGCTTCCCAAGCCTGGTTTGGGTGCTCTGTTCCGGTGTTCCCATGGCAACCAGGAAACATCCTCTGTGATCACACTGTCCACTTTGTATTGGGATTTGATGGCTACCTGTGTGTTTTTCCCAACACACATTATCTGTCTTGCACACAGCTATGTCCCCAGTACGGAATACAGTGCTGAGTTATGGAAGACAGTTTTTAAAAAAGTTATTAGCCAGGTGTGGTGGTGTGTGTCTGTGGTCCTAGCTACTCAGGAGGCTGAGGTGGGAGGATGGCTTGAGCCCAGGAGGTCCAGGCTGCAGTGAGCCATGATCATGCCACTGCCCTCCACCCTGGGCAAGATGGAGTAAGACCTCCATCTGTAAGGGAAAAAACAAAACAAAACAGGTCACTGAGCCAGTACTATCACGAAAAGAACATTGACGGAGCAGCTGGGAGATGCGGGTATTAGAACCTGTTCTGGGACAAACTCTGGACCTTGGTTAAGTCATTTTCCCTCTCTGGGCATTTTTTTTTTTTTTTTGTATCTGTGAAGTAAGGAATCTATGCTAGGTGGTCCCCAAGCTCCCTTCCGGATGTGAGGTCCTGGGACCCATCTTCTGAACCAAGGCTTCACTCTTCTCATCTCTCTTGACTTTCCAGGCTGTGAGGCCCCATCTTCTCCCTCTCCTTGGCACTCCTGTCCCTTCAGGATGTGCTGGGAAGCAGAGCCTGGCATCCTGCCTTCAGCGGGGCTCAGCCACGGCCAGCAGCGGCCTTGGGTTCTCCTTGCGTCCAGGATGAGAACTCCTTGAAATTCTCTGCCGTCCTCCTCCTCACCTCATCTGTTTGCTGTCAGAACATTGCAAATAGGAAGCTTCTCATGCTGCCTCTGTCTCTGAATTATTATAACATTCAATAGGGAGGCATTAAATCTACGTGCTCCTGAGGCTGCACTTCCCCCAGTAGAAACAGGAGATGCCTGGCTGCCATGGCCCCCTCCCAGAATACACCCAGCCTCCACTTGCACTGGGAGTGTTTAATCTTAACACCGTGACTGCTCACATGTTTCCCATACTCATTCAACACATTTACTGAGCACCCACTATGTATGGCAGGCATTGTTCTAGGTGTTTAGGACCCATAAAGAACAAAGCAAACAAAATCCCTGCTCTCTAGGAGCTCGCTACTCTTTAGCAAGCGTATAGAGGGGAAACTCATATAAATAAGAAATATAATAAGTAAATTATATAACAAGCTACAAGGGGATAAGTGCTATGGAAAAAAGAAAAAAATAAAGCAGGGTAGCAAGGATGAAAGCCCCCTGAGAGTTAGAGATTTGAGTCAAGGCCTGGAAGAGGGTGAGGGAGTGTGTCAGCTATTTGGAGGAACGTGTTCTAGGTCCAGGGCCCAGCTCAAGCACAGGCCCCAAGGTGGGAATGTGCAGGGTGTGCCTGAGGCACCGTGGGACCCAGCGTTGCCTGTGGACTCTGCACATCAGGGTATCTGCCAGAGCACAATGCCTGGAGCATAGCAGGCCCACCGCTGATATTGGGGGTTGGTGTACAGCCTGCTGGACCTGCAGCTGAATGGCCTGTGACTTGTCTGAACAGTGGTACTTGTTAAATCTAGTCTGGTCCTGTGGGAGGAGCTGGCAACTAAGTCTGACAATACTGTTTGCAACTTGGCTCATCGCTCATTAGCTTTGTGATCCTTGGCAAATTACTTAACCGCTCTGAGTTTCCGGCTCTTCATCTTTGAAGGAGGGCTCTGACCCGTGCCTCTTAGGGTTGTTGTAGGATTTGACGAAGTGACCGTGTGGAAGCAGCTAACTCAATGCATGTTGCAGCCAGGGTGTCTAATAACGTTAGTTCTAGTGCATCCCTTACCCTGGTCTTTGGGCAAGGTATTTATTTTCTCTGACCCTCAGTTTCCTCTTTCAGAAAACAGAGTATAATAGTCCCTGAGCTGCCTACTGCTTAGGCTTTAGTAATTATCCAGTCTAACAATGCAGATAATAGTACTTTATATATAGATGACAAGTTTCCAGGGGAGAGGGTCTGTGTGTGTGTGTGTGTGTGTGTGTGTGTGTGTGAGAGAGAGAGAGAGGAGAGAGAGAGAGAGAGAGAGAAAGTGTGTGTATGTGTGATTCTGTGTATGTGTGTACAGTTCTGTGACACAGGGTTTTTTTTATTATTTAATAAATGTTTCAAGGACAAGGATACTGTATTTTTTACAAGATCTTATGCCTCGCACACATTAAGTGCTCAGTAAATCCTTGTTGAATGAATGAAAGAGCAGTGAGGAAAATGCTCTTTGCTAGATTAAATGTGTGGATCAGAAGCAGCAGAGCTGTTTGCTTCCAGGCAACGGGAATGTGGTACCGTTGTGAATTATATTTATTGATAACTTAACTATGTGCCAGCTACTGTGTGAAGTATTTGCATGCATTTCTCATTTGAAACTGCAAATAGCCCCGTGAGGTAGGTACTATTATTATTCCTGTTTTACAGACAAGGCAGCTGAGGCTCAGAGGTTAATGTCTTGGTCACAGTAAGTGAGGGAGCTGGGATTGGAACTCAGCCTTCCAGAAGGAATACCTATGCCAGTTGCTCCGGAGGCTGCCTGGAATATCGCTGCCTCTTTCCGTGGCCTGATGTCTCAGGAGGAGGAGGAAGGATGTTCTTGCAGCCAGGCCAGGAGGAAAGTCCAAGGCTGTGAAGTCACTGCTCAGGTCACCGGTGAACCTTCCAGTAGAAGGGGAGAAGGCGAAGGGGTTGCCCTTCCTTGCCTGCAATAGACAATGAGGACGATCAAAGACAAGGATTGTTCTCTGCCCTGTACTTGAATTTGTCCTTTTCCTTTCGGTCTTAGAGCATGTTAAGAACTTGGTGGAACAAACCTTCACGTTGTGCACATGTACCCTAGAACTTAAAGTATAATAATAATAAAAAAAGAGGACAAAAAAGAAAAAAAAGAACTTGGTGGAGATATGAGAGCTTTGGGCCTTACGCTTCCTTCTTAGGTGCCTAAAACCTGAGGATGCATGTATGTATGTGTCTACGTATATGTACATGTATCAATGATGTACATGTGTATGTACATATGTGTGTACGGTATGCCTTGTATATGTGTATGTCTGTGTGGATGTGTGATATGTATATGCATATATGGTGTGTAGTGTGTGTGTGTGTGTGTATGTGTATGTATGGTGGTTGTGTGTGTCTGTCCTTCAAGAGCAGCGTGAAGATCTGTTTCTCTGCAAAGCCTCCTCTGACCGTGCCTTGGCAGTGCTGAGAGGTCTCAGCCTGGGCCTCGTTCCTTGACTGTGTGACTGCGGTTCCCAGCCTGTGCCGGGTGACTGATGTCTCTGCCTGCCTCCCCTAACACAGTGAGCCCCTGGAAAGAATGTCTTGTGTCATATTAGTTTTCCTTTCACATGCAACGGTATGTGGAATGGATGTTGAGTGTGTAGGTGAACAAATGAATGAACAAATGGATGGCCTCCATGCCACCACTGCCTATACTGACCTTGGTGAGCCCATCATCTACTCCTGATCACTCATGTCGGGGGCTTAATATCAAAGAGGCTGCCTTCCTATGGTTGGATCACCCGGATGGGACTTCAATGCCAGAAATCCTTGGCATCCACGTGGACATGGGGAACATCAGTGTCCCTGTGCATGGTTGGTGTAGGTGATCTCCCCGTGCTCTCAGATCTGTTGAGGGACTGGGCTGGGCAGCCAGCTGTGGTCTGGAAGCACCTTTCTTCTGTGGTTCCTGAGAGTTCCCTATCTGGCGCCCGCCTTCACGTTCCCTTGCCTGCTGGCTGGGTCGGCTGGAAAACGAAAGCATTGGGAAGTTGCTCTTCCCTGTGGTTAATGTGTTCCATGCCCGCTGTGTCCCCCTGCACTCAAGTTCCGGGCAATTACCCTCCTGCCGGGTTTTGTTGCTGAGCACAGCAGGTGGGCCTTGTTTGTAATTCACTTGCACCATTAACGCTGGGTTAGCACCAGAAGGGCGACTGATCCATTCAGTGCCCCCAGCCCCAGATGCCGTTCCATAGCAGGGATGTTAGTTGACTTTGGGGGTCCAACTGATTGTCGATTAAGGCATTTGAGAGGCTTAATCCATTGGCTGTCACAAAGTACTCAAAATCATCCACACTAATGGAAAATCTGTACCTAAATACCAGTCTCCCCAAATCATGGTGATTTGGCTTTGGACAATAATAGCAATAATCACAATAACAGCTGTCAAACATTGAGCACTTGCTATTTGCAGGCATACTGCTAAGATCGCAGCTAATATTTGACAGCAACCTTAGGAATGTCTAGCATTTTCTCCACTTTGTGAATGGGGAAACTGAGGTTTTGAGAGGTTAATCACTTGTCCCAAGTCACATGACTGGTAGGTAGCGGCACCCAGGCTCTGGGAGCTCTGTTTAAAACAGATGCAGAGCTTGTGCGGATAACCACTCCCTTGTACTGCCTCCTTCTGGGAGTTTTGTGAAGTTTTGTGAGTGGAGGGAGTGGGGGGACATCTCCAGCTTGCCATCCTAATTATTTTTTTTGCTAGCATTGATATTAAGATGAGTCACTGAGTAGGGGAAAGATGAATAGGATTAAAACATCCTCTGTAGGTTCACTTTTATTAATTAATCAATCATACACTTATTGAGCTCCAACTAGGTGGAAAACATTGTCCTAGGTGTTTTGAAGAAAACAAAGATAAATCATTCATCTGTTCAATAAATCTGAGAGATAGGGAGTCAGACATATCCTAGAACATAAGATGGGGGATGAATTGGTAGGGCGCGTTGGAAGAAGAATGCTAGGAACTAACCAACCACAGGGGTCTGATTTAGAAGAAAACCTTCCTTAATTCTCACTGCATGTTATCAAACCATTTTTCACATGTAACATCCCTGATCATTGAACAGCCTGGTGAAGTAGGCAGGGCAGGTAGTATGTCTCCTATTTTATGGGAAAGTAAGGCACAGAGAGATTCAAGGATCTGACCACAGTTACCCAGGGAACAAGTGGCAAAACCAGGTTTGAACACAGGCCTTCTGACTCCAAGTCCAGACCCTTTACTACAAAGATACTTTCATTAGAGCCTAACATTTGGGGATGAGCGGATCCAGACTCATCAGTGTGTCTGATGTCCCACATCCTACAGAGACTGGCTCTGGACCTGCCAGGGCTCTGCTTCCCTTGGAGAACCACCATACGCTCCTACCCAACGCATAGCTGCTTGGAAATTTTCTTTTCCAGTTTGTGGGAAAATGTCTGTGCTCTGATGTTCCAGTGGAATCAGCCCAGTTTGCTTCAGGGTCAGTTTTCCCCACATTCACACTACCCCCAACATGTTGCTAGGTGTCTGTTAACTTCTCCAGGCCATCGGGCGCCCCTTGGTCCCATGGATTTTTTGAGAGCACAGCTCTGGTCCTGGCCCTCCCTTGCCCAGAAACTTTTAATGGCTATTTGTTGCCTGGAGGATAAAGTCCAAACTCCTTAACCATGGCATTTGGGGCCTTCCAGAATCTGACTGCAATACTTACCCATCTCTGAGCCCCTCAGGAACAATGGGCTCCTGCCAGATTTGGTTTTTTCACCATCCTTCGAACAGCCCTTGCTTGCTTTCCCCAGCACTTACCTGGAAGGTCTCTCCCCACCCGGCACATGCCTCGGGGCTCAGTGTGTGGCCCACATCTTCCAAGATTCTTGCTGCAACTGCAGGGGCGCAGGGACATTTTTCTGCCTGCCTTCCAGCACTGTTCCTTGTTTTGTGACAGAGGCCACCCTGACTTATGAAAGCGGCTTCGCTGTGGCCGGGCATGCTGAGTTCCCGCAGCCTGTTTTACTCTTCACACAAGGACATCCTACTTCTCCAGGGAGCTTCTTGAGGGAAGGCACCACATCGGAGGGTCCCGGTGGCCGCCAGTGCCCAGCATGGAGCTGGGTGGGTCCCAAGCATGTGGGTATGCTGGCGCAGTGCCATAGAGCTGTGAGATCTGCCCATGTGGCAGCCCCCTGTTGGAGGAGGTACAGTACCCACAGCCTTTTTCCCTCTTCTGGCCGCCGGAGCTGGGTTCTCGGGTGTATGTGCCCCCTCACCAAGGTCCCATCCTTGTTGAGAGCAGGGATGACCCACTTGCTTAGCTAGGGAGGTTGAGGATTTCCTCAAGGCTGTCCTGTGACTATAGACCAGAGGGGGCTGAGCCTTCAGCCTCTGGACTTCTAAACCAGGGGCCGGAGACTAGCCTGACTTTGCCTGTGGTTTCTGTGACATCTCTAGGCCACTGGCAGAGGGAAGGTGATGGGCCCTAGACGGGCTCTCTTCTGTAAACTGTGTCAAATGCAGATGCCCAGGGCAGCCTCTGGATGGGGTGCCCTCTGCATGCCTGACCCCCTTAGGAGACTGAACATAGTGGTTCCCCAGAGTTCCTCCTTCCCTGAGGGAGGGCCTGAGATCCAGCCAAGAACTAGAGCCAGGGATCTTTGAGGTGAGAATCATGGCTGTAGGCAGGTGAATACCAGCTGTGGAGGGGGTGATCCTGGTTGGAGGAGTGCAGGTCTTGGGGTGAACTCCCAGGCTCAGCACTGAGCTCCAGCTTCTCTCTGGGCAGCCAGAGCATAGGCTGTGGAGGAATGTTCCAGAGAGGCCACCAGAGACCTAGGCAGGCCCAGCATTCACTGAACACTTGAACCTGGGCATAGGTGTATTAGCCTCACTCTGCAGAGGGGGGATGCGGGCTAAGGGGGTTAAGGAACAGGCCCAGGTCTTGGAGCTAGGTATTGAGAGAGTCAGGATTCTTTATTGTGTTTGTAATTATTAACCAGACTTTTTAAGTGAAACAAACAAACAAACAAACAAACAAACAGAAAAACCAGTCTAACCTCTCAGTTAAAAATGCAAACAATAGAGAACACTTGAGAATGAAAAGCAAGTCTACTTCCTTCTCCGACTGGAGTCCTGTATCCCCTCTCTGGGGGCAGCCAGTCAGCAGCCAGTTTCTCCTCCCTTGGCCCCCGAGGGAGCCTGGTGCCAGGGCCTTGCCCCAAGCAGATGGGAGTCAGTGCTAACTGGGCTGATGGAAGGGGAGGGGTGGCATGGGCCCTGCATGTGCCCTTAGGCAATTCCGAGAGACTATTCTGAGCTTGGATGACTCTAGTGGCATAGGTCTCCGAACCTTCAGCAGGACACCGCTCACGTTGCTGGGGACCTATCTAGCTCTGCTGCCCTCTGCCCCACACACCTGGGAGGGCTGAGGGGGGCTGATTCTGGGTTTCTCCAAGGAATGCGCACATCCAGAGATAGCTCCTTTCTCACCTGCTCTGGCTAAGACTGAAGAAAAAAAAAAAGATAGGGCCTACTTTCTGACGATGGTGGATAAGACAACAAAAAGCACTGATGTGCACCAGAAGTGGCCATGGACAGGACAGATGTAGTGGGGTCTCCACCTGGGCATGATGGAGCCAGGCCAAGGGACAGGAGCTCTGTGTCTGTGCCCAGCAGCTGTCAGCCTCAGGACTTCCTCTTTGTCACGAACAGCCGTTCCAGTGCTTTCCTCTGGCTTTGACCTGAGTACCGTCACCTGGGAGTCCAGCATAGCCCTCGCTGGCTTCAGGTGGTGGCATTGTGCCTGCATGGGTCATTACACAGCTGCCACCCATCCCACCCTCTTCTCCAGGCTGAGAAGCCCAGCTCTTCTCAGTCCTCCTTAGGGAAGGTTGCAGCACACACACCCTCACTCAAACACAGACAGTCATCTGCAGGACTGCTCATCTCCTCCCAAACACCCAGAGAGATGCCTAGCAGAGGAGAGAGGGTTATATTTATCTGGAGGTGATTAAAATGCTGTCCTTAAAAGTTGTTCTCTCCAAGTTGGTCTTCTCTCCTGCTCATTTGATTCCTCTGTGGGCACCCCTTCTGCCAGGTGTCTCTGCTCTAAGTGTGCTATAGGTGGCTTCAGAACTGAGCTGTTTTGTTTCAAAGCCTTGGCTCATGTGGTCTTTGCCAGGAGCGCATGTCCCCCAGGGCCCAGCCTGGTGGCCTCAGATAAATGTCAGGGATATTTGTCACCATTCAGAGCCAGTCCTGCCCTTCCCATCCCACAGGTGGAAGCTCTGTGGGCCTCATCTTCCACCTCCCGTGGCTGGCAATGAGCTCTTCCTCCTCTCACCTCTGCCTACCTCCCTTTCAGTGTACTGGAGATGGGAGCTGCGGGCTCCTTGCCTTTTCTGTGAAGGATGCTGAGTCCAGTTCAGGGTTCATGGAGAAAATCGGCCCTCAATGCAGAGCCTTATCCTAGACCAAGGGGTGCAGAGGGAGAGGGGACAGGCTTTTGTACTTACGGATGCCACAGCTAATGAGGGAGACTGGAAATCAACAGAGTAGATACGCAGAAAAGAAGCTCTAGCTTTGTGGTTTCAGCAGACTCCCTGTGATTTCTGAAACTCACTGTGCCATATCCCATCCTAGGCCTCTGCCCTCCTCATGTGTTGTTTTCTCCATCCTGGTCTCTTCCCTGCTCTTCGCATCCCCCCTCCCAGACCTGGCTAACTCAAGTCAAACATTTCATCCTTAGGGAGGTCTTCCCTCCCTGCTGCACCCTGAACCATCCTGTTCTTTTCCTTCACAGTCTGTAATTATGGCATCAAGACACCTGAATATCTGATTAGTGTCTCTTAATGTCCCAGACTGTAAGCTCTATGAAGGCAGGGACTGTATATATCCCAGGGCCTGGAAAATTACCTGCCATGCAGTAGACACTCAGTAGTATTCACTGAATAAAGTATAAATGTATAGTGGCATTCGGTATGTGTACATGCTTTGACCGGTCTTGGGTATGGGAACAACATAGATCTTTTGGCCGCAAAAGCACTTTACTCACCTGCAAAGTAATTCTACTTCCATGATCTCATTGAATCCTATTAACAACCCAGTAAGGAAGATGATACAAATGTCATTTCCCACCTTACAGCAGAGGAAATGGAAGCCCCAAGAGGTTATGTGATGGGTCCAAGGTCACGCAGCCCTCTACTTCCAATCTGCCGATTTTTCTCCTCTGCCAGAAGGACTGACTTCTTCAGGGAAAGCTTTGGGAATGGGGTTGATCTGGACCTGCACTCTGCAGGTCAGAGGGCTGTGGATTAATACCAGCAAGCAGGCATGGGAGGCCATCCTATTGGGGAAAGATGAGGATGCCATCAGAGTGTCTGTGTACAAGGGCTGGAAGGAAGCACTGAATGGGGTGGAGAGATGAAAGGCAGTTCCCATTTACTGACTGCATTATACTTGAGGTCTCTTGAAGCAACCTTTCCAGGGAGCTATTGTCTGCAGTTTTACAGTTGTGGAAATAAAGTTCTCAGAGATTAAGCAGCCAGCCCAAGGATGCATAGTGACAACTGGAATTGGAAGCCAGGGATGTCTTATCATGTCTCTGGGGAGGGGCCATTGTTTAGAGGTGCATTAGGGGTCTGAAATCTGTGTGAAATGTAGAGAGGAAACAAGACTTGTAATTCCTCATTCCTCTTGCTCCTTATTGCCTGAGCATTTGGCATGACTGTCTGTAGTCCTGTGGCCTGGTTCCTACCATGTACCCACAGTTGTAGTGCTCAGGGAACGTCCTCCCCTCAAGTTGGACCCGGGCTGGGTGGTCAGTGCCGCCACTGCTCTTCAGTTTATTTAGGTGAGTCAGACCAGGTCCAGCTCCCAGAGTGAATGCTCATTACCCCTGGCTAACCTGCTGTATCCTAACTCATCACAGACTCCTGGGAGCATCTCCTCATGGGAATTCCTAAAGGCCAGGGACACCTGGGCTGATCTTTTGGCCAAAGGGTACTCCCAGATGCATTCTTCTGTTGCTGGCCCCCTTATTCAGCAAGATGTGCAGGTGACCTGCTTGCATTTAGCTTGACTTATTCTCCAACATTATTATGATCATCATAATCACATTCCTACATTTTCTCAAGTGCCAACTGCATGCTAGGTTCTGGGACATGCAGGGAAGGTGGGTGTAGTGAGTGATGGGTGAGAACAAGTTCCCGGAGCCAACGCCCAGTTCCTCCATTTCCCCGCTGAGTGACCTTGGCAAGTTACACAACCTCTCCGCCTTTGAGTTCCAGGTCTGCACGTGGGGAGGATGGCAGTTAGGATGGCAGTATCTGCTTCGCAGGGTTCTCCTGAGGAGTAAATGAGTCTGAAGTAGTACTTTGCATATAGTAAATATTCAATAAAGATTATATTATCATAGAGTTCAGTTCTTACAACTGCAGAATTCCCAGAGCTTCTAAGAACCTTAGAGATCATCTAGTCTAATTCCCTCATTTTACAGAATGAGAGACTGCAGCTCAGAGAGTTGACTCCCAGAGCTGGTGAGCACCCAGGTTCCTGATTCCTGGGATAGTCTTGCATCCTGGCATCTCCCCATTTGTTGTCAGGGAGAGAGGACACCTAGAAAGTGCTGCCCAACTGCATTAGGCCACAAGGGTTGATTCTCCCTCAAGGAGGCCACAGAGGCTGGAGCAGACTCACTCCCCTGTCATGGCCACCCCCTACCCCTGCACACTCCATCCAGGCTGCTGGCTGCCACTTGGAGTTTCTCCCAGCCAGTGGGGGAGTCAGGACAGCAGAGAAGTTCACATCCATTTTTTTTTTTGAGGAGCCTGGAGCATCAGGAAGAGTAATCAAGATCTTGTTGCCCACAGCGGGGAAAAAAGCTGTCATTAATCTGACTGCCCCTCTGATCCCCTCTACCCTTCCTGCCGCCCCACAGAGACTGGTGGCTATCAGCCTCCTCTCTGACCCACCTCAGAAAATCACAATTAATGATGTAGTAGCCCTGTGAGGATGAGAGAGACCAGCGGAGGGACTGCTGACAAGTCAGGAGAGGAGAGGCTATTTGCACAACTGGGCCGATGGAGTCCAGACAGCATGTGCACAGCCAGAATACCATGAGCTGTCTGCAGGTGGTGCCTGTCTGTGCTTATGAACTGGCTGCTGCTCATGAATCAGCAAACATTTATTAAACTTCTAGTCAGTATGGACATAATAGCAGGTGTGGCAGGTGATACATGCCCCAAAGAGATGTTCCCCTGCTTTAAAAAATGCAAAGTGAAATAGCCATTCATTCATTCATTCATGCATGCATGCATTTGACAGTATTTATGTGTAGCTGCTGCATGCCAGGCACTGTCCAAGGTGCTGAAGGTGAATAAGCATGTTAAAGCTCCTGCCCTCATGGGGCTTGTATTCAAAGTACAAGCATGGAACCAGGGGGCCAGTCTCTTTCCATTGAGAGAGATGTTAGAGGATCTTCTAGGTTGAGAAAATGGATCCAGTCTTGCAGTTGTAAAAAAGTGGAAATGAGTTTCCCCTTATGGGAAAAGAGGAGACACTGATTTTTTGGTGTTAAGGTAAGGACACATCCTGGGCAGGTAAATGGTTAAGCAGAGGTGAGAACTTGGAAGCCTCAGCTCTGAGTGCGGTGCTCACAGTGCATCTTTGAGGGCTTTGGGGGACAGCATGTGAATAAATGGTGCCCCATGAGCTGCGGACAGTGAAGGCTGGAGGGTCAAAGGAGGAGAGCCTGCATGGGTAGAGAAATCGTACCTAGATTGTAAATTCCTCCTCTTCAGTGACACCAAATACCACTCACATGTAAATACTTGCAGTTGACAGAGTGTTTCCACATATGTTCTCTGATTGGACTCTTTTTTTATTCCAGCAGATACTTTCTGAGTGCCTACTATGTGCCAGCCTGTGCTAGGCACTGAGGACACAGGTGGAAAAGCCCGAATTGCTCCCTGCTCTCCTGGCGCTCATCACCCCGGAGGTAGGCACTGCCATTCCCATATTACTGGTGGAGGAAGAGGCAGGCTCTGAGGGGGGCAGCTGCTCAAGAGCATTCATTGTAAGGCCCAGAGCCAGATGGAGCCCAGCTTCTGTCTAGTCTGGGCCTTCCCTTCCCTCTGCACTCAGGATCAGCAAGGCTCCTACCTGTTGGGTGTCGAGAACAGGGTTGTCAAATAGATGGGGAATTTCTGTTTTTGAACTGTCTGTCTTCCAAACTACCTAAAGTACGGGAATGAGGCCCAGCTCTGTCTAGGTGGGGACTGTCAGAGACCCTCTGAGGTTGGAAGCTGTACTGACATACCTGCTTTCAACCTAAATTCTGCCAACACTGCTGAATTCAACTGTAGTCAAAGCAGGGGCCTGGGATTTGTGATTGCATATGGTTAGACACATACTTCAATTTGAACCCAGCACTGCTGTTTTTGTTGCGTGAGCTTGGATAAGTTACTGAGCCTTTCTGAGCCTCAGCTTCCTCATTTGTGAAATGGAGATGCAATGCCATCTTACAGGATGAGTGCGTGGCCATGAAGAGTTAGTATTTATTATTATTATCATTATTATTATTAGTTGAGACAGTATCTCGCTCTGTTGCCCAGGGTGAAGTGCAGTGGTGTGATCTCTGCCCACTGCGACCTCTGTCTGCCGGTTCAAGTGATTCTCCTGCCTCAGCCTCCCGAGTAGCTGGGATTATAGGTGCCTGCCATCACACCCGGCTAACTTTTGTATTTTTAGTAGTGACCGGGTTTCACCATGTTGGCCAGGCTGGTCTCAAACTCCTGACCTCACGTGATCTGCCCGCCTTGGCCTCCCAAAGTGCTGGGATTACAGGTGTTAGCCACCACACCTGGCCAGTATTTATTATTGAGTGCTTACTCTGAGCAGCAGTGCATAGCATCTTATCATGCAATCCTTATAGCAATTCCACGAGGGGACTATTAACATCCCCATATTACGAATGAAGAAGTCAAGGTTTAGAGATGTTAGCTGATTTGCCCAAGGTGTGCAGCTAGTACATGGCAGTGTAGGACTCAGCCCCATGTTCTTACCTGTGGCAGCCAGACCAAGCCCCAGGCACAGAATCAGAGGGCGGCACACATTTGTTTCCCTCCCCTTCTCGGCATATATTACTGTGATTCCCCTTGGCCTGCATCTGCTGCATTATGTCTGCTTAGGTTGTTTGTTTTAACTACAGTGAATATACAAAATGCACACACCAAACTGGGAATTTATTTCATATTGGCCCCGTCTGTTTATTTATTCATTCAGCCGATATTATTGGAGCACCTACTATGTGCCAGATAGGGTGCTGGGTACTTGGTGCTCTCCAGACAGCATCGTTGTCATAGGTAGGATGTGTGTCCCAGTGAGGCATGTTAGGGTATGGTGGCAGCAGATGGGGAGGGGATCACAGAAGCCTCGAGGGGAGCTGATGAGCTGAACCTGGAAAACACAGCTTGCAGTCCATCAGGGGATGGGACTGCATTCCAAGCAGAAGCACATGCAGGGGGCAGAGGGCACAGTGAAAACACACAACTTTTGTAGAGGAGTGGGGCTTTGGCTCTGCTGGGGCATCAGGTGCCGTAGGGTACAGGGTAGGGACAGGTGAGCAAAGCCAGATCATGGGAGGGTTTATCCATTAGATTGAGGGGATTGCCCTGATCTCCTGTGCAATGGAGAGCTCCCTAAGACTTCAGGGCAGGAGTGTGTCATTATCAAGTTTGTATTTCTGTAAGAAGCCCCTGGCTGCTCTATGGAGAACCAAATGGAGAGAGAAAGACCAGAGGATGGGGGCCCAATGAAGATGGTATTGCAGAGATCCAGGTTGTTGCTGACAAATGTCTGTGCTTGGACAGCCGGTGGTGGTGGAGAGAAAGGTGTGGTATTTAGGAGGCAGCGCTGTCAGGATCTGGGGACTTATTAAATGTGGGGGTGTGGGAACAGAGAAATCTAGGGTAACTCTCAGCCTTGTGGCTTGGGTGACTGGTGGATTGTGGTGTTACCTACTAAGAAGAGGAAGTAGGAGGAGGAGCAGGTGGCGGGCTTGGTGGAGACTACGCCTTCTTTTTAGGACAAGGTGTTTGTGGCATGCTGTGGGATCCCCAGGTAGAGATGTCACCAGGCAGATGTGCGGTCATAAGTCTGGGCTTGAGCTGTAGATGTCAATGCCACAGCATGCAGGTGGAGGAGAATATACCATGGGCAGGGGAGAAACCCCCCATGGAGGGTAATGGTCGTGGAAAGAGCAACCTGGTGCTCTAACTTCAGGATAAGTTCTTTTTTCGCCCCTGAATTATTAAAATATTTTCTGTTAATAAAGGATGCATTATTAGGTCCTAAGACTAGATTTATCTGAATGTTAAGCTGAAAAGAAGACCCCAAATGTCTTTGTGTTTTTTGGTGAAGAATCTGAAAGCTTCATCTTTCTGCTCTGTAGCAGTTAAGATAGAAAAGCTAGTGGAGTGAGAGACCTGGTTAGCCTTGGCTCTACCTCCAGACAGTTATGCGACCTTCAGCTAGTCATGTATCTTTTCTTGGGCACAGCTTCCTCATCTGTAATAGAGCTTGTTCTGCGGTTTAACTATGATAAAGACTGTGCAAAGATTTTTGCAAGCCACTGAGCCTTACAGACATGCAACATGGTGGCTCTTTTCATTCTTGTAAGATTTAAGAGGAAATTATTTCTCATCACTGTGTCTAGGGGGTCACAGAGCTGAGGCCCAAGAGCAGCCCAGGACCTGAGCCACTGTCATGCTTAAATGTAGTCTCGGCTGGGTGCAGTGGCTCACGCCTGTAATCCCAGCACTTTGGGAGGCCGAGGCGGGTGGATCACCTGAGGTCAGGAGTTCGAGACCAGCCTGGTCATCATGGTGAAGTCCCATCTCCACTAAAAAATTAGCCAGGCTTGGTGGTGGGCATCTGTAATCCCAGCTACCTGGGAGGCTGAGGCAGGAGAATTGTTTGAACCTGGGAGGTGGAGGTTGCAGTGAGCCAAGATCGCGCCACTGCACTCCAGCCTGAGCGACAGAGCAAGACTCTGTCTCAAAAATAAATGTAGTCTCCAGGATCCACCAGTCTTTGGGGCCATGAGCAGCTTCACTCAGTTCCTCAGGCCTGCACGAACTGCGTGTAGTTCTGTCATCAAATAAAATTTACACAGGGTAATCTGACACCTATTTAGCAGTCTGCTTAATAATTATGGTGCAGCATGCTGATCAGGCATAAATGGAAGGCATTTGAGGTAAGTGATTGTATTTAGTAGTACTTTTATATAGCCTAACTGGATTATTACAGTTTTTTTCTCCTTGTTCCACTCAACAAATATTTATCCACTCAACAAATATTTATTAAGGCCGTATAATATACCAGGCACTGTTCTAGGCCCTGGGGATATAGTCCAAACAAGATTCCTGTCCTTGCCCCACCTCTATTGAGCTTAAATTCTAGTAGGGAGACAGAAAATCACTGAATAATCAACTTTATCCATAATAAGTAAGAATGTCTAGCTTCTCCTAAGACTGTGTTTGCTTTAATCTATCCCTGCACCAACACCCATGAATTAAAGAACAAAGATTCTGGGCCTGATTTGCCAACAGCGGAGTTGCCTTCACCCCCATCCTTTACTCTTTATCTTCCTCTGTCTTCCTCTAGCAGGTGATTGCTTGAGGCCTTCCATTCATTGAACAAATATGTGCTGTGCACCTATTATGTATAAATAGACCCTGGGGATGCAACAGGAACCTGGACACAGTCCTTGCCCTTAAGGAGCACATACTGATCCCAGGCCTAGACGCATAAAGGCAACAGCAGAGGCAGGAAAAGTGCTGCTCTCAGAGCCATGCCTGGGTGCTGATGGCTCACAGAGAGAGGCCCCATTCTGGCCATGGCAGGGGTGAGCAGAGGGGTGTTCTTTGGGCAGAAGGGATGCCCTGTGCACAGGAAGTGACAAGGCTCTGCGTGTGGATGAAATGTTGAGTGTGTTGGGGGAGGCGGAGTGTCCCTGAACAAGATTTTTTTCTGAGGCATAACACACATAAGGAAAAGTGCACACCCCATAAGTTTACAGCTCAGTGATCTTTCACAAAGTGAACACACCTCTGCAAGCAACACTCAGCGTGAAAACCAGAGAACATCACCAGCACTGGGGAGTCCCCTCGTGTCCCCTGCCATTCTCTACCCTAACCATGAAACTGGACTTCCAACAGCACAGAGTGGTTTGGTCTATTTTTACACTTTATATAGACAGAATTATTCTGTCTCTAGAATGTGTAATCTTTTGTAATCTTTTTACACTTTATATAGACAGAATTATTCTGTCTCTAGAATGTGTAATCTTTTGTACCAGTCTTTTTTTTTGCTAAATCTTATATTTATGAGATTCATCCTTGCTGTTGCATGTGGTTGTCGATTATTCATTTTCATTTCTGTATAACATTCCACTGTGTGCATATATAATGTATTTCTCCATCGTGCTGCTGGACATTTGGGTGGTTTCCAGTTTGGGGAAACGAAACCACCAGAGTGCTGCTATAGACATTCTAGTGCATGTCTTTGCTAATCATATACATGCATTTCTGCTTGATAAATACCTAGGAATAGAGTTAGTGGGTCATTAGGCTAGATGTAAAGCTCTAGTATACCAGTTTTCCAAAGTACTTATTTCAGTTTACACACCTACTACCACTGCATAAGAGTTCCAATTTGTCCACATCCTTGCTAACACTTAATGTTGTCTTTTTTTAAAATCATTATAGTGAGTGTACAGTAGTTTAAAATTTCATTTTCCTGATGCTTAATGAGGCTGAACACCTTTTCAGATGTTTGTAAGCCATTTGGATATCTTCTTTAGTAAAGTGTCTGTTCAAGCCTTTGCCCATTTTCCTATTGGATTGTCTGTCTAGGGGTTGGAGGACGAAACTTTTTTTTTTTTTTTTTTTTTTTTTTTTTTTTTTTTTTTGAGACGGAGTCTCGCTCTGTCCCCCAGGCTGCAGTGCAGTGGCACGATCTCGGCTCACTGCAAGCTCCACCTCCCCGGTTCACGCCATTCTCCTGCCTCAGCCTCCCGAGCAGCTGGGACTATAGGCGCCTGCCACCACACCTGGCTAATTTTTTGTATTTTTAGTAGAGATGGGGTTTCACCCTGTTAGCCAGGATGGTCTTGATCTTCTGACTTCGTGATCCACCTGCCTTGGCCTCCCAAAGTGCTGGGATTACAGGCGTGAGTCTGTATTAAAATTAAACATTTTAATACTACTCTCCCAATCCAGGCACCTGGGATTAGCATATCCAGGTGCTCATCAGCCGCACCCTCACCCCAGTGAAGCCAGCAGAGCTGGCTGTCGGCAGAATCTGGGTCTCAGTGGGGGCCAAGGCACGTGCTGCCTTGGGGAGAGGCAGCTCCCTGCAAGGTTCTGGATTTGACATCAGAGGCCCACCCACCTCAGGAAGGAGGAGAGGGATTGGTAGAGGTTGGGGGTGGGGCTGGTTTTCAGCGGTAGTAGAGCAGATGTGGAAAGCAGCTGATAACCTGGGAGGTGTGTGTCTGCTCTCCATATTTGCTAGGAATGGACCGCTCCCATCTGGGCCAGGGAGGACCTGACATTTATGTAGCACCTCATTTAGGCCAGACCCTGAGCATGGTGGCTTCTCCGATGTTACCTTGATTCTTCTTTAGTTCAACTCCACCAGGAGGGGTTGTTATAGTACTTTTACATGTGAGGACACTGAGCCGAGACACAGAGGGGACCTTGTGAAGGCCACACAACTGGCAAGTGGAAGAGCTGGCCTGAACCCAGTTTCCTCTCACACCTCTCCTCAGTGTGCAGTGCCTGTGCTGCGTTTGGGGAAATGGAGTAACCCTCCCAACTCTCCCATCCCTTCCTCTTCTGCTCACCCATGGCTCCAATTCCTTAAGGGCAGATGAGGGTTTTGTTTGTTTGAGACAAAGGCTCGCTCTGTCGTCCAGGCTGGAGTGCAATGGCGAATAGCGCAACCTCGGCTCACTGCAACCTCTGCCTCCTGTGTTCAAGTCTGTGACACAGGGTCCCGAGTAGCTGGAATTACAGGCATGCGCCACCATGCCCACCTAATTTTTGTATTTTTAGTAGAGACGGGGTTTTGCCATGTTGGCCAGGCTGGTCTCAAACTCCTGGCCTCAAGTGATCCACCCACTTTGGCTTCCCAAAGTGCTGGGATTACAGGCGTGAGCCACTGTGCCTGGCTGCGAGCAGATGAGGTTCTTCATTTCTAATGACACGCCATGAATCATCCAACCACAGTTACAGCAACCTGCCCCATGTCGGTCACAGAGCTGAAGTTAGAACCTGAGCCTTCTTTGAGCCCGGCATGTAAGGAGGAAAGACAAAGGGGCCTCTCCGGCTCCTGGGTGTCACTGGGATGGTGGGGCAGCTGCCTAGCTGGAGCCTGGGACTCACGTGCCCCCAACCCCCTCTCTCGCAGAGTTATGTCATGCCCAGGCCAGCAGGGGGCTCCATGAGGATTCATAGAAGATGCCCCGCGTCTCGGCGCCTTTGGTGCTGCTTCCTGCGTGGCTCGTGATGGTCGCCTGCAGCCCGCACTCCTTGAGGATCGGTAAGTGTGGCCCAGCTTGGGGCAGTGCCCCCACCCACTATCCCAGGTGTCCACAAGGGACATGAGAGTGCTGCACAGGACTTGGGGAAGCTGCCCAGCCCGTGCACTGTGCCCTCCCTGAGTGTGGCTGGGGTGAACATGCAGGTGGTGGTGGTGGAGGCAGCTGACAGGTGACCACTCCGATCTGGTCAACCTGCTGAGCTCCCCGGCCACTAGAATAAAGATGCTGATAACTCCCTAGTGCAGTCAATGTAGGTTCAGCCTAGCAGGTTAAGAGGCAGCTGTCGGGGAAAAAGGAGGGTGAGGATGGCCATGGGGACTCCAAATCTAGGGCTGGAGATGGGAGAAGAGGTCCCTTCTTTCCTGTGATCAGTCCAAGAAGGCTTCCTGGAGAGAGTGCTATGTCCACAACTTGGAAGAAGCCAGGAGTCTGCTGGCGTGGCCTGGCTGCTTGGAAGGGCCCTTGACATTGGGTCTGCTTGCTGTGGCCTGGCTCTGAGAGGGAGGGCAGGGTCATGTGAGTCTCTCCCTTGCCTTGTTGCTGTGGGACGCCCACTTTAGGTGTGGGCAGGCGGGCTTCCACCTGAGCCCTCAGCATCCCATCCCTGGAGGGGCGGGTCTGGGAAGTCAGGTGCCTCCTCCCTGCTGGGACTGAACAAGACTTGTCAACTGCAGGTTGAGGCTCTCTAGATCCTGGTTCCTGGGGACACAGCCAGCCACAGGGACAAGGACACAGTTCAGTCCGGCAGGCGCAGTGTGGTCATCTGATGGCCCAGCAACAGAGAACCCATGGAATTAGGACAGATGTGGGGTGTCGGGGATCAGGGGTGTCTATGTGTACATCGGGGGATGGGGATTAGTGTGGACAGGTGGGTGGGGCACAGCAGTGACAAACCCAGAAAGGTAGGTTGATGGCCACAAGACGACCCATCCAACAGCAGGGCCCCAAGGGTAGAGTTAAGTGACAGCCCTAGAGGAACTCAAATACCAGGCAGGTTACCCCAACGGATAACCACATGAGGCCCCTCTTCCCACACTGGGGGTGGGGTTGGGGGTGGGAGCAAAGGCAGGAATCTAGATCTTAAACCTGAGCCTGAAAGGGTTAGAGGCTGACTTAGAGCAAAGATGGCACGATGCTGAATCTCAGGGAGCTGACTTAAAGCTCCCAAATTCCTCCAATTGCATTCAGGTCGGTGTGCTGGTGATGGTCAGGAGGCCATGGTGTGGGCAGAGGTGGGCGAGCAGCCAAAACCTGGCTAGGCCAGGGGTCACAGGCCGGAAGCCCAGCCTGCAGGTCTGTGAGCTGCTTCGTTTTACCTTGTGGGCACAGTTTTTCATGCAAATGCAGAGGAGCTGATTGGAATCAGAAATGTGGACAGGTGACCCAGTTCTCCCCCTCACCCTGCCCTCGACACACTGCTCTGCATGCTTAAAAAAAAAGAAATTAAAAAACAAAATTTTCCCTCCCTCTTCTCCGTTCATTTTTACAGAAACTTCAAAACCTAATTTAATTCTGCTTAGCAGCAATGCAAAACGGTTCATATCCTTAAGATGTTTAATTTATAAGATGCCTATAGTTTTTCAGCGTTTGCTGCAAGGTCTTCTCCCTCTCTAAATGAGTGAATAAAGTGGCAACCCATCAATTTCCATTTGTCGCTAATGGGAAGCGGAAAGGGATTGAGCCAGAATCAGTAGCACCTCATGGCCTCGCCTCTCCCGACACTTGTGCTCTGGGAGGGAAGCAGAAAGCGGAGCTGACAGGTCCCTCTTTTGGCTGCCACAACAGAGGGCTTCAAAGGCACCCCTCGTGCTCCCAAACCCATACTCTGAACAATGCTTGTTCAGCTCTGTCAAGACTGCTGGCCCTCAGTTTTGGTTCATGCTAGGCCACTTCCAGCCGCTTTCCAGCCAGGGGCCCTGCTGGCTGGCAAGGTCAAACCGGGCCTAATCTCCTGCAGAGGCCAGGAAGCAGAGTTAAGCCAACAGAAAGGGAAGAAAAGAAAAACCCAAACAGCAGTGCCAGGACCCGTTCTTCCTGTCTCCTTGGTTAGCCTGAGTGCCAGGAGCTTTTTAAAATCTCCCAATCCTTATGGATGGAAAGTTGCTAATTACATGGACTCCAGAGGGGATGTGGAGTAGCGCAGGGATGGGAAGAGAAGTGGGTCAAGAAAACACAAGTAGCTGTGCTGAGCAGCAGGCAGCCTTGCATGCAGATGGGCTGGGCTGGCGTTAACTGTGCTGGGGTCTCTGGGGTCCTTGAGAGGCTTATGGGAAGGGAAGGGGCTGCTGCTCCTCTCGCCTTCCCAGGGGTCACTTTTCCTTGCATTTGAGTTTTTCTGGGGTTTTCCCCAACCCCAGCCTCAGAATGGGTGGCTCTCTGAATGGGGCTGCATGAAGAGACCAGGGATCTGAGAGATAAATCGCCCTGTTTGCTCCATCCTCAGCCCCACTTGTCTGCTGGTGACAATATGGATGTTTGGAAAGAGGTGGCCGAACCCATTACCCTGCCTTGTGATGGCTGTTTTTCATTCAAGTGAGGTACAGGGCAGGAGATACAGCCAAATTGTCTATTACAGTGTTTGGTGTTTACCCCTCGAATGAGGTTTTGGGTAAAAGAAAGGGATTTTATTTATGGCTGTGAGGCTGGCTGCATAAATTCCCCAAACTCTCACACATATGTCAACCCCTTCCATCATCTATCTTCTGAAAATGTGTTTGGATTTTGCTTCAGTCCCTCTGGGTCCTCTGAGTGATAACTGTGGAGCCACAAGTTAATAAATGCCCTGAGGAGACCCCACCCCATCTTTGCACCCCCTTCATTACTTAAAGAGACCAGAGATCATTGTCATTCTTAGATCCGGAAGGGACTGTAAGGATTCGTTATCTAACCTGCTCATCTTGCAAATGAGGAAACAGGGTCACAGCAGGCAGTGGTTTGGCCAAGGTCACCTGACAAGTAGGGGCCTGGCTGGTGGCAGCTGACACTGGTGCTGGTATCCTTGACTCCTCTTCCAGTGCTCTCTTCTCCATGCACCCATGGGCTCCCTTAGCTGCTGAGAAGCAGAATCACCTTCAATAGTATGTGAAGGTTATATTCTCCTACAGTTTCCTCCATTCCTGTTCAGAAAACATTTCAGACATTAGCAAATGTGTTACCCTTGCCCCTAACACCTTGAGACTCATTAAGTATTTGTTAACTGAATGAACGCTAGGCTCCAAGCCTACCTCTTGTTACTCCTTCCTTGGCTCTGTATTTTACCTACACTAAACCACTCCCTGTGAGCCAAATATACCAGGAGGATTTACTCCCAGCTTTACCCATTCCCCTGCTCTCCCTATAGTGCTCTTCCTCCCGTTTCATCTTCTCTGCCTGCAAAACAAATCCAGCTCCTCCTTCTACTCCTCTTCTTTTTCTTCGTCTTCCTCCTCCATCACCATCAGCTTAAATGGCTCTTCCTCTGCAAAGTCCTTTCCCGTTATCATCCTGTCCGTAAGAGGGAGAATTCATCTTTTTCCTACCATTCCCCCATTCCCCCAGCACATAACATCTGTTCCAGCACTTGCCGTGTTATATTCTAAAGATTATGGCATTTTCCCACTAGACTCTGAACTCCATGGGAGAGTGATCCCCAACAGAAGGGCCCAACACATGATGCAAAGAAGTATATGGGTGCAGTTTAATGAATGTGATGGATAGATGAATCCATGGTTCTTGCAAGACTGGGTTTTCCAATAACATGTTTGGTATCATTGTTTTAAATGGCACTGTCTTACCTATGCATAAAGAGGTAAACTTATTGGAGAAAGTAGAAGAGAAAGGAGAAAGAGGAAAAGGAGAAAATGTCCATCTGTCTGTCTTACTTAAAAGAGAATAGGAATGGGCTGAAGATCCTGGTTGGGTTCTAATGAAAGCTTTGGCAGTAATAATAAACTCAATGACACAATTATTCATTCATTAATTAACTCAACAAATATTTATTGAATGCTATGTGCCAAGCACTGAGGATGCAGTGCTACCAATAATAATCAAAATAATAACTCCCATTCTTTGCCTGGCACTGGGCTAAGTATTCCCCATATCTCACCCAGTTTCATTGGACCAAACAATCCCCTGTTACAGATGAAGCAATGGAGGCTCAGAGGGTTTAAATAACGAACCTAAGGTCACACAGCTAGTGAAATTTGAACCTGTCTCCAAAGCTGTCTCTTCCTGCTCTTCTAGAGCTGATGACCCCCTGGAAACATTTGGGATATCCCATTATCACAGCCATCACATTAAATACATTGTGTTCTGCTGGTAAGGAGTTGAAAGATGGAATCATCATGGCTAATATAGTTTCCTGCTCTTTTATGGACACTTTTTACCTCAAAAGCATTTCTTAAAGGGCACAAAGTCTAGTTGAGAGATGAGGAAACTGAGGCATGGGGATTTCAGGGCTCAGTCGAGGTGGCAAGGGAAGTTCTGCTCAGCATGGGCATATTAGACACATCAGCAGGTTATTGCAGCAATTGAATCTCTCTTGTTTAAGGTTTCCCTGTGTGGTAAAGCAGCAAGAGCTTGGATTTATTTTATACTCTGTCTTACGAGGACCCTCCAAGCACTTTATAACTGTAATTTTTTACTTAGTTGGTTTCCCCCCAATGAGCTCCAATTCTGTACGGAGAATGTTCAACATAGAACATTGAAATGTTATAAAGATAAAGATAATAGGAGAATTGGGGGAGACAAGGGAAAAGGATAAAAAACACCAGTTTCTTATCCTGTTATGCTGTGTATTAAATACATCTAATCCACCGAGATTCAAATATACCAGCTGAATTCTTTGCCTTGTAGAGGATTCACCATGGGTTTGTTTGAGCAGTGGGCTCCTCTGATCATGTTAGCACATGATTTGATTTATGAAATTTTGATCAGCATGCAACTTTTCATCTCATTTCCAAATTGAGTCACCCATATAGACAATCAATTGGTCTTTCACATTAGTGACAAATAGAAATTGATGACTTTCTCCTTCATCTGTCACCTAGGGGGGGAATATAGAAGGATTTCTAGGACATAAATCTCTCCCCTGGTAAGCACCTTAGGGAGGCTGTGTCTTTCTTATTCATGTCTGTATTTCCAGAGTCTAGCACTGTGCTTGGCCCACAGTAGTGGGCTTAGTAAATGTTTGCTAAATGAATTCACTGTGGCAAGATCTGAATTTTGAGCTGACCCGTCAGTTTGCAAACTTCTCTTCCCCCAGGAATTGGTCAAGGTTTAAAAATGCCAACCAATGTTATTGTCAGCCCATAAAATACATAATTAGGAGAGTAAATATTTTACCAAAAGAAAAAAAAGTCTGCGCGTGTGTCTGCACACACTTGTGCTTATGTAAGGCTATCTCTCCTCTCCTCCTTGCTCCTCCCCTGCCACCAACACATTTTGGGGTGACTGAGGGAGGTGTGGCTGTAGTGAGAGAGATATTCAGGCTGGCATGCTGTGGTGTCATCCGTCTTCCCTTGGTCTTCAGGAGCCAAGGGTGGTTTTGGGATGTTTATTCTCTCTTTTGCCCTTTCCAAAACCCATTGTGCACTGTAACTTCATCTGTAATCTCTTCTACTGAGAGGTTAGAGATGAATTAGGCCTAGATATTCCGTTTTACAGATAAGAAATCCCGGGGTCCCAAAAGGTGAAAGGAATTGGTGAATGCCCTTTTGGTGGTGCCAGGACTCCTGACTCCCAACCGCCTGGGTGACATTTGTGCCATGGTTTGTGGTGTATAGCGTGTTCTTACACACATGTTAATTCACTTTCCCCGGTGACCTGCAAGGCAGGTTGAAGTGAGCACATCTTGTGGAGAGGAGCCTGAGTCTCCCAGGTTTGTGACTTCCCCAAGCTTGCATAGAGGTGAGTGGTCAGGTCAGGAAGAGTGGTCACATCAAAGGGGATGGACCGATAAGCATCTGAGGACAGCGTTGGGACAGGGTCCTGAATAGCCTGCTGGCAGTGTGTTCTCGATGAGTGAGATCTGAATGCCACCAGGGGCCAGTGTGGCGACGCCTGGGGGCTCACAAAACGAGGCAGAGCTAAAGAGAAAAAGCACATAGGTAATGGCAGTGAGCGTTAGTAAGTGTTGCTTCTCTATTTTGTTTTCTTAAGCATATTGTGATCCATCATTGGTAAGGATCCCACTGGTAGAAGTGTCAGACATGAAGGGATGGGGCTATTGTTCCATATCTGAAGTCTTAGGTAACAGAGCTGATTTCCATATCATTTTGGTATGTGGCTGCCTGTGTTCATTTGTGCTAGAATGGCCTGAGTATCTCCAGGTTTTCAACGAATATTATGGGCTGATGGTATCTATTCAGTTGGATCGAGCAGCGTGGCCAGTGGACCTGACTGGCAGTATTGGATTCAACAGGGATGAACACCATATTGAAAGAGTGATGGTGATATTTCATGAGAATTTCAAAAGCCTGTCTCCAGCTCTGTGAAGTCATTTACAAAACGTCTTGGGATGTGGAGTGAGTCACTAGCAAGCTCTATTTTGGTGGGGGGTGTTGGGAGTGGAAATTATGGAAAGAGGTTTTGATTCCTTGTAAAAAAGTGTTTTCCAGGCAGATGGAATGGGCTTTTTTGGATACCAAGGTCCCCATACCCGGAGGGGGCCACACAGGTCGGACAGGGATTTCAGCCTCAAATGTGGTATTGGACCTGTTACCTCTAAGACCCCCTTCAGTCTGGGATTTGGTGATACAATCTTTTCACCTTTGGTCTCTTCTCATCCTCTCATAGGGAGACATTTCATTATCATTGTGTCCTCATTAATAACCATTAACAAGAGCTTAGAATTGAGGCAACCAGCTGCCTAATTTAAGCCATGACCCCATTTGGCTCCAATCCTTTGGATAAGCCAGGTAGGACATAAGAACCCTGCTAATTCTTTTGTTCTGTTGATGTAGACCTGGGCTGTCTGGGTGCTTCCTTCCTCCCTGTGGCCACTGATGGCAGAGCTGGAGAAGCACAGGCAATGTGGAAGCTGCTGCTAGACCTCAGCCGAGTGCCTGCGTGGGCGGGACGCGTGCGTGTGCATCGCTGGAGCCAGCACATCCCACTCACAGCCTCGCGGCTCGTCAGCAGGCAAGACAGTGGTCACACTTAGCTCTCATTAGTCTGGATAAACAGGCACACGTTCCCTATCAGCTTTACGGGGGCTGGGGCTCGGCTCGGTGGGTAGTGTGGGCAGCAGGGTGCTGCAGACAGCTGTCAGGCTGTCCCATTGGTGTGTGTTTCCTCCCATTGAGCTGAGATATGGTACCTGGGCAGCTCGTGGTGGACCCAGCCAGCGAGGCCCATTAAACCCACACTGATGAGGGGTGTTGTGGAGAGGACACTGACCAGTCAGGTGCAGATGTGCACGCAGTGGCAAACACAGTCCTATAGCTGGGCAGACAGTGCCACTGTGCTGGACTCGAGAGGCACTGTGACTCAGTCTAATGCTCAACCCTGACTGGAGGTCTCTGGAATTGAGACTCTATCTATCTGAGTATGACCCCTTTAGAAAAGGTTCATCGTGTCTGTAGTCCCAGCTACTTGGGAGGCTGAGAGGGAAGAATCACTTGAGTCCAGGTGTTTGAGGCTGCAGTGAGCTATGGTAGCACCACTGCCCTCCATCCTGGGTGACAGAGTGAGACCCTGTCTCATAGATGGATAGATAGATGGATAGATAGATAGATAGATAGATAGATAGATAGATAGATAGATAGATAAGTAGGTAGATAAGTACATAGGTAGGTAGATAGAGAGGTAGGTAGGTAGGTAAGCAGACAGACAGAGAAAGAGGTAGGCAGACAGAGAGATAGGTAGGCAGATGAAAGAAATAAGAAAGAAAGAAAAAAGAGAGAAAGAGAGAAAGAAAAAAGAAAAGAAAAGAAGAAAGGAAGGAAGGAAAGAAAGAAAAGAATGAAAGAGAGAAAGAGGGAAAGAGGAAGAAAAGAAAGAAAAAGAAAGGAAGAAAAAGAAAAGAAAACAAAAAGGAAAGAAAAGAAATGAAAAGAAAGAGGCTTACCTCTCTGAAACCCTACCCCGGGGAAGACGTCAGCCCCAGCCCTTTAAGCTCCCATCACTCCCTGTGTTTCAGGTGGGGAATCAACCTGAACGGGGTTGACTGGTCCTCTAGGGTAGTCCACAAGGGGGTCCCCCATGTCTCCCTCTCCTCTCAGTCTCTTCCACCTGGACTCACCCAGGTTCCTTCAGTGGCTTTTCATATGATTGAGGAATGGAGTCAGATGTGTTGTGGGGAAACACTGGAGTTGGCTCCCGGGAGGCTCTAGCACAGTGCACATATTAACACCAGGAGCGTGGGCTCTGGAACCAGACTGCTCGGATATGAATCTGAGCTCCACCCTTTACTAGTGTATGACTTTGGGCAAGAACATAATTTCTCAGTGTCTCCATTTCTTCATCTATAACATGGGCTAATAGTAGTCCCTGTTTTATGCTTTTATAAGAATTCAATAAGTTCCTGCATAGAAGCACTTAGGATGGTGTCAGGCATACAGTAAGTGCTATGAAAGTGACATCTGTAATTGATAATAGTACTACTGGGCCAGCCTGTTTCCATCTCTAGCCTTTGCCTGCCCGGATCACCCTTCCTCATTTCTCCACCAAATCTTGTCTCTTCTCTTCTTTTAAACCCTGCTTTAAATTCACCTTGTTCTGGGAGATGAGAATCCCCACCTTGTCTAGGGAACTTTCCCTTCCAAAGCGTGGGTGTGTGTGTGTTCACACACTCATGTGTGGGTGGCACTCTTTCTGGGCACTTACCCCCCATTTCTGTGCAGCATTTTTTGAAACCTTATTTGAATTCCATCTACCCTGGGAGGCTAAGAGCATCCTGAGGAGAGAGCTCTGTCTTTCCTACCCTCTTAGCCTGGTGGACTCTTCACACAGGAGCAGTTGTCCCAGGTACTGACTGATGGAGCTGAATGATTCCCGCTTCTTAAAAACCTTCCTTAGCTGCTGTCCCTCTACAGTGGGCTCCTGATTTTTCTTCTTCCTTTTACAGCAAAGCTCTGCAAAAGAATTGCCTATTCAAGCTGTCTCTATTTCCTCTCCTCTCTCTCTTTCCCTATCAATAGGACCTTCTCCAACCAGACTTTCAGTCCCGGGCATTGATGCCCAGATTGCTAAATCCAGTGATCTGTCCCCAGGCCCCATCTTACTGGACTTAGCAGCAGCATTTCACATAGTCTTTTCCTCCTTCTTCCTTGAAACACTTTTTCACTTGGCTTCTAGACCACGCCCCATCTTGTTCTTGCACTGTTTCTGGCTATTCCTTCTCAGTCTCCTTTGCTCGTTCCTCATCTCTTGATCTCTGAAGATGGATGTGCCTCAGGGCCCGGTCCTTAAACCTCTTCTCTCTGCATGCCCACTCCCTGGTGATCTCATGCAGTCTTAGGGCTTTAAAGCATCAATATGCTTATGACTCTCTAATCTCATCTGTAGCTCTGACCCCTTCCAGAACTCCAGATTCATCCCCACTGGGATGTCTAACAGAAACTCAGATTTGCCATGTCCAAAATCGAGTTATTGATTCTCCCCTCCATGCCTGCTTCTCCTACTGTCTACTCATTTCATAAATGGTAATGCCATTCTATCTCTGTGGACATAGGCTCCAAACCTTGGAGTCATCCTTGGTCTCATCTTTCTCTGATACCCACATCCTCTCTATCAACAGTCCTGTTGGCTCTGCCTTCCAAGTATATCCAGTACAACCCAACTGCGTCTCACCACCTCAGCAGGTGCTTCCCTTTTCCAAGCCAGTATTATTTCTCCCTGGATTACTGCAAACCTTTCCTGTTAGTTTCCCTGCCTCTTTCTTGCCCCTCACTTTTCATTCTCAAAATGGCAGCAAAAATGACTCTTTTAAGATGTAAATTGGATTGTGTCAGTCCACTGCTCCAGTCCTCTGCTGACTTCCCATGTCAGAATAAAAGATGAAGTCCTCACAGTGGCCCACAGGGCGGTCCATGAACTGCCCTTTATTCTGATGAATTTTATTGTCATTTCCTACCACCCTGCCTCTCACTCATGCCACACACCACCCCCAGCTCCACCAGCTTCTTTGCTTTTCCTCAAATGCACCAAGTGTGCTCCTGCCCCAGGGCCTTCACACCTGCTGTGCCCTCTGCCTGGAACACTTTTCACCTGGATATCTGTGTGGTTCACTTTCTCATGCCATGCAGGTCATGCCCTGACCATCCTCTAGCCCTGCCTCTGCCCCTGACACTTTCTGTCCTTCTCTGCTTCCTTTTTCTTTTTTTTATTTTTATTTTTATTATACTTTAAGTTCTGGGATACATGTGCAGAATGTGCAGGTTTGTTACATAGATATACATGTGCCATGGTGGTTTGCTGCACCCATCAATCCGCCATCTACACTAGGCATTTCTTCTAATGCCATCCCTCCCCTTGTCCCCCACCCCTCGACAGGCCCCAGTGTCTGATGTTCCCCTTCCTGTGCCCATATGTTCTCATTGTTCAACTCCCACTTATGAGTGAGAACATGTGGTGTTTGGTTTTCTGTTCCTGTGTTAGTTTGCTGAGAATGGTTTCCAGCTTCATTCATGTCCCTGCAAAGGACATGAACTCATTCTTTTTTATGGCTACATAGTATTCCATGGTATATATGTGCCACATTTTCTTTATCCAGTCTATCACTGATGGGCATTTGGGTTGGTTCCAAGTCTTTGCTGTTGTGAATAGTGCTGCAGTAAACTTACGTGTCCATATGTCTTTAGAGTAGACTGATTTATAATCCTTTGGGTATATACCCAGTAATGGGATTACTGGGTCAAAAGGTATTTCTAGCTCTAGATCCTTGAGGAATCGCCACACTGTCTGCCACAATGGTTGAACTAATTTACACTCCCACCAACAGTGTAAAAGCATTACTATTTCTCCACATCCTCTCCAGCATCTGTTGTTTCCTGACTTTTTAATGATCGCCATTCTAACTGGCGTGAGATGATATCTCATTGTGGATTTGGATTTCTCATGGATATCTCATTTTGATTTGGATTTCTGTAATGGCCAGTGATGATGAGCTTTTTTTCATATGTTTGTTGGCCGCGTAAATGTCTTCTTTTGCAATATGTCTGTTCATATCCTTTGCCCACTTTTTGATGGGGTTGTTTGTTTTTTTCTTGTAAATTTGTTTAAGTTCCTTGTAGATTCTGGATATTAGCCCTTGTCAGATGGATAGATTGCAAAAATTTTCTCCCATTCTGCAGGTTGCCTGTTCTCTCTGATGATAGTTTTTTTGCTGTGCAGAAGCTCTTTAGTTTAATTAGATCCCATTTGTCAATTTTGGCTTATGTTGCCATTGCTTTTGGTGTTTTAGTCATGAAGTCTTCACCCATGCCTATGTCCTGAATGGTATTGCCTAGGTTTTCTTCTTATGGCTAGCCAGTTTTCCCAACACCATTTATTAAATACAGAATCCTTTCCTCGTTGCTTGTTTTTGCCAGGTTTGTCAAAGGTGAGATGGTTGTAGACGTATGTTGTATTTCTGAGGTCTCCGTTCTGTTCTATTGATCTGTATATCTGTTTTGGCACCAGTACCATGCTGTTTTGGTTACTGTAGCCTTGTAGTATAGTTTGAAGTCACATAGTGTGATGCCTCCAGCTTTGTTCTTTTTGCTTAGGATCGTCTTGGCTATACGGGCTCTTTTTTGGTTCCATATGAAATTTAAGCCAGGCACAGTGGCTCACGCCTGTAATCCCAGCACTTTGGGTGGCTGAGGCAGGCGGATCATGAGTTCGGGAGTTTGAGACCAGCTTGGTCAACATGGTGAAACCCCGTCTCTACTAAAAATACAAAAATTAGCAAGGCATGATGTCAGGCACCTGCAATCCCAGCTACTCAGGAGGCTGAGACAGGAGAATCACTTGAAACTGGAAGGCAGAGGTTGCAGTGAGCCAGGATTGCACCACTGCACTCCAGCCTGGTCAACAAGAGTGAAACTCTGTCTTAAAAAAAAAATAGAAAAAAGAAATTTAAAGTGTTTTTTCTAATTCTGTGAACAGAGTCAATGGTAGCTTTGATGGGAATAGCATCGAATCTGTGAATTACTTTGGGCAGTATGGCCATTTTCACGGTATTCATTCTTCCTATCCATGAGCATGGAATGTTTTTCCGTTTGTGTCCTCTCTTATTTCCTTGAGCAGCAGTTTGTAGTTCTCCTTGAAGAGGTCCTTCACATCCCTCTAAAGTTGTATTCCTAGGTATTTTATTCTCTTTGTAGCAATTGTGAATGCGAGTTTGCTCGTGATTTGGCTCTCTGTCTATTATTGGTGTTTAGGAATGCTTGTGATTTTTGCACATTGATTTTGTATCCTAAGACTTTGCTGAAGTTGCTTATCAGCTTAAGGAGTTTTTGGGCTGAGATGACAGGCTTTTCTAAATATATAATCATGTCATCTGCAAACAGAGATAATTTGATTTCCTCTCTTCCTATTTGAATATGCTTTACTTCTTTCTCTTGCCTGATTGCCCTGGCCAGAACTTCCAATACTATGTTGAATAGGAGTGGTGAGAGAGGGCATACCTGTCTTGTGCCAGTTTTCAAAGGGTATGCTCCCAGCTTTTGCCCAGTCGGTATGATATTGGCTGTGAGACCATCCTCTATCCCCTCCTCTGCCCCTGACACTTTCTGTCCTTCTTCTCTGCTTTATTTTTCTATAACATTCATCATCATCTGACATATGGGTCCTATTGTTTATTGTCTGAGTCCTCCCATGGGGAAAAACCCTTTGTTTAGTTCTCTGCTGTTTCCCCAGCACTTAAGACTGAGTGCATGGTGTATAGTAGGTGTCCACTAAATATCTACTGAATGAATGAATGATGGAGACCCAAGGGAGGTCCCAAAGGAGCTTTACATTTGAAAGCTTTTGGAAGGCAGAGATGGGCGGTCTCACGGACACAGAGGCAGCCCTTAACAAGTGCTGCTTGCCGAGGACTGTGCAGTGATGCTGCTGGCTCCCTGTCCCCATATTGTCTGATCCCTGCAGCCAAACCCCAGGTCCTGAGGCAAATCTTGTTCCTATTTGGAGGAAGCCCAAGCCAGCAGTTTAATGACTCAGCATCAACCTGAGTTTTGACTGTTGGTCTTACCTTGTCCCTCAGATCCAAACACCAGGACTTGGCAAACACAAGTCCACCAGCGCTTGTGTTTCCCCTGCAGTGCCTAAGTCTTCTCCTCAGGTCTGAGACTTCACTCTGATGCTCTGGCTGTGCCCAAGCTCCTCTGGGACTATGGTCAGACCTTTTTGTCTCAGTCTTGCAGGAGCCTGGAGACCGGAACCTGGACCTAGCATCTCAGCTGGGACTGCCCCTGGCCTCCAGCTCTTTCCTGAAACTGCCATTGTTGGTAGTTTCAGGAAACTGGGGGAGCCTTGACCAGTTCTGACTGTTTGCTTTTCCTTAGATTCACAAAATCTGCATGCTGGCAGGGCCCTCAAGTAACTCATTCCTCCTTTGAATCATTCTGACCATTGGTTTTTCTATTGAGCCTGACTCTATCTCTCTGTGCCTACCGTTCTAGCTCTGTCTGTTCTTCGGGGCCATACAGAACAGGCCTGGTGCTCTTCCCTGTGATGGCCCCTCTGAGACCTGCAGCAATATCATTTCATGGCTCCCGGCATCTTCTTTCTTCCAGAGATGCACCATTAGTGCCTTTGATGGTTCCTTCCATCTCATGGATTGGATCCAATTCATCAACCTGGTCACCCTCCTCTAAATCAGTTTTCTTTTTTCTCCATCCTAATTAGGATGTGATCCCCCAAATCAGAAGCAGGCACTCTTTTCACCTGCTTTTCATCCACTATAGGTATCTGCTCCAGCCTGGTGGGGATCTGGCCTCTAGGTTCAGAGCCCCTTGTTGAACCCATTCCCACCCAGCCCTGGCTGTCCAGTCTTTGGGTTAAAGAGAGCCAATCTAGATCTCGACACGTGCCTATAAAACACATCCCCCTGCCCTGGCTCTTCATAGGTTGGGCTTTGCTTTCAGTAGCCAGAAGCAAGGCTGCTCTTTGAAACCACTGCAGCAGGTTGCCCAGTGTCTAAAAATCACTGCATTGAAGGGCCAGGTGCTGGGAGCTTCCCTAAGTGGAATCACCTCCTTGGCTTCCTCCAAGCTGTGTTGTTCCCATCCTTTCTAGCACATGGTCTTTGAAGCATGGAGTGACACAGGTGGGGGAGGGAATGCCAGTTATCTAGCAACAGTTATAAATTTCCCTTAGCGGCAGGGATCTAACAACATGAGACTTTGAGCTTTCAGCTCCCAGATGAAAGAACAGGGATTTTCCCAGCAATGACAGAAAAGGGAAACATATAGCCCTGGGGGCCCCCACAGGAATCTCTGTTATGGAGCTGCTCCAAGGGGGCACCAACCACAAGCCTGAGTAGAATTGCAATAGGTGGCCCCAGACCTCTGGGCAGCCACCCAGAAATCTCAGGCATGCAGCCTGGAGAAGAGGGAGAACTTTCCAGAGGCCACAGTTAAGGAATTTTCCTTGCACCTCCTGGAGCTGCTGGAGTTTCTGAAATTAAAAGGGCCTTTATCTGGAAATTATGGTTGAATGCCAGTTTCCCCTGTAGAGTCAATTTGGAAAACCTAAAGCACTAAAGGAATTAAGTTTGCTAAATGGAAATAAGTGGAGTTGGTGGAGATGAAATTGGATGTATGTAAGTGAAATCATCTGTGGATTGCCCCCTTTGGCGCTTTCCCTTTATTTAACCAACCTCTTCTTCATCTGCCATAGGAATGATCTCCCAAAGAGCACGGTGGCCCCTGGGAGGGTCCCATAGGGGAGGCAGGGCCACCTTCTCTGGGAGAGTTGCTGCAGTTGGCTTATAGTTGCAGCCTGGGTGGGACTCCCTTCTGGGTCTGGAGTTCACATTCAAGTCTTCATAGCCTAGTCTGGCCTGGATCCAAAATTTGTGTGCCTGAATCCCACTTACTAGCTAAGTGCTTGTAGGCAAATTACTCATCCATTCTCACACTCAATTTTCCATCTTTGGACTGGAGATAACAGAGCTTATCTTTAATTGTTGCATTAATTGAGAGGACACAGGTGAAGTAGCATGCACAGTGTGTGGCATATAAGAAATATTAGTTTCTATTTTTTTATTTATTTAAAAAATAGTAGTTTGCTCAAGCAACTGGATGGCATCATAGGGTAGTGAGACAGGTGTGGGCTTTATTGATGTACAAACCTGCAATTGAATTGCAATTTCAGCATGTGATCTTGGGCAAATTATTTGGTCTCTGTTTCCTACTATGAAATGGGGATAATAATACTCACCTTATAGAATTGTTGAGGTTTACATGAGCTAATGTATGGAAAATAGGTAGGACAGTGCCTGACAGTAGGAAGCCCATAAATAATAGTTATTATCGATAGTTCTACCATAATTATTATTACTGTAGTTTTCCATTGCTGCCATGACATATTTTCACAAACTTAGTGGCTTAAATAAGACAAAATTATGATCTTACAGCCTGTAGGTCAGAAGTCTTAACTGAGCTAAAGCTAAGATTTTAGTGGGGTTGCATTCCTGTCTGAAGGCTCTAGGAGAGAACCTGCTCATTTGGGTTGTGGATGGAATTATTTCCTTGTGGTTATAGGATGGGGGGCCCCATTTTCTTGCTGGCTGTCAGCTGAGAGCCATTCCCAGCTTCTAGAGGCCGCTGCATCCCCTGGCTCCATTTTCCTCTTCCTCCATTTTCAAGGCCAGTAATGGTGGGTTGAGTCATTCTCGCCTCACAAGCTCACTGAGCTCAGCTGGGAAAGGTTCTCCAATCTTAAGGACTCATGAGATTCGATTGAATCTCCCAGGATAAGCCAGGATCATCTCCCTGCCTCAAGATCTGTAACCTTACTCACATTTGCAAAGCTCCTTTTGCCACGTGTCTTAGTCCATTTTGTGTTGCTGTAAAAGAACACCCAAGCCTAGGCAATTTGTAAAGAAAAGAGGTTTATTTAGCTCATAGTTCTGCAGGCTGGGAAGCTCCAGGGCGTGGCCCTGGCTTCTGGTGAGAGCTTTCGTACTGCATCACAACATGGCAGAGAAGATCAAAAGGGGAGGCAGATATGTGCAAAGAGGGAAAAACCTGACGGGTGTCTTGACTTTCTAACAACCCACACTCTCTTGGGAAGGAATCCATTCCTGCAATAAATAGTCCTGTCGCTTGAGAGCAAGAACTCACTCACTGCAGAACAGCACCAAGCCATTCATGAGGAATCCACCCCCACAACCCAAACACCTCCTACCGGGCCCCACTTCCCAGCACTGCCACATTAGGGATAAAATTTCAACATGAGTTTGATGGGGACAAACAAACCATGTCCAAACCATAGCACCATGGAAGGTAATGCATTTGCAGGGACTGGGTTTTAGGATGTGGGCATCTTTGGGGGCCATTATTCTTTCTACAACAACTGTTCTTGTAATGTGGGAGGCTAAGCCGCTGGAAAACCTTCTCATGAGCAGTTCCATGTGCAGGGACTGCACACTTGGAAACTGTCCATAGCTCGATCCTTGGCCCAAGTTGCCTTACTCCTGTGATCATCAACCATTTTGCATAAGAACCAGGCATCCCAGAGCACCGAAGCTGATGTGTTTTTTTCAATGGACAGAGGGAACTGGACATGTTGGCTCTTCCATTACTGCAACTGAGATTATGCCACCAGGGAAGAGACAGCTGGGAAGGGGCTGTGTAACAGGAAGTATTTTATCACGTTGATTTAGTAATCTCGCCACTCCTAACATGTCAGGGCACTAAAGGAGTAGCCTGAGAGCTGAGTGTGATCTGAGCCTGTGTTGTGTGGGCTCCGCTGGGCTCCGCTCAGAATGATGTGTTTATTTCCTGCCATGGGGTCTAGAGAGAATAACATCCCGCCACAGTCCCAGCAGACTCTGTCTTATTCTGCCTGCCATCCTTCCAGAAGGGCACAGATCTATGTGTGCTTTAAGAAGCAATGTGATGTAGGAGAGTACTGCTATGTGTGAAGAATGAGAACACTTAGGATCTGAAGCTGGTCCTGCCTGTTCCTCTGTTCTCTGGTACTTACTTAATACTGACAATGCCCTGTTTAGGGCTCAGCTCTATGGAAAATACAAAGAAATAGGATATTTTGTTGGTACATGTTCTAAATGTGGAAAGGCCAGACTCTCAGACATGAAGGAACTAGAGGGCGATACGAAATAAGGAAGTATTAAGTGCTGAGACATCAGCTCTGGAGTTAGGCAGTGGTGACTGTGGTGGTCCAGGGACCGTGGGGACATTGCCATTTTGCGCCTCCTTTTCCCTGTTTGATATTTCTTTTGTTGCTGCCTAGAGCAGAGTAAGAGAGAGGGCAGTGGACCATCCCTTTAAGATACTGTACATCACAGGAGAGGGGATGACATTCATGTTTATTGAGCATCTACTGTGCCCATCACTTCCATAAGTTATATGATTAATTTTTATAACAACCTCCAGAGGTAGGTTTGGTAATGTCTGCTATTTGGGTGTGGAAACTGAGGTGTGGAGGGACCAAGGTCACCCATGCAGAACATGGAAGATGCTGGATTTGAGCCAGACTCCCTGGCGCCAACCCCATGCTCTATCTATTACACTAGACTCCTCCCTGCTGTGCTCCCCTCTGCAGAGACCCCGAGGCCTCTGGGCAGTGCCTGTGGCTCTGGAGGTGCAAGAGAAGGTAGGTGTGATTGAGGTCTGCCCAAGACCCATGGGACAACCTCCGTTTCTTTAGGGCAGACCCCACACCTCATCCCCCTTCTTGTCCCCACCTCTGCTGGTTTCCTTTTCAGACACTTGAGAGAGAGGAACTAACTTAAAATGGAACCACAGGGTTAGTGCTAAAGGCACCGTTAGGTTAAAATTGAGAGCTGAGGCTGTGGTGCTCAGAAGGGCCAAGTCTGCATGCTGGCTTTATTTATAGTCGCTTATTTATTAGATTCCAAATGATGTTTAACCAGGAATCATATGGCAGTGATCTTTGATTACTTATGCGGCTAATAGCTGAACATTTATTATTATTGCTATTTATTCAGCCAGCTAAGTGTACCGGGTGCTTCTCTTTCAGGAAAGCACCAAGGGAAGGGGCCAAAATAGAGGAGTGGCTTGGCTGGTGGTCCTATAGACCAGGCGAGGGGCTCCACTAGAAGGGTTTTTTTTTTTTTGTTTTAGTTTTTGTTTTTGAGACGGAGTCTTGCTCCGTCATCCAGGCTGGAGTAAAGTGGCACGATCTTGGCTCACTACAACCTCCACCCACCGGGTTCAAGCAATTCTCCTGCCCCAGCCTCCCATGTAGCTGGGATTACAGGTACGTGCCACCACACCTGGTTAATTTTTTGTATTTTTAATAGAGACAGGGTTTCACCATCTTGGCCAGGCTGGTCTCGAACTCCCGACCTTGTGATCCACATGCCTCGGCCTCCCAAAGTGCTGGGATTACAGGTATGAGCCACCACGCCTGGCCTGGTTTTTTTTTTTTGTTTGTTTGTTTTTGTTTTTGTTTTTAAAGAGCCAATCCTTAAAATAGAGGGAATAGGGGTGGGAGTGCAGAGAACACCCTAAAGGGAGAGAAGAGTTTGAGATAAGAGTTGGGACTTCTGGAGCTAGAAATATCTAGCTTTATAATAACAGCAGCATTTATTCAGTATTTATTATGTGCCAGGCAGTATGGTAAATGCTCTTCAAAATGATTAATCCTACCACCACCTCCATTTCACAGATGAAAAACCAGAGGCTCAGAGAAATTCATAACTTAGCTGGTGTTCAAATCCAAGCCCTGTCTGCCTCTGGAGAGACCACATGTCCCTTATACTGCCCTGCCCTCCGTCAGAGTCAGTGCCCTTCTTCTCTTTTGGTTAAGCTTAACTTTTTGAGTAAACAGCCCAGGAAAAGAATGGAAAACCTAGTGCCCCCGGAGCCCAGGAAAGAGTATGGAGAATGCAGCTCTTGGCTTCTCTGTTCTTTTCCCCAGTGTTTTGCAGCCCACTGGGAAGGAGCTGCCAGTGGTCCCTGGAGCATGGCCCATGCAGGGCCATCTAATACAGTCCTGGGACAGGCCACTGCATGGCAGGCAGGGTGTCTGCCTAGAGTTGTGATGGTGCAGGGAGCAGCTGGGCAGTGCCAGGCCCAGAGGCACCAAGATGGGAACCTGTAGTGTCTCCACCCTCTGGACACATGAAGAGAGCAGGGACCCTCCTGGCAGGGAGGACTTGTCTAACTGAACCTCCCCTGCCCACCTCAGACATGCTAACCTTTGGGCTCTCTCATGCCTCCCATCCTCACTCTTTCTCAGTTCTGTCTTTGCAGGAGGAAGCTCAAACTCCTTTTCAGGGCATGGGAAGCCTTCACAGGCAGGCTGCAGATGATCCAGGTGGCTTCATCTTTCAACATCGTTCCCATCCCTATCCCTACCGTAAACACTCAATACCCATGAATTCTGTACTGCAGACGCTGGAGTCCCTAGAACATCCTTGCCTCTCACATCGCTGGGCCTTTGCTGTCTCCACTGCCTAGAATACTCTTCTTCTCACCTTGCCTGCCCAGCAGAATTTTATTCACCATTCAAGGCCTTGCTTATATATGACCTCCTCCTCTGAAGGCCCTTCTCTGATGGCCCTTTCTTTTCTTGAGATAGAGTCTCACTCTGTCACCCAGGCTGGAGTGCAGTGGCGTGATCTTAGCTCATTGCAACTGCCACCTCCCAGGCTCAAGTGATTCTCCTGCCTCAGCCTCCCAAGTAGCTGGGACTACAGGTGCGCTCCAGCATGCCTGGCTAATTTTTATATTTTTAGTAGAGATGGGGTTTTGCCATGTTGGCCAGGCTGGTCTCAAGCTCCTGATCTCAGGTGATCAACCTGCCCCGGCCTCCCTAAGTGCTCCCTAAGTATTACAGACGTGAGCCACTGTGCCTGGCCCGATGGCCTTTTCTATCTCCTCTGAGAGTGGATCTTGCCCTCTCTGGGGCTCCAGTGCCACCATATGGGTGACTGCACCTCAGCCTCACCCCACATGGCGTGGTGACATGAGTTTCAGCATCAGTCTCTCAAGGCAAAGACTATGTCTCATTACCTCTGACTCCCTCGGCCTTGCTCCATAGTAGGTGTTCAGTAAACATTAGTCAAGTGAATGTAGGAATGACTCATTCTTATCCTGGGCTGCTGTGGAAAAGGTGTTTGTTTCAATTGGGGCCACATACTCACTGGCTTGAAAATGGGGACATCAGGGCAGGAAACAGGGACTAACTGAGCTAAGTTATGCAACCTGAAATAGGACAGCAAAGCACCTGGAACATGCTGGATAGAGGCGAAGGGAGCTGGATATTTGTCTTTGAGTTTGGAAGAGAGGAGAAGGAGACCTTGGCCAATACCAAAGTAGGATTTCAGGGTCTCTCTCCAAGGACCCTCTTCTCCCTGTAACACTAACGTTGAGTCTCTGGCCTTTTCAGTTACGGCAAAATATATCATGGGCAGCCACTGACCTTTAGAAGGAGGACTGTGTGTGCTTGGCCCAGCATCACAGGGGCCCCTGCACTGCCTGGCCCTGATGCCCGACTCCACCCAAGGAAGACCACCCCACAAACAGAGTGGGCTGGCCTTGGGCCTTTTCACCTTTTTACCCCATTCCTCAGTGCTCTTCCCTTCATCTCTAAGACACAGCCAGTGGCTGCCAGGGCTTTAGCCAGATGTCAGGAAACTCAAAGACAGGATCATCAAAAAGAAAGGGATTGGGGAGGAAGACTAGAGAGGGCCTGGGGTAAGGGGCCAGGGAGGATTGGTGACCAGGAAAGCTCAGGGTGCAGGAGGGAAGCGCAGGAGTGGGGTGAGTCCTGGGCTCTGAGACTGTGGAATTTGCAAGGCTCACATCAGCTCTCCAAGCCTCAGTTTTCTCCTCCTGTGGCCTCTGAGGTCCTGCCCAGCCTGGGATTCCATGTTCCTGTGCGGTTCCTCTCTCTCGAGGCTGCAACAGGTGCTGCGCCTTTAGCCTCCCTCCTGTCCTTCTCCTCTGCTGTTTTCCCTCCCTCTCTTCATTTTGCCCCGCTAAGTATTTACTCTCCACCCTGGTCTAGATTATCCCCTGGTTAAGTGCCAATTAGCTGCTGGCTGCCTGTTCACTCAGTTTGATGCATTCGGTGAGGCACAGAGGCCAAGGCCTGATTTTGGAGAGGGAGCGTAATGAGAACAGAGAACAGCGGCGGCCCACTTAGTTTGGATTTTAATAAAGTTTCCAGCTAACCTAAATCATCCCCGTCACAGGCAGCCCAGCAACCACTGAGTCCCCCAGGCTGGGAACAGGCAGGAAGGGGCAGAAATGGGCTGGAGGGGACAGAGATGGACAGAGCCCTGTTGAAGAGGAGGAGCTGTCTGTAGCCGAGGGTCCCCCTTGACAGCAGGGGCAGGGCCATCTCAGAAGTGCTCCGGGTAAAGGCTCTCCAAGGGGAAGCATAATGCCTGCTCTTTCAGCAGCTGTTAATTAGTTGCAGATGATGAGATAATTCATAAAAATTAGCAATGATTTCCTTCATTGTGTTAATATCACTGGGCAATAAAACTGCTGTTAAGGATGACTTTTCTCAGCATCGAGGAGTGAGATGTCAAGATAAAAACAGCCCTCCCTGGAGGTGGAGGGAGGAAAGAAGAAAAACCGAGCTGCTGAGACAGTGACAGGGGCAGTGATTTCCAAGCTTTGGCTGGAATCGTCAGAAGGAAGTCGAATTGAAATGCAAATCCTGGTGTCTCTCAGAGCACAGGCTGGAAAGAAATGCATTTGGTGGTGTCACCTTGGCGGCCAATGGACAGGCAGACGGGTGGCGGGAGGGCTTCCCTGCTGCTGGCAGAAGGCAAGATGGTGGCAGCCAGAGGCCCAGCGAGGCTTCACTTGAGCAGGGAGTGGGTCTGGGTCCCCAGGAGAGTCCTTCAAAGAGGAGACACACTTGCTTATTTGGCCTGTAGCATGGTCTGGTCTTGACTCCCTCCATTTGCAGCTCTTGATGCTTTTTCTTTCTCTCGCCAAGTTCTGCCCACACTGGCCTAGTATCAGTTTCTTGAGTGCACCAAGAGGCTTCCTGATTTAGGGCCGTATCCATGCATGCTCTTGTCTCTGTCTAGACCACTATTTGCCCCCATCTTTTTTTTTTTTTTTTCCCATCTGGCCAACTCCTATTTATCCTACAGGTAAAATGCCATTTCTGCATTTTGAACCATATTCCCAGTGCCCGACACAGTTTCCATCTTATACATGGGAAGTGGGTTGCATAGATATGTGGCCTCTTCCCTGCTTAAACCCTTCCCCATGCTCACACTGCCTATAGGATAGGATCCAAGCCCCTCCCTACCTCACCAGCCACCTCTCCATGGACCTTCTCAACTTTTCTCTGCTTGAGGATCCCTGAACATGACACACTTTTCCACCTCTGTCACTACACTTAGAAGGCTTTTGTTCCAAGTGTCTGCCTGGTGAATGCTTACTCGTTCTCTAAAACCCAGGTTAAGTGTCGTGTTCTCTGTGACACGCTCCCTGATACTGCTCCCCCTCTCTCTTGTTGCTTATACCCTCCTTGTGTGTCATCGTTCCTCAGAGATACCTTCATTGTAGCAGACTTACTCACTGGTCTTTCCTGGGCTTGCTGCCCTGGTTTAAGAGCATTGACTAACACAGAGTGGACACTCCATAAACTGTTGCATGAACCGATAGATGAATGAGTGTAAAGCTAAAAAAATGGCTTTAGGTACTATTTCATAATCCAGGCCAGAGATGATGTTGGCTTGGAGGGTAACAATGGAGATGGTGAGAAGTAAACATCTTTTTGAAGTTGAACTGACTAGTCTTGGTAGTAGGCTGGATGTGAATGATGAAGGAAAGCTCAACAATGACCAAGTAGGTAGCCAAAGTATCATTTATTAAGAAGGGGAAGAAGGGAGGAGAGACCTTGGGGTAGGGGCGGGGAGATCAAGAATTCTATGTGGCACATGTTAAATGAGAAATGATTGTAAAACATCCAAGTATAGATGTCAGGGAGTCAGATGGACATAAGATATTAGAAGAAGAGGTCCCAGGTGGCGACATAAATGGAGAATCTTTGACATATAAGTGGTATTCAGAGCCGTGGGACCAGGCCGTGTCCTAGGGAGAGAATGTCTGGAAAGTGGCATGGTGAGCCCAGGACTGAGCAACCTAAATATTTGCTCAAAAAAGAAAGATTTGCAAAATAGACATTGTCTAGTGAATGCATAATGAACTGCAGGACTAAAGTATAGACCAGACTTAACCAGCCAAGACATTGTAACTGGAAGTAAAGAGTGGAAAGCTGTGAAGTTTGTGCCTAGGGGGCATATTGGTCAATGATGAGGCTAGCCATAGAAAAGTAAAGAAGGGTCTTGACAGACCAGCAGGTTTTTAGATAAAGTCAGCACAAGCTCTGGAGTACCCGTTTGCCAGGCTAGAAAACGTTATCCCTAGCAATGTGTTGGAAGATTCTGAACACAGACTTGCAAATAAGTACAGAACTTTTCCAGACCACTAACACTTTCTGGCAAGACTTTTTTTGTTTTTGTTTCTCTGGGAAGAAAGCAAAGTGAGGCTGGGTGTAATGGCTCACACCTGTAATCCCAACACTTTGGGAGGCTGAGGTGGGAGGATTGCTTGAGGCCAGGAGTTCGAGACCAGCCTGGGCAACATAGGGAGACCCTGGCTCTACAAAAAAATAAAATTAGTTGGGCGTAATGGTGCATGCTTGTAGTTCCAGCTATTTGGGAGGCTGAGGCAGGAGAATCACTTGAGCCTGGGAGATTGAGGCTGCAGTGAACTGAGATCTCACTACTGCACTCCCATCTGGGTGACAGAGCAAGAGCCAGTTTCTAAGAAATAAAAAAGGAAAGAAATCAAAGCGAAACAAATGGAATATGAATTTGATTTAATTGATGGTCGGTTGGCCCATTCAGTTATTCATAGTATGGCCAAGCCATTGTAAGTCAGGGTTAAGAAGAAAATTGACATTATTTGATCCCTAACCTCTAAGAGTTTGTGGAGACAATACGAACACACATGAAAAGTGAATGACAGTGCAAGACCGTTTAGTTACTTTAGCAAGGCAAAACATATTTAAGTGTTCAATGAATGATGCAGACTCTAAATATATGGTAAAGAGCCTAGGTGCAGGAGAATTCACCCTTTCTTTACCAGAGTAGTCAAGGAAAGCTTTTCTGTGCTTACCTGACACGGTGATTCATCTTGGAGGAGTAAATAAAGATGCTTTTTTTTTTTGGAGACGGAGTCTCGCTCTGTCGCCCAGGCTGGAGTGCAGTGGCGCGATCTCAGCTCACTGCAAGCTCCGCCTCCCGGCTTCACGCCATTATCCTGCCTCAGCCTCCGAGTAGCTGGGACTACAGGCGCCCGCCACCGCGCCCGGCTAATTTTTTGTATTTTTAGTAGAGACGGGGTTTCACTGTGGTCTCGATCTCCTGACCTCGTGATCCGCCTGCCTCAGCCTCCCAAAGTGCTGGGATTACAGGCATGAGCCACCACACCTGGCCATAAAGGTGCTTTTTAAGCTGTGAAGGAAGTCAGATGGAATGGAAGGGAACCTCTGAGTCAGTACTTCTGTGGAAGATGACATTTAGATCTGCTGCCATCTGTCGGTGAGTGTGGAAAGGAGCTTGGAGCTTAGTCTTCAGGTACTGGAAAGGAAAGGTGCCAAGAGGAACCAGGTGTTGACACCTCCCTCTCTGGAGGACAAGTGAGCTTTAGTCTAGTTCATTGTCGTTAAAAATATGACCCTCAGACCAGCAGCATTGACATCACCTAAGAGAGTGTGAAAATCCAAAATCTCCAGTCCTATCCCAGAGGTACTAAATCAGTGTCTGCATTTTCATCAAATCCCCAGGTGATTCTCATGTTCATTAAAGTTTGAGAAACATGGGTCTAACCCTTGTCATGTAGGGCTCTTCTGGGATACCTCCTGGGTCCGCCCGTACCCCTCACCTGCCAGAGATTCTGATTGGTGGGACTAGGATGGGACTTGGAAGTTAATATTTTTAATAGGTACCCCCAGATGATGCCATCAGACAAGTGTTCAAAGCTCTGCTTTAGGCTGTTCTGTTGCTGTGCCCCATGTCCCTGGGGCAGGCCGGCTTTTTCTCCATGCACACACCTGGACCTAGGCATTCTTTTCCCTATCAAACTCATTTTTTTGAAGACCACCAACCCAATGGCATTTTCTTGGTCTTCCTCATCTCATCCCCCTTCACTTTTGCAGCAGTTGCAGTTCTGAAGCTTTTTGAAGCTCTCTCTTGATCTTGGTTTCCATTAGGCTATGGTCGTCTTTCTCAGTCCTTCTCTTATTGCTAACAACTCCTTTCTTGTCTCTTTTGCTGATGATTCTTCTGCCCTAAGCCCTTTGTGCCTCCCTCACCCTTTCTGGGCAATCTTGTGCCCTCCCTGGAAGTAAACAACTTCCAAATCATCTGCAGCGCTACCTCTCTCCAACTCCAGCTGTGCGCAGAGTTCAACATGTGTTGATCTACTTAGGCTGTAGATTTCAGCTGAGGGATGTTGGGTAAATTAATTTACTTTTGAGTCTCAGTATACCTTTAAAGTGGGATTAATTACATGTGATTCAAGGGATTATTTTGGACACCAAATGGGATAATGTATGTAAACTATGTGGCACATCGTAAGCGCATAATAAATGTTAGTTTCTTAAAAAAAAGCATGATACATCCATCAATCTGAACCCAATTCTTCATACCTATCCTGCATTTTTAAAGTGTGACTTTACTCATACCCTGCCCTCTGCTTAGAATATCCATTTTTCTGTCTTTCAAGGCCAAACTCTGTTGCTGCCTCAACCGTGAAGTCTATTATCAACCCAATTCCAAATCAGCTTTCACACAAATACCTGTACTTCTTTAACTGTGCCACTTATAGTACCTAAATCACTGTCTACCTTGTATTATAATTATTTAAGCACACGGTATCTTTCCTAAAAACTGAAAGTTCCTTTTAGGCCAGGCTCATGGCCTTACAATAGTTGTATTCCCCAGGGGGCCTCACACAGTGCCTGTGTACCATACCAGGGAAGCTCACAAGTCCTGCTGGTAGTGGATGGGCTGCATCACGTCTATATGTGAAGGCTTGCATGTTACTCTCCATTAAATATGCTAACAGAGGGAAGCAGTGATGTGGAGAATCCAAATAACAGGCTGTCTCAACGTTATTGCCGTTGGCTTTGGAAAGCATTTAGGTATTTCTGCTTCAGATTTACCTTGCTGATTATGTTTTATCGGCATACATTAATATGAGCTTGCATTCCATGAGCATACACCACCTGGGAAACTGAAGGTGGTGATCCACGCATAGGCAGAGCAGCGGAAAAAGCTAGTTTAGGGTTTTCAGTTGTCCAGGGATAATTCCCAAAGTGCGTTATTAACTCCAACATAAGTAACAGTGAGTTGGCTGTTGTGCTATTATTTCCCTCTTAGCTTTCTCTGGTTAAAATCCTTTATAATAATTAGTCAAGGGCACACTAATTACCTGACATTGACATAAAATACTTCTGGTGATGGAGCAGAAGCACTGTTTTGAATTCATGCTAGACTATTATGATAATGATACCTTACATTTGTATGATTAGTAATTTATAAAGAGATCTTATGTGTGTTATTTAATTTTGTCTGCTTGACGCTTATGTAAATAGAGTAGATGACATTATCCCATTTGACAGATATGGAAACCAAGGCTCAGGAGTGAAGCGGGTTCCCCAGGCTGTCTTAGCTGGATACAGGCAGAGTCAGGGACCATGCCTTGGGTCTTTTCACTCTTGGGTTCTAGTGCTTTTTCCACTTTACCATACTGCTTTAATGAACCTCCAGCGCTTTAAGATGTTTCTTAATCACTTGTAGAATTTCCAAGTGATTGTTTTTTGTTGTTTTCAATTTCTGGTAAGATTCTTTATTTTCATCTATTTTTTGTATTTTCTTTCCATTTTTTTGGAATACATTTATCACATTTAAAGTCCTTTTCTGTTAACTTGTCTGTTTAGATCACCTGTGAATCTGTTTCTATTGTGTGTTGTTGTTGTTTTTTCCCTCTTAGATTTTGGCCATATGATCCTGTAGTTGGATCTGCCTAATAACTTTTTTATTGAATGCTCGACATTGTATAGGCTGTACCTGCTGTGATCTTCCTCAAGAGGTGTTTTACTCATTGCTAGGCAGAGTAAAACCAATGATCTTAATCCAATTAAAGCCTGAACTGAGTCCCTGCCGGGTTGTGTTTTGGTCAGATTTAGTTTACCTCTGGCTCACTCCTTTCCCAGAGCAGAGCCACCATTAGTTGAGAGCCTCCTGTGTTTACTGGGTCCCCTCCCCAGCAGGTCCTCAATTCTAGTCTTGCTGTTCAGTGCCTCAGAATGGCCAGAAAACACTCTCTGCTTTATAGAGACTTTCGGCTGAGATTTTTTGGCCTTCTCCTCCATTCAGCTTCAGAATTCTGTAAATGACTTAAGGAGAAAATTGGGACCCTATATTTGAGGACCCTCAAGTCCTTAATTTTCTCTCTCTAGTCCCAAGGCTGCCAGAGCTCTGCTGGCTTCTTTGTCCCCCAGCAGCAGTCTTTGCTTCTTGCAAACCTGGGTTCTCAGCCTCTCATCCTGGGCCTAGAAATGACATACCCTCCGGAAGTGATTACAGAATATCAGCTCACCTCTTCACACTTTCCCCCCTCAGTAACTGTATCCTCTCCCATCCTTCTTGCTCCAGCAGGTCAATGGTGCCTTGAAACAGATGATTGTTATATTTCTTCTAGCATTTCTAGTTCTTAGTGGAAGCATTGATTGGCCACAAACTATCCCACCCTACCCCGAAGAGGAAGTCAGATGCTTACTATTAACACATAAAAACCACAGGATTACAAGAGCAGCTCTTAGCTGGGTGTCTTGGTAGCTGGCCCAGCCAACTAGGAGCAAACACTGTTTAAGGCATTCCCTTGAGTGTCTGGGCTGCCTCACCATGAAGAAGGCAGGGAAATGGATGGGAGTGTAACTGTGGGCCCAGGAAGAAGGCATTCACTGGGATGAGGAATGAGTGTTCAGCAAGCCCAGGAGGCCTCGATACTTCATCAGGTTTCTAATGATTTTGTCAGAGTGTTAATCCCATGGGTGAGTAGCAGCATTTTGATACCAGCAAACAGATTGTGTTTCAGCCCAGATAATCCAATATGGAGATCTGCATGAGAGCCGAAAATAATTAATCACATTTTAATGGGGTTGAGAGAGGCTAGTCAAGGATGCTTTACATTGGAAGTAGAGCAATGGGGGTCAGAAAGGGCGTGAGATGTAAGAGAGAGGTTGAACATGGGAGTAGCCCATATATATGCCAGAATGGAGTGTGCTTATGGATGTGGTATGGAAGAAAGAGAGGTTGTATGTGCAGAGAGCATTGTATGGATATTCCCTTCCATCACAGAAACCTTTCTGCACCAGGTCTTGGGAAAACAGAGATAAAGACCAAAGTCCTACCCTTCAGGACTTCACAGTCTGATGGTAGAGGCTGACAAGTAACCAGATGATCAATAACAATAGTCCTAGGTGCTAGGATGGAAGAAGGCCCCTGCTGCATTGGGAGCACCAAGCCCAGTCAGGGCTTGGGTAAGCCACAGGGATGGGTGGAGGGCCTTCCAGGCAGAAGGAACAGGTTGAGGAATAGTGCTGCTACAATATTGAGATAACACGGACATAATTCTATGGAAACCGGAAGTTTCCATTGCCTCTGCCCTTACCCTCGTCGAGCCTTCATAACCTCTTGCCTGGCAAGAGCCTCCTACCTGCCTCCCATCCCTCACTTCTTGAGCCTATTCTAAATGTTGAACCCATGCTTTTCTTCCCAAAATACAGACCTGGCTGTTGTTGACAGCCCAGGAATTTCTTAGGGTTTCTCTTATTTATGAAATACCAACTCCTTAGTGTGCAGTATCCCTTCCATGATCCAGCCATACCCACCCTCCTTTCCTTCATCATCTTCCTCCATTCCCTCCCAACCCTACACTGCACCCCTGTTCTAGAGTTCACTTGGCCACTCAGTATTCCTGTAGACAACCAGCACTTTCTTTGTCCCTTGGCTTTCTTGGTGGTGTTCCTTGTGCCTGAAATGTCCTTTCCTGCCATCTTCACCTGATGAAAAGTCTACCCTTTACCTCAGACCCAGATCACATATCACCTCCTTTCTGGAAACTTCCCTGATCCTCCCAGTCCAAATGAGTCATTTCTCTTCTGAGTTACCTGATAGTTTCCTCCTCTGTTAAAATAAATCACACTCTGCTCATCTCATAGCAGCTTTTGTCTCTGTCTGTTGGTTACTCCCACACCCCCGCCAGGGCAAACTCCTTGAAGGCAGGAGAACACCCTTTCATCTCCATGGTCTCCACCACAGCTCCTTTGGTGCCTTGTGCATTCCTGGTGCTCGATAAATATTTATTGATCGAATGAGTAAATGAGTATCGAATGGGCTTTCCATGTGTTTTGCTCCAGGTGTCTCTTATTGTAATTAAAGTTTTTTTTTCCTTAGTCAATTTCAGGCAAAAAGCAACATAAATTTTATGTGAGGTTTGAGAAGGACTGTAAAAGTGATTTATGGTTGGGTAGGAGATCTGTGCAAACAGGTTAGGAAAATGCTCAGAGTCAGCTTCTACCTGCTCCCCTCGTCACTCCAGACCCTAAATGCTGAAGCATAGCTGCCCTGTCGTCCTGGTGCGTGAGTGGCTTTAGTGTCTGGTGTTGAAGTGCTGAATAAAAAATGCTCACTCCTGAGAGCATGGTAAGATGTTTGTGGGTAGTGTTCACATAGAATGCCCTGCAGCTTGATGTTCGAGAATGATCTTTTGTGTGGGCTTGTGCTTCTAGGCACATCTCTATTGTCCAGCCACATTCTCCCACTGCAATCCTTGGCAAAGCACACATGGGGCTGAAACCTGTGACCCTGCCTCCTGGTTTCACGCTCTCACCAGCTGAGCCCCCACACTGCAGCAAGAACTGGCTGCGCCAATCTCTTTTTATTCTAAGAGTGAAGTCGAGCATGGGCAGCCAGGCAGCTGGAGCCAGGGCCCTACCTGTCATGAATTGGAAGCCGGGTAACAGTAGTTGAACCTGCAGAGTGAGAATACCACCTGAGCAACCAAGATGGGTCCCAGAGGGGCCATTTCTCCCAAATGGGGACAGCAGCCCCGGGACCTGTGGCTTTGCTTTCTGATGACTTTGCACCAACAGCCAGGTGTCTTGTTCCTTACCCTCCTCACCAGCCAATGTTCCTAAGGCCCAGATTTAACTTTCTCTTATTTTAGTTTCAGGCCATTTCTTCTTTTAATGGTGTCCCAAGCTGCCTGAAATAATTCTTGCCCTTCTTTTATGTGGCTCTGTCTCGCATATTTATGGGAAGTTATCACGTCCTTGTAGGCCCTCGTTCTCTAGGTTCCACATATTATGTTCATTTAACCTCCCTTTATAGGTCAAGCCTTCTAATTCCTTTAATCATTTTTATTGCCTTTCTTTGCATTCAGTCTCCCTCCTTGGCTTCTTTTTAGAACAAGAAAGCCAAAATTCCATAATGTGTTTCAAGAATGGTCTGAATAGGGGGGCAGTCAGGGACCCCTGTTCTGGGGAGTGTTTGCTGCTTTCTCTCTGATGACGCTGTTGCATGTTTCTCATTTTATCTCGGCATCTACTGTTTTCAATTCACCTACCCTAAACTTCGCCTTTTCTGGGAATGGTCTTATTCTCACTGTGGCCGACTCCTCAGGCCTGGGATGGAGGCTTGGGAGACATTGAGAGCTCAGAAGCTCAGAAGTTAAGGTTGGGAAGATTCAGGGTGGAAGGAGGAGGGAACCAATAGACACCAGGCCCCTGCGATGTGACCAGCCTTGTGCAAGACACTTCGATGTGTGATTTCAGGGAACTCTCACAGAATCATGTGAGATGTAGATTATTGCCCCATCTTTGCAGTTAAGGAAACTGAGGCTCAGCATTGTTAAATAACTTTCTCAAGACCATATAGCTAATAAATGATAACACCTAGGATTTGGACATGGGCTGTGAGATGACCCCCAAAAGTATTTTTTCCACTCTATGCAGCCTCCTTTAAAGAAAGTAGGAGAGAGGGGTTTGCAGTGGGAGCAATGTAAGAGTAGCATTTAGGTGAGGGAATGTTTTCCTCATCCCCATTGAACCCAGGTCCTGGAGACCAGTGGCTTTCTTCTGGCATGGCCTGAAATTTTAAAACTCACTTGATTTGTTCCAAATGCCTCTCCCTTTATCCTGAACTTTGCTTATTTCCTGCCTTGTATGCAGTGGGGCTCATGTGCCTGCTGATCCCCTGCCAGTGGCCTTAAGGGGAGTATTTAGGAACTGCTGTACTGTTGCCTGTTCCCAAGCTGGATGGGGAGCATTCTCCAGTTTAGAGTATGGGAATTTTCTCCACTGGTGGATGCTGCCCCAGTCCTTTGCTGCGCCTGATTAGGTCTTCGGTGAGCAATACCCTCCTATGATGTGCATGTGGTTGGATTGCACTGAACACAGCCCCTCTATGGGTGATGTCCCTTCCATCTCTCCCTGTGCCCAGCCAGCCAGGGGAGGATGTGATGGCTGCTGGGCCCAACAAGGCAGAGTGGCCAAGTGTCAGTGGTACCTGGCATGACAGTTGTCTTCCATGGCACTTGCTTGGGGGTAGGAAGACATCTGTCTCTGGGGAGGTGACCAGAGCCTGTGATGATCTGGGGCAGGCCCAAGGAAAGCTGGCTCCAACCCTCCAGGGCATACTCAGCACCAGGAAGATTTTTAAGGCTCTGCTTCTCAGAATTAGCCCCACCGGGGCACAGTTACTCGTTTAAAACCTAAACCATTGTCTTTGTGCTGAGTGCTGGGGATACAGAGATGGGTGAGACATGGAGCTTGTGTTCAAGGAGCGAGCAGGCTAGTGGGGGAGGTGGTGCATAAACAGATCTTGACAATTCATGTGACCATGGCGGGGATAGAGATTTGCACTGTGGAGCCCGGGGGTGAGGCACCAAACATCCCAGAACAGGAGCGGTGGAGGCAGAAGTGGTTTTTGAGAGACACGTCCCTGGAGCTGAGTTAAAGCTGGCCGGATGAAGGGGAAGGTTGCTCCGGAGGAGAGTTACAAGGAGGACAGACAGTCGGGAAGACGAGACTGGAGAGGAACCCAAACGATGGAGACCCGGTGTGCCTTAGTAGGAAGCTTGAACTTTGTTTTGGAGAAACAGGCAACTCTTTTTTTTCTGAGACTCAGTCTCGCTCTTGTCACCCAGGCTGGAGGGCAGTGGTATGATCTCAGCTCACTGCAACCTCTGCCTCCTGGGTTCAAGCAATTCTCCTGCCTCGGCCTCCTGAGTAGCTGGGATTACAGGCTCCCACCACCATGCCCAGCTAATTTTTGTATTTTTAGTAGAGATGGGTTTTCACCATGTTGGCCAGGCTGGTCTTGAACTCTGGATCTCAGGTCATCCACCCACCTTGGCCTCCCAAAGTGCTGGGATTACAGGCGTGAGCCACTGTGCCCAGCCCAGACAACTCTTAAAAGAGGGGTTTTACGTAAAGAGGCTGTCTTGGCAATTTACATTTTATGATTTTATTTTATTATTATTATTATTTTTTGAGACAGAGTCTCTCTCTGTTGTCCAGGCTGGAGTGCAGTGGTGCAATCTTGGCTTACTGCAACCCCTGCCTTCCAGGTTCAAGCGACTCTCCTGCCTCAGCCTCCTGAGCAGCTGGGATTATAGGCATGCACCACCATGCCTGGCTAATTTTTATATTTTTAGTAGAGATAGGGTTTCACCATGTTGGCCAGGCTGGTCTTGAACTCCTGACCTCAAGTGATTCGCCTGGCGTGGCCTCCCAAAGTGCTGGGATTGCAGGCATGACCACCGTGCCAGGCTGGCAATTTATATTTTAGATACATCAGCCCAGCAGTAAGATGAAGGAAACAGCTTTAAAGAGAGACCAGTTAAGAGACTGTTGGAGTAGTCTGTCCATCCATCCATCCATCCGTCTATCAGTTAGTCCTTTCAATAAATATTTCTTGGGTACCTAGTATGTGTCAGATACTGGGAAAGTCCTGGGTATAGAGAGGTAGATAAGAAAGACAGTCTCTGCCCACCAAAGGTGACATAGAAAAGGTAAGGAGGCCTGGACCTCTCTTGTAGAGCAGATAGAGAAAGGAAGATAAAGTAAAAAGGCCTTTTGGAAGCCAGTTTATCAGGATTTGGCCATGGATTGGATGTGGGGTAGTGGGCATGAAGGAGGAGGCATAAATAGCTCCCATTTTCCACCTTGGAGGGCTGTAGTGGCTGAGCCGGGAGGGGCTCCTGCCAGCATCTTCAGCCCCTGAGTTAAGCACAGAAGCAGAGGAGAGCGGTGCATTTGCCGTGTAGATGCACCTCTGAGACAAGGGCGTCACCTTTTCTGTCTTAAGACAGAAAATTGTCTTAGCACCATTTTCTGTCAGCCCAATTGCCTTTCATTCCCTCCTGTAGAAATCCAGGAGCTGCCTTGGGTGACTAGGTGGGCCACCAACCAAGGGAGACATTCAGCAGGGGGCAGATGGTGAGCTTGGGTGGACTGCAAGTGCCCATGGCATCTGGACGAGACGTCCAGTAGACAGCTGGATGCATAGGCCTAAAGCATGAGGGAGGGATCTGGGCTGGAGGAATTGCTTTGGCATTGTCAGTGACAGAAAGCACGAGAGCAGATGAAATTATTGAAGGAAGAGTGCAGTAGGGAAAAGAACCCTGGGCTAAATGTCAAGGTACCTTGGTCTGAGTCTTAGATTTGCCATTCATATCCTGCGACCTAAGACAGGCTCTTCCGCCTCTCAGCCTTGGAGGCCCTCATCTGTAGAATGAGATGATCAGAACAGATCAGTGGTCTCCAAACTTAGTTTTTAGTGGTTGAACCTTTTGTTCAAATAAAATCACACACAGAATCCCAACAGCAAAAAGTGAGCTGCTCTAGGAGGAGAATGACAAGAGATTGGAGGTTGAGCTCTGTTTCCCCACCCACCCCCCAACCCAACCTCTCAACATTTCACTGCAGCCACTGAGGGTGCTCTGGGGGGCATAGTTTGGAAACCAGAAATGTGCCAGCTTCCTGAGGTCCCTGCCAGCTAGCGCCTACTTCTAGGAGCCTGGTTAACAGCCCAGCCTTGGGTGCAGGAGGTGAACACTGAGGCTTAGGTCTCCTGGGATGCAGCAGAGCTCCAGGGGGCCTGGGAGAAGAGGCTGTCTGGAGCCCACTTGACCTGCAAGTGCCCGGGTTCATTGTTGTCTTTCAGTGGCCTGATTAATATCTAAGCCCTTTAATTTGCTTCCCTTTATAAAAAGAAGAAGACAGGCAAGCAACACAGGTCATAAAACACTGCAGCCCGTAACACTTCCCATTGGCTCCCGCAGCTTTACTTCCTCCTAGATTATCATTCTTGGCTTCATCACAGGAACCTGATTATTTCCTTTTCCCCTTCAGAGCATTTAGGAAGGTATTAAAAAAAGAATCCCGAGCCTCAGCCTCAGCCAGTCCTGCTGCCTTCTCTCACTCCTTTCAAAGCCCTGTGCTACTTACAATCCACACTCTCAAAGAGGGGGAGCCAGGGATGCCCCCAGCCCTCTCCTCCTGCTGGAGGTCAGGGAGCCTTGGGACCCAGGAGCATGGGGGGTGTTCATTCTCACGAGCTGGGCTGTTTCTTGCTGTGAGTTTGCCAGCTATAGGGCCACCCCAACATGGCTGTGAGTAGGCTGAGGGCCTTCAGCCACCCATGGAGCCCAAGCTCTCTTCCAGCCCATCCTGGCATTGGGCAGCTCTCCCACCCAGGCCCTGGCCCTCCCTCTGGCCCAGGTGGCTGCCATGTCCTACCGTGAAGGGCCTTCTGTGGCTCGCCAAGGGATTGCTTCGAAGACACACATTTCATGCAGGCCCCTGTGAGAAAGACAAACTCTGTTTCCATAGAGGAGTGCCAGAAAGGTTTCTTTGCCCATATCAAGATGTTAGCATTTCAGCGCCAAGGACACTTGAGGCCACGCTTGTCAGAACTTTCATTTATGCAGAAGAAGAAGAAGAGGTCAGCCTGCGGGGTCTGGCCTACCCACTGCCTCCCAGGCCTGGACGGCCGCCACGGGTGGGAGGCAGGGCTGTCTTTGCCTTGTTAGTGAGGCTGAGGTCCTGTTTTGAGCTGCAGCAACAGTAGGCTGACACCCCTATGACCAAGGTGAGATGCAGTGTCATTAGCAGGGCCGCCTGGCTGGATATTGATTGGCCCTGCAGAGGCCTGGCAGGTTGGCAGTTGGAGCCGCCATGCAGATAACTGAGGGCAGCCAAGGACCCAACTGAGTGCAGCCTCTGGAAGGAGCAATTGAAGGGACAAGACCAGAGTGGGCCTGGGTGACCTTGCACCCCTCACACAGAGGCCTGCTCCATGGACCAGTAGGAGGAGGGCCCAGGCTCTCACATGCCTCCTCCCAGGGGCCTCGTGACCTTCTCTTCCTAGGAGAACCCCACTTCCAGGAGCAGGCCCCCAGCTCTCCCTCCTCTAGCAGAGGGATCTGGGCTGCCTGCCTCTGCAAGATGGAGTAGGGACCCTGGGAGTGCCTCTGTCACTTGTCCTATAAATGACAATAGAGCTAACAATATCTAATTGACTATTAAAGGAGAAAGCAGCCCTGTAGATGCTGCAGGCTAATTAACCCTGGGAGTGCAGAGCGAGAGGAAGAATCTGCAGGGGTTGCCCGTGAGCACATATGCACCGAAGTGTGTCTGTCCCAGTGGCAACCAGGGAAGAGATGTGTCCTGTACAGCAGACTTACGCTATCCACAGAGTCCTGTTTGGTGGATTGGGTGGGGCAGGGCCCACCCCAGCTCAAGAGTCCAGACTTGAAAAGAGCCTCAGCCTTTCCGGGAGAGCTTCCTAGGGGAGGTGAAGTCTGAGCTATGTTTTGAGCAAAATGGTTCTAGATAGAGGTGTCAGTGGGGGGGCATGTGGTAGAGGGGGCTGTGAAGCTTAAATCTGGGGGGGCCCAAGGTGAGAGAGCTGGGGTTGAAGAAGGGGACTCAGAGCTCTGAGTTCATCGGTGGCTTCCTTATATTTCCCTTTGGAAGAGAATAGAAGCAGCCAGAATGGCCTTGGGGTTGGGAAAGGGGGACCTGGAGGAAGCTGGTGCCACAGGCCAGGTGAGAGAGGATGAGGGTCTGGCCAAGGCAGCGGCAGCAGGGGTGGACCGGAGGGAGAGGTGGGAGCTGAGGGGGACTCCCTCAACATGGTACCATTGCCAATGGGAGCGCCCCCTAGAGGGCCAGGGCTCTGCTCTTTGCACCCTCCTTGCCAACCAGCTTCCTAACTCTTAGGCTGTCAGAGCCCAGAACAGGTCCAGCCCCTTCATTTTCCAGAAGATAAACTGCGCTATGGGCAAAGATATGACTGTTGTGGGGCAGCCCCATGTCTGGAACCCTGGCAGCCAGCCCTTATTCAGTGTCCTCGTTGCCACACCCCATGACGTTTGTTATGTTTCTTCTTATGAATGGATCTGCCTCTGCCTCCTCAGCTCATCCTTCAACCCGTTCGCTTCCCAGCTCTTTTCCTCTGCCTTCCTGACGGTATCACTCCAGTTCCACCCCAGGCTGCTCCGCCCTGCCTGTGGTTCAACATGAGTTACGCAGTAGGTTCTATTCTTGAAGGAGGGACCATGAGAGAGAGCCTTTGGTTGGCTGTGCTGATTCAGGGGAACAGTGGCAGACAGTCCTCAGCATCAGCTAACCCCAAATCCTGAATGCCCCCTGTGTTGGAAGTGAGTTTGCTAAGTCTGACCTATAAGAGTTTATGGAGCTGGGCGCAGTGGCTCACGCCTGTAATCCCAGCATCTTGGGAGGCTGAGGCAGGAGGATCACCTGAGGTCAGGAGTTCAAGACCAGCCTGGTCAACATGGTGAAACCCCGTCTCTACTCAAATACAAAAATTAGCTGGGTACGGTGGCATGCGCCTGTAATCCTAGCTACTGGGGAGGCTGAGGCAGGAGAATTGCTTGAGCCCGAAAGACAGAAGTTGTGGTGAGCCGAGATTGCACCATTGCACTCCAGTCTGGGCGACAGAGTGAGACTCTGTCTCCAAAAAAAAGAATTTGTATTCCTTTAGCACAGTGGATGGCCAGAGGAAAGGTAGCTTCTGAGGCTCCAAATGAGCTAGCAATGGGCTGCAGAGCTCTGGTGGCTTTTATGAAGGCATGATCCGGGTGTGTTGGCCTCTGCATACTCCTAGGGCGTGATTTATATGGGGACGGTGTGGAGAGTTGGGGCTGTCAAGGCAGGGCTGGTCCTTTCTGGGGAAGGCTGGCAGTGGTGAAGGGAAGCTAGAGTGGCCTCGATGGAGGGTCACAGCTCCTGCACCTGCCGTGCCGTCTTCTCACATCACTGATGCACTGCTCCTTACCTCCTCCTGCTCATAGAAGAGGCCACTATCTCCCCTTTCCCGAGTCTCTGGGGGTGGGGTGGCGTGGTTTGGCCAGAGCTAAGGTGACATCAAGGCAGGGGGGCAGTGTGCCAAGAGGTGTCCCCCCTGGCTTTGTGTGGTGTGGCGTTTCTCCACTCAACCCTGTCCATTTTACAAGTGTTTTGAAAAAACCTACTTTACTCTGTCAAGATGAAACCTAAAGAGAGTATAACGTTTCTACATACATGATTTTTAAAATATTTAATGTCCTAAATATAATATAAAGGATGAATAAAAAGAAAATAACATAATAAAATTAATTTCAATGTTTAAATCCTTGGGCATCACTACACATAACAGGGTGAAATATCCCGAGTTTCCAGAAAGCTCCACAGGGTCCCTGTTAAGAACTAATGGCTTTGCATTAAGAGAAGTTTGGGTCTGTCTTCAGCCACTGCTGGCTGTGTAACCTTGAGCAGGTGAGTTACCCTCTCTGAGCCCTGGGCTCCTCATAGGTAAATTGCACAGAACTATGGCTGCCCCTTGAGTGGATGAGAGGCATTAATGAGATGCAGTATCTTTAAGTTCTTTACACAGGGCACACTTTTCCCCTCCCACTACCATCTCTTAGTAATGTTCACAATACCCTTATGCCTCACCTTTGTTCTGTCCTTCATCTTTGAAAGCGATTTTGCCTCCATCATGCCATCACGGCCTGCTGCCCCTTCCCCCTGGCTCTGTGGCTTCCTGTGCTGCCAGTTTGCAGTGCAGTTCCTGCTGCCTCCCTGCCCTGGAGTTCTGCCCCCATCCTCTTTGCACTCCCAAGTCTCTGACTTTCCTGGGGTTTGTTTGGCTCCACCACCCAGCAGGGAGGCATAACACAGATCTTAGGAGCCCAGTTACCCCCACTCTAAGTGCAAACATTTTTCTCTATTTTTGGTGCATTAGATTAATCAGGAGAAGTGGGCTTTTGGATTTCGTTGGTCCCCTGTGAGGCCTAGCTCCAGGTAAGTGTCCTTCATAAATGTTTCATCACTCTCCCTGCCATAATTGTTAAAATGGGGATAAATTCTATCTGGATTCAGGGATGATCTCCCACCTGTGTCTGTTTGCCCCTGTGGCAGCTCCCCTACACACTGCATCTCTCGTGTCATATTTCCCGTTGCCACTGGATGGTGATAGGGCCAGCTGCTTCAGTTCATCACAGCTGCGTGTGAGCCTCTGGCCCAGGTGGCAAGGCGAGGCCAGCACACTGCCCACCTACCTGCCTTGATCTCTCTTGGTGGCTCGCGGTCCCAGCACTACTCCTCCAAAGCCTGGATCAAATTGTCTGCTTTAAGGAAAGATCAAACTAGCTCCTCCAGGGGTCCTGCTCTTGAGCATGGAGGGCTGGTGGTCACAGCCATGACTGTAACCTGCACAGCCCCATGACAAACCAAGTCTTTAGTTCCATGGCCTGCAGTCTTTAGTTCATTCTACAAATAAATATTTATTTCCTGCTACGGACCAGGTACTGTTCTAGGCACTGAGCATAAATTGGTGAATTGAAATGAATAGGAATCCCTGCTTCATGAGGAATATAAACAGTAAGTCAGGTGTGTGTATGTGTGTGTGTGTGTGTGTGTGTGTGTGTGTGTGTGTGTGTGTACCCATATAGTCTGTGACTGATAAGTATTAAAGAGAAAAATAAAGCAGGAAAGGTGATAGGGAATGTCCAAGGGTGTTAACATTGTAGACAGGGTGGGCATGGAAAACCTCTCTGAGAAAGTGACATGTAAGTAAAGACTTCAAGGAAATGAGAGAAGAGCTGCACACATGTTTGGGGAAGAAGATATTGGAGAGAGGGAACAGCATGTGCAAACGTGCAGGGACCCAGAGGCAGGAATGGGCCTGGCCAGCTCGGGGCATGCCCAGGGGGTCCATGTGGCCAGTTTGTATCAGCAAGGGCCGCAGCAGCAGGAGATAGTCAGAGATGTAGGTGTGAAGGTCAAACCACAGGGGTTCTTTAGGGTAAAATGGGAACCAGGTAGAACGTTTGAGCAAAGTAAGGCCATGATTGGACTTCAAATTTTTTACAGAAATAAACTTTATTGTGTATATTTGGGGTTTACAGCATGTTAGGAGATGCGTAGAGATAGTAAGATGGTTACTACAGTGAAGCAGGTTAACATGCCCATGATCTCATAGTTGGTTTTTTTGTGTGTGACAGGAGCTGCTAAAATCTACTTATTTAACAAAAACTCCTACTATAGTTACGTGCCACATCATGATGTTTCCATCCACAAATGGCCACATATATGACAAAGTTCCTATAAGATTATATTACTACTTTTTTTTTTTTTTTTTTTTTGAGATGGAGTCTCGCCCTGTCGCCCAGGCTGGAGTGGAGTGGCATGATCTTGGCTCATTGCAACCTCCACCTTTGCCTCCTGGGTTCAAGCGATTCTCCTGCCTCAGCCTCCTGAGTAGCTGGGATTACAGGCATGTGCCACCACACCTGGCTAATTTTTGTATTTTTATTTTTTATTATTACTATTTTTTGAGAGAGAGTCTTGCTCTGTTGCCCAGGCTGGGGTGCAGTGGCGTGATCTCGGCTCACTGCAACCTTCACCTCCTGAGTTCAAGCAATTCTCCTGCCTCAGCCTCCTGAGTAGCTGGGATTACAGGTGCGCGCCACCATGTCTGGCTAATTTTTGTATTTTTAGTAGAGACGGGGTTTCACCATGTTAGCTAGACTGGTCTCAAACTCCCGACCTCGTGATCCGCCCACTTTGGCCTCCTAAAGTGTTAGGATTACAGGCGTGAGCCACTGCGCCTGGCCAATTTTTGTATTTTTAGTAGAGACAGGGTTTCACCATGTTGGCCAGGCTGGTGTCGAACTTCTGACCTCAGGGGATCCGTCCGCCTCAGCCTCCCAAAGTGCTTGGGATTACAGATGTGAGCCATCGCAGCCGGCCATATTACTGCATTTTTACTGTACCTTTTCTATATTTTGGTGTGTTTATATACACAGATACTTACCACTGTATTACAGTTGCCTCCAGTATTCAGTACAGTTACATGCTGTGTAGGCTTGTAGCCTAGGAGCAATACGCTGTTTCATGTAGCCTAGGTGTAGGAGGCTATACCATCTAGGTTTGTGTAAGTCACTCTGTGATGTTCACACAATGACTAAATCACCAAACAAAGCATTTCTCAGACCGTATCCCATTGTTAAGCAATACAGAACTGTACAATACGGTTTTATTAACTTTAATCTTCATTTTGTACACTAGATCTCTAAACTTGTTCTTCCTATATCTCTGCTATTTTGTGTCCTTTGACCTGTATCTCTCCAATTCCTACCCCTCTACCATGCCCACTCATAATAACCATTGCTTCCTTCTCTGTGAGTTTGAGCTCCTTTTCTAATATTCCACATTTAAGTGAGATCATGCAATATTTCTCTTTCTGTGTCTAGCTTATTTCACTTGGCATAATTTCCTCTAGGTTCATTCAGGTTGTGGCAAATGGCAGGATCTCCTTTTTAAGGGTGAGTAGTATGCCATTGTGTACACATACCACATCCTCTTTATCCACTCATCCGTTGATAGACACTTAGGTTGTTTCTATATCTTGGCTAATGTGAATAATGCTGGAGTGAACATAGGAGTGTGGATATATTTACAAGGTGATTCCATCTCCTGTGTGTATATACCCAGAAGAGGGATTGCTGCGTCATATGGTAGTTCTATTTTTAATTTCTTTAGGAACCTCCATATTGTTTTCTGACTTAGATTTTAAAGGGATCACTCCAGTTGCTGCATTGAGAATAGGCTGAAGGGAGATCCATTTAGGAGGCTCTTGCAGTAATCCAGGTGAGAGAGGTTGCTGGCTTGTCCAGGATGCAGCAGTAAAGGTGGTAAGAAAGGTTGGAATTCTGGATAGATTTTGAAGGTAAAGCCAACAGAATTTCTTGATGGTCTGGATATGAGATGTGTATGTGTAAGAGAGACAGATCAAGGGTGATTCCAAGCTTTTTTTTTTTTTTTTTTTTTTTGAGATGGAGCTTCACTCTGTTGCCAGGCTGGAGTGCAGTGGTGCGATACCGGCTCACTGCAATCTCTGCCTCCCAGGTTCAAGCAATTGTCTTGCCTCAGCCACCCGAGTAGCTGGGACTACAGGTGCACGCCACCACGCCTGGCTAATTTTTGTATTTTTAGTAGAGATGGGGTTTCACCATGTTGGCCAGGATGGCCTCGATCTCTTCACCTTGTGATCCGCAGGCCTCGGCCTCCCAAAGTGCTGGGATTACAGGCGTGAGCCACTGCGCCTGGCGACTCCAAGGTTTTTACCTTGGTACTTACGAGGGTAGAGTTGGCATTTGCTGCAGTAGGGAAGGAGGTTGGGCTGGTTTAGGGGTAAGAGGTGTCTGAGCCGAATCTTGGTATGCCAAATGTGAGATGCCTGTTAGACAACCTGTGGAGATGCAGGGTGGCAGCTAGAATGTGAGTCTAGAGTTCAAGTGACAGAATTCTACTGGAAACGTAAATTTGGGAGTAATCAATATACAGATTGTACTTAAAGCCACGAGACTGGGTTTGTACAGACAGAGAAGAGGACAAGGACAGAGCTCGGGGGTGCTTTGAACTGAAGAGGTCAGAGGGATGCAGAGGAGCCCATAGAGGAGGATGAGAAGCAGCAACCAAGGGGCAGGAGGAAAGCTGGGTCAGCATGGTCTCCTGGAAGCCAAGGGAAGAAGTGATCAGTGTCACAAACCTCTTGAGAGGCCCAGGGAGACGAGGACTGACAGGTGGGCTCACTGCTCTGGAGATTTTTGTTTCACTTTGTTTTTAATGCTCCACATTAAAACAATATCCCATGGGTCATGGCCTGAGGACGTTTCTATCTGAGTAGAGCTTGAGGCTTCAGCCCTGCAGAAAGCAGGAAGGAAGATGTATTTGTATCGAAAAGAAAAAAGGAAGTTACCAGCACACTTTTAAGTTCACTGTCTTGTTTTATTTCCATAAGTCCTTTTAGGGGAGTATTTGTAGTGCTTTGCCCAATTTAAGATGAAGAAAATGAGGTGCAAAAAAGCAACATAGCTGCCTTTAGTTCAGAGGCTTTGAAATCAGTGTTGGTCAATAGAACTTTCTCGATGATGGCAATGTTCTGTATCTGCTTTGTCCAGCATTGAATCTGTGGGCTACCTGTGGCTACTGAGCACTTGAAATGTGACTTTTTGGCTAGTTTTTAAATTGCATTTGACTTAAATTCATCTAAATTTAAATATAAAGAGCCATCTGTGGCAAGTGGCTACCTTAATGGACAGAACAATTCTAAGTGGTCATATTTACACTAGATTTAAACCTGGGTGTTCTGATCCAAGGCCTGGGGTCTTTCAACCTACCCTCTGCTTCCCAAGAAGGTAGCATAATGTTCTAAAGGGGGCTGGATTGGCTTGAGGTGATGAGTCTTGGAGGGTGGATTTGGAGAAGGAGATAATGTATGTGACCTAGGCGTGGTCTAAAGTTCTAGGGTTTATTAGCCAGTTTACAAGCTCTCTAAAGTCTCCTGAAGCCTGTTTCTTCCACTGTCAGCCCAACCCAGGCTGTAAGGTTGGGCTTACAGGAGTAAGGGTGAGGACCCAGGAGTAAGGGTGAGGACAGGAGGGTATATCTAGTATATGTACCACTTATAAATCCTACCGTCTGTCAATTTCCTTCATGAAACTTCCCCTGTCCACTCAGCCGTATCTCCTGAGCAGCAAATCATTTAAATTCCTTTGAAATACTGTTACTTAAACTTGTTTTTGGACACTTAGATTGTACCTATTATTACCATTACTATTTCGGTTGTGTCTGTGTGCTGCTTTCTGAATCTCTTTATAAACTCCTGGAGGCAGGTGAATTATGTCCTGTTTCCTATACATGGTAGGTACAGGATGGGGTGGTATAAAGAGCACTCGTCTTGATCATCTTTGGTAGCACTAAAGCCAAGAATGATGCTTACAAAATTGTGGGACCTCAACAGATGTCTGTTTAATAACTGAATGGCTAAACTTAGAACCACATAGTTTTAGTTTAGATTTCTGAGTTTCCGTTCACTAGCTTTGTTGCCAAAGGCGAAAAACGAAACTCTTTGAAACCCAATTTGCTCATCTGTCAATTTGTTCATCTATCAAAAGCAGTGTATTTCTTGTGTTCTCGTGAGGGTCAAATGAGATAATAACCATAGAAGTTTTTGCACAGTGCCTGGCACATAGTAGGTGCTTATTTATTAAGTGTTAATGTTTCTTTACTTTTCTTATGATGATATATATGCGGTTTATTCTTCACTAGACTGTGGTCTTATGGCAAATGGGGATTGTATTTTACTCACTGTTGTCCTCCATAGCACTCACACAGTGCCCTGAGCATATTAGGTTCTTAGGAAGAGCTATTGGATTTATTGCTTGCTGGATACCTCTGGTCGCAGCTCAGGAGATGCAGCTGAATGAGACATGACCCAGGGCCAACAGGGAACATTTGGGAGTGCCCAAGCTTAGAGCAGTCACAGCCTCTATCTCAGCTTCGAAGCCTGCACGTAATTTACAGTCTCATTCCTTCTGTTTCTCAAGTGGCCATTTAAATTCTTTAGATTGCAGGGCTGTCATAGATAATTCCTCTACTAGAATGTAAGCTCTGTGAGGATAGACATTTTTGCTTGCTGTTGTGTCTAGAACAGGGCTGGGGCATGGTATGTGGTCGGTAAATGTCAGATGAAGGAATGAACACAGGTGGGGCATGGGAAGCAATATTGTACAACATAACTCTGCAAACTTTTTTTTTTTTTTGTAAAGGACCAAAGAGTAGGTACTTTAGACTTGTATACTATAGTATCTCTGTTGAGATTATTAACCTCTGCCATTCTAGCTCAAATGGAGTCACAAACAACATATAAACAAATGAGCAGGTCTATGTTCCAAAAAATGTACTTTACAAAAACAGGTGGCATGTGGTTTTCCAGTTGTCCCAGAACCATTTGTTGAATAGACTGTTCTTTCCCTAGTGAATAGTCTTAGCACTCTTGCCAAAGATTAATTGGCCATAGATGTTTCAGTTTTTTCTGGACTCTCAATTCTATTCCATTGACTGTATGACTATCCTATGCCAATAACACACTGTTTTGATTACTGTAGCTTTGTAGTTAGTTTTGAAATCAGGTACTGTGAATCCTCCAGTTTTGTTTGTCTTTTTCAATGTTGTTTTGGCTGTTCATAGAGTCCCTTGCAATTGTATATGAGTTTGAGAATCAGCTTTTCCATTTCTTTCTTTTCTTTTTTTTTTTTTTTTGAGATGGAGTTTCACTGTTGTCTTGCAGGCTGGAGTGCAGTGGCACAATCTCGGCTCACTACTGCCTCCTGGGTTCAGGCAGTTTTTCTGCCTCAGCCTCCCAGGTAGCTGGGATTACAGGTGCCTGCCACCTTGCCCAGCTAATTTTTGTATTTTTAGTAGAGACAAGGTTTCACCATGTTGGCCAGGCTGGTCTCGAACTCCTGACCTCAGGTGATTTGCCCACCTTGGACTCCCAAATTGTTGGGATTACAGGTGTGAGCCACTGCACCTCGCCCAGCTTTTCCATTTCTATAAAAAGCCACTAGAATTTTGATAAGGATTGCATGGAATCTGTAGATCGCTTTGGGGAGTATCGCCATCAAAACAATATTAAGTCTTCCAATCCATGAAAACGAAATGTCTTTTCATTTAATTGAGTCGTCTTTAATTTCTTTCAGCAATATTTTGTAGTTCTTAGTGTACAAGTCTTTTACCTCCTTAGTTAAATTTATTCCTAGGTATTTTGTTCTTTTTAACGCTATCGTAAATGGAAATATTTCTTAATTTCTTTTTCAGATTGTCCGTTGCTGGTATCTAGAAACTCAACTGATTTTGGCACATTGATCTCATATCCCGCAAATTTGCAGAATTTGTTTATTAGCTCTAGTAGTGTTCGTGGATTCTCTGGGATTTTCTGGAGGCCCCAGCATCTCAGGCTCCTGTCTGACATTCTCCTTTAGCTCTGGTGAGGCTTCCAGGACATTCCACTCCGGCATATCACCCTAAACACTAGAAGACTGCTTTCCAGCATCGGGCCTGCTCTTGAGCTTTCTAGAGTTCCAGGGACCCTGGACAGCCACCATGACCAAGTCCATTGGATGTCAGCTCAGGAGAGACACAGGAACCTCTTCCTGCCTATTTGCAGGAGTTTGATGGTCTGTCCTGAAGTCCATGGCTCTCCTAGGAAGGGGCTGTGGGTTCTAGGACTGACCCTGATCTCTGCCTGTAATTCTTTCTAACACATTTTTATCACCAACTCCACCCATAGCTGCCCTATGTAGAACAGATTTCTTGTCTTGTCTTTGTTTAGACCCAGTTTCTTCTGGACTCCTGGCTGATCCAGCCTGAGTGCTGTGTGGCCACCTCTTCCATTCCGACTGCGTTGGCATGCCTGGGCTCTGTGAGTGTGAGTGTGCACGTGTGGATGTGGCATGGGGGAGCATGTGTCTGCCCTGTGTCTCTCCCCTCCTGCAGGCCTGGAGTCCTTGCATGGAGCCCAGGGGTGAGTCATGTAGAGAATGGGATGGATGGCTGGACTTCCAGGTGAGGGGCTGTTGGTGGGTGGTATGCTCTGACATTTTAGGGGCACAGGGGACCCCTTAAAGGACTGGGTTGATTTCTGGCCTAGAAAACGTTCGACCTATGGGGATCTTTATCACCTAAGACATATAGGTAGTCTGCTGCATGCAGTATCAAAGCAATATGTGAGGTTGAGAGAAGGGAGCGTATGACCAAGACCAAGCTGTGAGTAGGGATGGCAACTGGTTCTCACCCCCTCTGTAGCTGCTGTCCCAGCAGGCCTCCTAATTTCAGGTCCCTAGTCTGCAGATGCACACTGCTTGGTGGCTGTGTCTCCTGCAAGTACTGTCTTTATTTGTTAGGATCACCATATGAACGGACTGACAGTGCTGACAGTGGTGCCATGGTGCTGTGACCTGATACCATGTCAGGCACCATGAAAAGAGCGAATAGCTACCAATCCTCTCTGACTTGGGCCAAGATTCTGCAGCACCTCAGAGCTCCTGGGACAACCACACAGAGCCTTTTTGTTTTCATCAACATTGAACGACCAGGCTTGAATGAGCTGCCAGGACAGGGCTGCTCAGGAGGATACGGCAGTGTGATGGCCATTTACAGAGGCCTGGAGGCAAGAAGACAGAGAAAGTAATGAGACAAGAACCCTGGGAAGCCATGGAAGGGAGGCTAAGTACATGAGTCAGGACCACACACTGTGGGAGCTGGAGCCATCGATGTATCAGTGTATCACTTCACTGGCTGAGACTCACACTTGTGGCCGCCAGTCTGCCAGGCACAGCCAGTCTGCTGAGGGTGAACCATTGAGGGGAAGGTCTGAGGAAGCACCTGCCAGTGCGGGTAAAATCAATTCTGAACTCTGTCCCCCAGCAGATCCTGCACATTTGTGTGTCTACACATGGATCTATAAATCCATGTGGCTCTGTAACCTCAGAGTTGCCTTTTGATGACTGGCAAGGGTAAAGGGAGTAATCAAGAGGCTGGACTCCCAGGGCCTAACCAAACTGTTTCCAGTTGTCTATTACTCTATAACAAATCATCTGAAAATATAATTTAACACAGCAACAATCATTGATTTAGCTTACAAATCTTTACTTTGGGCAAGGCTCAGTAGGGAAGATTCAAAAGGCTAATCTGTGCTCCATGTAGCATCAGCTGAATGGGCAGCTAGACAGGGAGCTGGAGGACCCAAGATGGCACAGTTACATGGCTGGCAAGTTGGTGCTGGCTACAGGCTGGAGGTGCTGTCAGAACTGAGGGTCAGGGGTCTTTGTTCCTCTCCACATGGACTGCTGCATGTGGGCCCCTCTGCACGCTACTTGAGCTTCCTCACAACATGGTAGCTGAGTTCTAAGACTGAGCAACCCACAAGAACCATGCAGAAGCTGTTTTGCCTTTTTTGGCTGACCTAACGGAAGTCATATAGCATTACTTGCACCATAGTCACAAGCCCACCTAGGTTCAAGAAGGGGGATCATAGATGCCACCTCTTAATGGGAGGAATGCCAGAGACACATCATAAGAATACCTGGGATGGGAGATAGTGTGGTGGGTGGTCATTTTAGGAAAACATAATACCATCTCCATATGAGCCATGGAGAAGGAATGGCCATATTTTGACATTACCACATACTTAGAACCCTGAGGGACTTGTAGAATGGCAATGGGACAAGGATAAGATGCTGAAGAAGTGAATCTTGCCATGGGCACGTGGAAAGATCCTAACTGTAGCGCCTGATGTGTTTCTACCCTGGGTGTGGTGGTGGGGGCAGCAAAGCTTTTGATCTGCTTCCTTGATGTCTGTGAGAGACCATTTGTGAGAAAAATACATCCCCTCCCACCTCTAGCTCAGCTCCACAGAGGTCCCTAATGAATAATCCTCATCAGAGAGAGACCAGAAATAGCCTCCTACTTAACAGCCAGGCAGAGACGGGGCTGAGTGTGGGGCTCGGAGGTGCTAGCCCTGGCAGCTGGCAGGCTGGTCAGTATGGGTATTTTTCCTTTTGCATCTCTGGGCCTTGGAACAGAGCCACATCCAGGGAGATGCCCCCAGCCTGGTGCTCTCTAAGGGAACGTGAACGGGCTCCAGAGGACAGAGGCAGCTGCTGGTTCCAGAAATGAAGCTGCCCGCCTAAAGGTTAATTACCCTCAGTCGGGCTGGGCCAGAACGCAGTTGCCGAGACCTGCTGTCTTCCTGATACTCTGCTCTCAGGCTGCACCAGCTGAAGTCTTTGCTTTGCGCAGGGCCCTGCTGCTGGGAGGCCAGGACTGCTGCACAGAGACACTTCTCTTCTGTCTCCCACCTCTTACCCCCTCCCGTGCTGTTGGAGGTTGGTTTTTGCTTGCAGGACTCCAGCAAGCCGGCTGGCTGCTTTCGATGGGCCAGAGCATAAGCAAAGGCAGGGCAGTAACCTTTACCTGGTCTGGCCTGGAGACATTTATAAAACCCAAGAGCTTGGGGACAAACTGTATGGATGTGAGATGTATAAATAGCCCTCAGGAGAACCTGCCAGGTCAGGAGTCCGGAGTCCTTTCCAAGGCATATTTTTCAAAGGGAGGGCCAAGGATCACCTATTTAAAATCTTACCTGGAGACTCTATTAAAAATGTAGACTTCAGACCTACTAAATCTCAAATGTCTGAATCAGGCAACCCAGTGAGTCACAGGAATTCTAAAGTTTGAGACCCACTTCTTGTCCCTACCCTCATCTAGAATGCTCATTCTAGATCTAGTTTCTACCCCCAATCTCATGGCAGTTCCGCTCACCTCCGTTGAGCACCTGCTCTATGCCGTGTGTTGTGTTACATGTCGGAGACATGAGGATAAATAAGACATGGTACCTGACAGGGAGGGGATGATTGCTTTCAGAAGTCCCTGGACTAAGTTCTGTCATCTGAAAATAGGGGTTCAGTTCCCCAGCCCTTCTCCTTATCTTCTACTGCAGTTTTGGAGTTACTTCCTGAGGGATTCTCTGCAAATGCTGACTAGCTTATAGAAAATAAAAGGTCAGTTTGATAGGAGTACTGGAGAATTGGTGCCATCTGGTTTTGCAATGTGGGATTTTAATAATAACCCTAGTTTACTTTTATATGACACCTCTGACTGTCCCTGCAAATAGACTATTCTATAAGTGTTTGTTGCATACACTGTGTATGCTTTGGACAGCTGTTCACCCAGTTCCCAAAGCCTCTTCCTTTTTGAGGCTCTTTTAGGTTTTCTGATTATACCAAAGAGAGTCCCAGTTTTTCTGAACTAAAAAATCAGAGTAGTGTAGAAGACAGAGTCCTGGACAAGGAATAAAATGGCCGGGATGCTCTCAGCCACCTGTGAGACTCAGAGTGTACTGTTCTGTCTGTATTTTCCCACCTGCCACATTAATACATCACTGTCTGCATCATTGGGATCAAGTAGCTAACGCAGGCGAGGGTGCTTTGGAAACCAAGAAGCAGCCACGCACATACAAAGCATCGTGATTCATAACCAGAATGCTGTACCTTGGTTTCAGAGTGGCTTGTAGGTCCCAGTTGAACAGTAGTCAGCGCGAGACAAGGCAGAAACAAAACGAAATGACTGACACCACGTCAGATCTTAAGTCCTGGATCCACAAATACAGAAGGTTCCCTGTATTCCAATTAATCTTTCTAGTAACTCGGAGAAATAGGTAGGACAGACTTATCTGTACAGTAAGGAGATTGAACTGGATATTTTCTGGGACCTGTTCCATTTTTACAATAGAACAATTCTATAATTTGCCAGATGAGAAAGCTGAGATGAGCTGGGCCGAGTCACCGGGAGGTTAGGAGGTCTGACTGAGACCACATGGCTCCTGCATGGCAGAAGTCAAGATACAGTTCGGACCTCCTGGTGGACCCCAGGGGTGGCTCTTCTGATCGACGGCACTGACTCACTCTGGCCCCTCTGTAACCAAGTGCATATAGGCTCTGAGTCTGGCCTGCTCTGTGGGCATAACGGCCCCCCCATTCCAGCTGTGTGAGGCAGCAGTGGTGCGGGCTCTTTCTTCTGGGCACGTGACTCACAATAGAGAGTCTTTCTTCACAGATTGGAATGCGCCCTGCGGTTTTTCTGTGCAGGGGTCAAAGGCGATCCCTTTCTCCAGGGAAGAAAGCAGACCTCCTCCAGATTCTGTGCCCAGAGGGCCTGGGGCTTGACCTTGAGCCTTGCACATCGCCCTGCTCCTCTCTGAGCTGCTTTGCTACCTCAGGAAAGCAGAGTAAGCTGTTGCTGCATCACCATTTTAAATGTTAATGATTTGTATTATTTTAAAATCTGTTTGTGTGCCTGGAGGCCTCTTTGCCAGAGGCCCAGAAAGTAAGGAAGTGGGTAAATAAATTAACTGGGAGTCTTCAGCTGACTACAAAACTGTCATTCCCAGAAGGCAGTGCAGAACTGGAGCACCAGGCGGCCCGGCCAGCCTCGCTTGCCCCTGTGAGGTGGGGAGGGGGTGTGAGCAGCTGCAGGGCCCTGCTCTCCCATTCCATCTCAGGGTGGGCCATGCAGGGTGGGCCATGCTGAGCTGTAGGAGACAGTGAGCTCCAAGTCAGTGTCTCTGATGAATCCTGCACCACAGCTTGTTATGTCAGGAAAGCGTGCCTTCCTCGAGAGACATCAAATACTAATGGCAGCAGTGGAGGCAGAGGGTAAATGAAAGCGAGTTATAAATGTTCCTTTTAAGGGCAACAGTGGGTGAGAGTAGAATGAGCATTTCAAGAGCAGAGCAAAGGCATTAAACCTTGGGTCTTAACTTTCTCAGTGGGCTCACCAAGGTGGGACGAGATGTTCCTCGCTTCATCTGCTGCCCCAAGTCAGAGACCTCCTGGTGCCCATCACCTGCCTCTGCCACAGCCCAAGGTGTGCAGAGAGAAGCAAATTCATCCTGGCGGGACCCATCCCCCTGGTCTGGGGATCAGTGCTGAGGCACACCCTGGCATGGGTCATGCTTCTCTTCAAGGGGTGTCTCTCAGGATAGCCCAAGTTCAGGAGGACAGGCTCTTTCAGAATCTAAGAGCAGAGACTCCCAAGGCAGAAAGGGGCCTCCAAGATCCTAACCAATCTCTTTTGAATCTGTAGCCACCTGGCAAAACTATACCAAACAGATTGATCCTTAATGTTTTCCAGAAAAGAACTTCCCAAAATGTCCATTGCAGGATGATCCAATAGAAAGAGGGAAGCTAATGTACCCTGAACCTGCAGAAGGCCTTTTGTGGCTGGAGAGGGCTGGAAATTTCTCCCCAGTGCCCTCAGGCCAGGACAGAAAGGCTTTAAAGCTGACGTGTAGCCCAGAGGAGACAGGAGGTGGGTTCTGTACGGGATGAAAAGCTTGGAAGTCCTAGCAACTGAATCCTACCCATTCCGTGGTCTGAGTAGCTTCATTAAGAATCCAATTCATTCATATATCCATGCACTCAGGAAATGATTATTATACACTGCACTGTGCCATGCTCTTTGTGAGGTGCTGTGGATGCAATAATACACAAAGCACACAAGGTCGCTGCTTCACGCAGCTTACACCCAGCAGGGAAATTAAATGGACATGTCAATAAATAGTGACTGTAAAGTAAGGTGAATACTCCACTAGCACACATACAGGGTGCTAAGGGAACCTGGGGTGCAGGGGCACCCAGCCTGCCCTTGGGGGTAGTGGAAGGCTTCTCAGAGGTGATGGAGAAGCCAGGTCCTGATGTCCAGCCATGCGGTGTGCTGGGGCGAGGGTTGGGAAGAGAGGGGGAAACGTGACAGAAAATGAGACCGGACAGGTAGGATTTAAGAGAGGAAAAGAAACCAGGCCTGCTGGCCTAGGAAGGACCTTAGCCAAGGCAGTCTGTAACCATTTTCAGCTCCTTTAGGCAAATCTCCCTCAAACTTAGTCATTTTTTGCCTTCCAGAGGCAGTGTCAACAGAGGTCACCCACCCTTCTGTGCTTTTCTTCTAAATTTATCCTCTGACCACGCACGGTGGCACATGTCTGGAATCCCAACACATTGGGAGGCCAGCATTGGAGGATCACTTGAGCCCAGGAGTTCAAGAACAGCCTGGCCAACATAGTAAGACCCTGTCTCTTAAAAAAAAAAAAAAAAACTTCTACTTAAATTCTGCCAGGGACAGGGAGCTCACTGCCTGGTCGTCAGTTTTTCCTAATGTTGAGTCCAAATCTCAGCCTTATCACTCCCTTCTGCTGGCCCCGGTTGGCCCTCCTGGGCCTAGAGAAGGAAGACTCCAGATTCTTCACGATGGCCCTTTATACACTTGAAGTTAGCAACCACATTACTTCCGATCTTCTCTTCCTTAGAAGGAGTCTTTCCTGCCCCCTCAGTCCCTTCTTATGTGATTTGATTTTTACCCGTGTCACTAGCCTGGATCCCTTCTTTTGCTGGTCTGTTATTGTCCTTTTGAAAGGAATGACAATAACTGGTCACAGTTTCCTGCGTGAGCCTGGCTGGAGTGGGGATGAGAGAGGCAGTGCCCAACTTTGAGACACTCTGCTATTATTTACACAGCCCAAGGTTGCACTTTTTTATAAGCAGCAGTTTGCCACAGCTGGCTCATGTCAAGCGTGTGGTTCTAAAAACAAATGAAAAAACAAAGCTCATGTTTTCCTCTTTTAATAAACTTGTCCAAGTCAAGTGTCCCCCTGTTTATAGGTCTGCTGTATTTCTTGAATCCAAGATTTCACTGGATTGGTTTCTCTCAGCGTTCTATTCTGCTGTTCATTGGTTGTTTGGATTCGGCCACCTGACATGCTAAGCACACCCCCTCCCAGTTTTGTGCCCTCTGCAGATTTTATCAGCATGCTCTGTGGGTTGTCATTCCTGGCACCTGAAAAGCCCCCCGAACCCAGGCAGGTAAACTCCATAAAGAGAGCAGGAGGAAGACAGAGGGGGGCCACCCTTGCGTCACTGACATTGGGCTCTTCAGTCATTGTCATGTTGTAATTGGCAAATGCAGAAAGCACCAGCATGTTTTGTGCTTAGAGCTCTTTACCAGGCGAGGTTTAATTGCAATGGGATTTATGACCGTAGCTTGTAGGAGGTAATAGATGTAGCTGTGTCTCTTTTATCTTCTCTGGCTACAGAGGATTTTTTAAGGGAGGAGGAAAGACAAGTGGGGCTGGAACTGGGAAACTCGGTGAGGTAGAGAGGTGGCTACGAGGGACTTGATGAGTCGCAGTTGCTAAGGTTGCCCTAAGAGATGTACAACATGAATATTCATAGTTCTGTTCACTTAGGTGACTGCTTTGCTAGCTTTATCTCTTCACAGCAGCTTTGGAAGATAGGGAAAGGAAGGCTCAATTCTCCATTTTACAGAGGGGGAAATTGAGTCGAGAGTGGATTTGCTGCGGACTCAAAGTCCCATTGAGAGTCATGAATAGAATTGGGGCTGGAATCAGGTCTTGTGCTCTGCTCTTCCTACCATAGAGCACCTGCTTCTCCAGCATTATTCACAGGATTTCATCCTGGCTCATCACTCATTCCTCTTCCATCATTATTTAAGAGATAATGTCTATGACAGCACATTGTAAACTAAAGTCTAAAGGTGCTATCCATAGTTGCTGTTGTTATGACTGAGGACTTAGCTGTGTTGAGACACCATGTGGATGCAAAAGTGTATGCTATGCTCTCCCAGCCTTTCAATAGCGGTGACTTTAATAATGTCGGGAATTCACCCAGTCTGGAGGCTCATTGTGACTTACAATCCACAGCTCTGGGGTTTTGGAGAAAGGAAAGTGCTAGTGCGTGTGATTATTGCAAGCCAGAGTAAAGATGAGGGGCTTTCAGAAGGAAAGGACTAACCTTTTCCTTCCTGCCTTCCCTTTCTTAATCCACTCGCGCTATTTATTTTTTCTTTCAGCAGTTATTTATTGAACACCTACTGTGTGCCAGGCACTGAGCCATGTGCTATGAATCTAGTGGTACATGGGGAGAAGTGGTTTTTTGCTTCTTGGAACTTAAATCTCGTGGAGGTTAGGGAGAGGACACAGAAGATTAAGCACTTACTGAAAAGTATCAAATGTGTCCTAATAGAGGAAGTATGAAGTACTACAGCGTCCCATAGCAAGGCCCTGTGACCTGGTCTGGGAGTTAAGGATGGCTTCCTAGAGGAAATGACTCAAGCTGAGACTGGAGTTTAAATAAAAGGTAGATGTTACTCTAGATGAAGGGGACATGGAACAGTGCTTTTTCAGGGCCTGAGTCAAGAGAGAATATGATTCTTTTTGAAATGTAGGGAGAGGGGGAGGTGGGAACAGATGAGCCTGGAGAGGTAGGAAGCGGTCAGATCATAAAGGCTCTTAGGAGTCTTGTTAAGGAGGGTTCGGCTTTAGCCTAGTATAAGGGAAAGCTACTGGAGAGTTACAGGCAAGGAGGGACATGATCAGATTTCTATTTTGGAGAGACTCCTTTAGCTGCAGAGTGGCAAATGCATGGGAGGAAGCAGGTGTTTGGTGTGGGTCCTGCTGATTCTGAATTGCCTCTGGGCTTTGCACTGGAGGTGTCCACCCTGTAGGTAACTACCTTCATCCGTGGGACTGGAGCTCAAAAGACAGGTATAGGCTGGAAATAGGAATTCACTGTATCTCTGCTGGCACGGGGGCACTAATGCTTATCCTGGGCCAGGTGCTGGGATTCGGCTTATCTGTGGAGCAATAATTGAAGCCAAGGATATGTGTGATCAAGGGAGGGAGAAGGGGCCCTGGGGCACAGTCCCGAGGAGCCCCAACCTACGAGGGCAGGCAAGAAAGTCGACCCTGCAATTAATTCAGGAAAAGGAAGCCCTTTTGGAATCACAGACCTGTTTGAGCATCCGTTGTCGGAAAGCGGTGGGTCGTGTCTCATAAAAACAAAAAAACAAAGTAAAACGAAACAAAAGCAATTGGAAGCTCATGAACCCCCCTAGAGGTTGTTCTGTGAATGCAGATGAAGGACCCCTGGCCTAAAGTGTGTTCCACCCCTCCATGTTCCTTTCCTTTTCTTTCCTGTTTGTCTGATTCCAACGCTCCCTCTCTCTCCTCTTTCCCCTCCATGTTTCCTTTTCTAGACATTCGTTTTCCCCACCAACACCTTCCCAGTCAGGTATGGAGAACGACATTTGCAAAAGGCTTGGGGATTCTCAAATTCCTGTGGCCCCAAACCTCTGGGAAGAAAACGTCCCGTGTTTGCAGCTTCATTTCACACCAGGCCACGTGGGCGCCACACCCGCTCCCTTTTGTGGGGCTGCTGTACTGGCGGCAAATGTTCCCACTTTTGAGATAGAACTGGGGAGACTGAAGCAGAAAATAGGACGCAGCCTCCTCTGGGTTCCAGCCTTAATTTAATTTAAATGAATTAAACATATTCTTCCTGAGCCCCTTCTTGGTGGAAAGCACAGTGGATTCCAGGTGGGGGAAGTCACCCAAGCAAAGGCTCATCCTGAGCAGAGAGTGGGCTTCTGTGTAGTTCAGGAACTGGGCATGTGGGCAGTGGGGGAAGGCGGCTAACAGGCAGGCTGGAGCCTGATGTCAGCACTCCTAAATGCAGGGAGGGTACGGAGCCTCCACTGTTCTGTAGGCAATGGTGAGCTGGCTAAGGCTTCTGAACTGGGAGTGACTCTATCAGAGCTGAGAAGAAGGAACCAGAGCTTGATTTGCAGAAGTCCAGACCTGGATTTCTGTAGTTATAAAGCTCATTCACTACCTGACATGATTTTTTTGGGGGGTGGGTGGGCGGGATGGAGTCTCACTCTGTTGCCCAGGTTGAAGTGCAGTGGCCTGATCTCAGCTCCCTGCAACTTTCACCTCCTGGGTTCAAGCAATCCTCCCCCCTCAGCCTCCCAAGTAGCTGGGATTACAGGCGCCTGCCACTGTGCCCAGCTAATTTTTGTATTTTTAGTAGAGATGAGGTTTCACCATATTGGCCAGGCTGGTCTCAAACTCCTGACCTCAAGTGATCCACCCACCTTGGCCTCACAAAGTGCTGTGATTAGAGGTGTGAGCCACTACGTCTGGCTACGCTCTATGTGAATTGAGTGACTGCTATGTGCAGGCTCAGAGCTATGGTACAAAAGGTGCAAAGAGAACTAAGATGCAGTCTCTGCCTTCTAAGTGTTGGCAGCCTGGCTGGGGAAGCAGAAACTGAGTATAAATAGATGAGGAGGAATCCCAGGCCCCCAGCACCCCTGACCTGACATTCCCTCTGCACAGGAATCCTTCCAGCAGTGAGAGAAGAAGGAATTCTTCTCTCCCTGAAGTTTCCAGGAGAGACAGCCTTTTCCAGCTGCCACCGCTCTGCTCATCAGAGTGCTAAGGATGGATCCACAGGAGAGGGTGGTTCTGCAGCATGATTGTCCCTGAACTCCATTTATCAGCTCAGGGCCCTGGTAATAAAATCTATTTGCACAGCCATGGACTGAGAATTTAGCTCAGATGGTTAGAGAGGGCGTGCTTAGGGACTAGGATCCAAATCCTTTAAATATTTGCTGTGGGGATGTCTTCATACCCAAGAGGGGAAAGGATGCTGCGGCGGTGGCTCCTCGTCGCTCTGACAGGCAGTTTGGGGTCCAGCCAGGAGATTTTTCCTGCCGACGGAATGCCTGTAAATGGAGGCCAGGTGCCCTGTGCTCATCGCGGAACTGGTTGCCTTTGGTCACCTTAGTGTGAGCCTCAGGCTGGGGTCACAGCCATTGCAAGGTAGCTAATGGCTGGGACAGAGGAAGCAACTGCACACACCTGGGTGGTGGGCAACGCTGCAGGAACAGGCTTTCAGAAGGGCAGCTGCTGTGGGGCATCCTTTGGCAATGTTTACAGTATCACGAGGTGAGATGTTACTGCCCCCTGGGGCTTCTTCCCTACTTCTCCTGTCCCTTGAACCTGCTCACAGGCGGATGAGCATGCCCAGGATCTGGCAGTGCTTAGGGATTGGAGAAGGATGGGCCCACTATCTCCTTTGCCATCCTGCCAACACACATGTCCCAGCCTGCATAGAAAGACACCGCAGGGCCAGGAAATCTGAGTCCTAAAAGTTTAAAAAAAAAAAAGCGATGGGAGAACTTGATTTGTGATGTTGGCTGTATCAGTTGACCTCTTTGGTCCTCATTTCCTTACTTACAAGAGGGGAAATAAGAATCCTCCTGCTTCCTGCATCACCAAGGTGAGGAGAGGAGACTACATGGGATGAAGAAAGAGAGGGCTTGGGTGGGGAAAGCCTGCTGGGGGTGTGTGGGATTCTGATCAGGGAAGCCCAGCCGCCCAGCCTGGGGTGCCCTTCCAGCTCTGGGCTTTGTGGGCAGGAATGTGCTCTCCCTGGAGCTGAGGCTCCACGGGCTTAGGCCTCCTGGAGGCTGAGCAGCTGGGGGATGGGGAGACCTCCCAGCAAGGCTGGGGTAGGAAATGGCCAGCCTGTACCTCCCTGCCCGCGTCTGTAAGCTGAGGCGGCTGTCTGTGGCAAGAGGGCTTGAAAAGATTCCGAAAAGAATTAAGTCAGTGCCATGGTTTTCCCCTTAAGTGTCTGTCTAGACACAACACCTGATTCCAGGAAAGGATCATAAGTCCATTTGCTTGTTGCTTTGGGTGCTGAGAAGCCTGACTTCTCCCTCCTGCCATCTTCCCTCTCTTCCAGGGTGTTCCTCCCTCTCCTCACCAAGAGCAAAGACAGGACTCAGCCCTGGAGTTCCTAATATGTCCCCTCAAGTCTGTAAGTCCATCAGGGACCTCCCAGCCACTCCCTCCTCTCCCCGTCTTTACCCAGGCTTTCTGGAAACAGCAGAAAAAGCTCCAACTCCCGGTAGCCTGAGGAGTGATGTGACCAGCGTCTCTGAGTCATGGAGGCATCCATATTCAGGAGAGGATACTTGCCAGTTTCCATTTTCCCTGAGGACAGAGCAAGAAGAGATAGGCTTAGGCAGCCGCAAGTGGATTTAGGCTGGGTTAGACAAGAGATTGGTGTCGCTGGATAATAATGTGGTTCCCTGCCACTCTCCTCTCTAGCGTTCTAAGCCAGGGACACTTAACCTCCAGCCGCAAGTACAGCCTTGCCCCGGCATGGGACCAATCCTGTCCTTGAGATGGAAGGAAGGAGGGAGAATCCAACATGTATTGAGCATTGTCTGTACGCTGAAGCTGAGCAAGGCACTTTCATATCCAAGTCACCTTAGGTGGGCAGGTGGATGTCCAGGGCTGTGGGTCTGCCGCCTGGGAGGGCCAGCCTGGCCGCTGTTGCCTGTGCCCAGGACCTGCCAGTACCAACCTTGGTCCTGCCTTGACTTAGCCTGGGTTCATACCTCAGGGATGCTTGGACCTTTAACCCTTTCCCGTCGTACTTGCCCGTTCAGTCCCTTGCTGACTACAATCAGAATGGTTTCAGGACTGGCTAAGCCCTGTTTTTAAGAACAAGAGTTATTAACCATAGGAATGGTTTGCTAAGAAAGAAGGTGGCCCTCCCCTTTCTAGAATAAGGTATAGAATCAGGCTTAAAGAAGTAAAACAACAGGTTTTGCGGGTTTTTTTTAGATACACATTTACTCTTTATTTTGGTAAGTTGCATAATTGAGTTTTTTTTAAAGTGTATAATGAATATTTTGAATTTTAAATAAACAAGATTTTAAAGAAATCCAACAAATCAGAGATCTCACATTCTTCTGCAGAGACACCATCAATAATTTCATAGCATTTTATGCATGCTTGGGTGAGTCCTTCATTAAAAATAAGCTTTTAAAAATAATAGGCTGTAGCAACTTCTACAGCCACACATAAAGTGGTATTTCCTATAATCTGCTCTGGGTAGAGGCAGGGAACTGAAGGCAGTGTGTGTGAGGGGTTAACCAGGTGGCTTCCTTCCAGAGATAACCTGGTAGAATATGAAGGTTTTAGAGTGAGACGGATCTAGATTCAAATCGGCTCTGATACTCACTGCCTGTGTGACCTTGGGCCAGCTACCTTCCCTTGGATTCTGAGTGCTCCTCTTCTGGTAAAGTCAGACTGTTGATGATACCAGCTTCCCAGTTGTTTTGAAGATGATCTGAGATACAGCCTGTGAGTCAGTCTCCTAGAGGCCTAGTGAGCTGCTCCCACAGATCGTCACTCCCTTCCCCTGACCCTTCCCCCTTTCCTTCAGGTCTCAGGAGTCCAGAGTCATTCATACATACTCTTTCTCCCACTGTAAAGAGGTATTTAATCTGAAATGAAATAGTTACATAAGCTTCTCTCCTGCCCAATATTCAAAACCAGAATTTATAAAATAGAAAGCTAAGCAACAATGACTAGCCTTATTCCAGAAGGATCCTTCTTTTTATGTATAGGTATTTGCTAAGGCACTTCTACCGCAGAGCATTTTTCTCTCCACATTAGCTGCTGCTGTTATCCATTTGACAGAGAAGCCGAGAAAAGAGGCTGAGAGCTAACGGCTTAAATGTTAGGAACCTTTGTTCCCTAAAGATCAATTCAAGAAAGAGATAAGGTAGATTAAAAAAAAAAAAAAGATTTGGGGAAACATTTCATTTGTAAAAATTCAAGCTGTTTCAGGAAATAACTTTTACTTAAAGCAAACTACACCTGGGATTGGGGAGCACTGCCCTGCCTTATACCTAGAATGTGGAGCAGGTTGTGTGTGTTGTGGGGGGAGGTGGTAAAGAAAGAGAAAGGAGGGGAGAGGGTGAGATTTCGAACTGAGAGCTCATTGGCATGACCATTAGAACAACTTCTGCTGGTCACAGTCACAGCGTATTAAGGTCTGCTGAGGTGGGATTGGTCATGAAATCGATAAGCACTGCATTTTGTGTTTGATTCTGGTTTATTGTAGACTGTTTTCTGCAGACATCCTTTGATGTGCGTTTGGCTGTGAGCAAAGTAATATAGATTTTCCCATTGCATTCTGGGTCTCAAGGCTGACTCCCTTGCAGTCCAGCACCTTTGGGGTGGGGATAAGGAGCTATTTGGGATGGTACCTGGGCCTCCAGATGCCAGGCCTGGACCACGTGGGAGGTAGGAACTGATGGTGTTGATGTGTCCTGCTTTGGTTAAGATTAGCTCAGGACTGAAAGGAACTAAGCTTTCAGATGGGAGCTCCTGGTGCACAGCCATGGGTAGTTGGAGATCAGAGAAATTTGGGAGGGGAAGAAGGTGCTGGCACCAGGATAGGCAATTGTGATTTGATATTTATTCTGCAAGGGTGGGGGTTAGGGAGGAATAGGGAGGGAGGTAGATTTAAGAGTTTAGCTATATTTTAAGAAGTTAAGGGTGCAACATGGCTTGGAGGGGGAAGATACTGGAATTTTTAAAATGAATTGAGAAATCATTGCTCTGTCTCAGTGTGTGATGGAAAGGTTAGAGGAATGGAGGGTGAGGATGGAGGGAAAAGGGAGAGAGATGAATGCAAAGACAGAAGAGAGAGGGACAAGAAGTTAAAGATGATTCTAGGTTCCAAAGCTGGATGAGTTTGTTCATTCACGTATTCATTCATTCATTCATTCATTCATTCATTCATCATTCATTCACCTAAGAGTAACTGAGCAGCACCAGTCAGGGTGCTACACACTGGAGGGAAAGACATGCTTTTCTGGAGGTAACTGTCTAATGAAGGGTTTATGGATACAAAAATGGGCAATTACAACATCTGTGGGAGCAGTTGGGGTCCCTGGTTGGGAGCTACGGGGAGTGGTTCAAGACAGCATTTTGGAGCAGGTGATCTCTAAGCTGTCAGCTAGTCAACAAAATCAAATCCTTAGACCATAGAGGGAAAACAAATGTGGATGAGGCATCTGGTTGGCAAGCAGACATGATTGATGACCTTTGAGAGTGCAGTTTCAAGAGAATTAGAACCATGGCAAAGGCAATGTTTTAAAGTATTGTGCATTAATAGAAAAATCAAGGTGCAGTAAGGCCAGCAGGTCAGGAGACAATTGCCCTTGAAGAGATAGTTTGTTCCTCACAGTTCCCAAGAGGAGGGACCATGCCACGCCACGGGGAGCCACATGGGAGGTCCTGGGATCACTCAGGAGCAAGCAAGAACCTTTACTGTGGTTTCTGTGGGAAGAACCAGGTGAAGCAAGGCAAGCAGATTTAGGGTGGGCTTGTTTGAATAATTCCAGCAGCTCTGGGGTATAGGTGCCATCCTAGTTGTGTGGTACCTGGCCCGGGGTGATTAGGGCAGGTGGCTGGTGGTCCAGAGTGGGAGATTCAATAAAGGAAATAGTTGGGCTATAGGCTCTGGATTGGTTGGTTTGTTCTCAGAAAATGCCCTTGTGTACCTATCTCTAGGAACTGGCTAACCCTGGGAGGGGCAGTCTCTCCCGGGTCAGCAAGACCCCAAGATGTCGAAGCATCAAAATACAGAAAATGAAAGACACGGTTAATACCAGCAGTTAAGGGAATCATCATTGATAACATTTATTGGACACTATATGTGAGGCATGTTTTACATGTTTTAACTCACTTCTCATGGTGTCTTTTGGACTTAAGTACTACTTTACTGAGGAGGAATCTTAAGCTCAGAGAGGTTAAGTAACTTGAGGTAGTTTACACAGCTAGTCAGTGTCTGGGCCTGGGGTCCAGTGTAGCAGGCAAGCTCCCAGGCTGGTAGTCTCAGCTGTGTGCTCTGCGGCTTCTGTAGTGGGTGCTGAGCAAGCCAGCACACAAAGGGTGTGGATCCCTCATTCAGCAATAGCAACTTTAATTAAAATTAAAAATTTCTTGTGTTTATATATGGCATTCTTCTTTCAAAAACTTCCAATTTGATTCTACTACTTCCGCCATGATGGAGGTAATGGTGTTTTGGCAGTAGGATTAATTGAGGATCAGAAAGATTTTGGGGCCGGGCGCAGTGGCTCATGCCTGTAATCCCAGCACTTTGGGAGGCCGAGGCAGGTGGATCACTTGAGGTCAGGAGTTCTGACCAACATGGTAAAACCCCGTCTCTACTAAAAATACAAATTTAGCTGGACGTGGTGGAGCATGCCTGTAATCCCAGCTACTTGGGAGGCTGAGGCAGGAGAATCACTTGAACCCAGGAAGCGGAGGTTGCAGTGAGCTGAGATCGTGCCATTGTACTCCAGCCTCCAGCCTGCGTGACAAAGCGAGACTCCATCAAAAAAAAAAAAAAGATTTTGGGGCTTTTCCAAAGAGACATCTTGATGCAGTCTGGAAGGCTGACTCCCGACTTGGGCTCTTCTGAAAGGGACTGGAATTTCTTTCTCTAGGCAACACCAGCAGGCCCCCTGGCTACACGTTGCTCTTCCTTCATTTGCATGTATACCAAGTGTCCTCAGGTTTCAGGGAATCTTTTGCAAGCCCAGTTACTGTTCTTTCTATAAAGAAGTGGTGAAGGGCAGTCTGTGCTGGGGCCTTTGGAGCATGGAGTGAACCCAAATGAGATTCACTTGGTAATTATGTTTTCCTTAATGAAGTTTAAAAGGGGTGGTAACTAACAGGGCTTTATCCTGACACCAGCCATTCCTCATCCGTAAATGGTGCTTCGTAGCAGAAGCATATGTGAAGTTTAAAATGTTTTGCATATACTATCTCTATTCTCCCCATTTTTAATACTGTAAATATATTGTCAGATCATAATATATCCCTATTAACTCTCAATCTTGTTTAATGCTCATCATTGGTTTTATGTCAATGTCTCTCTAGTTATTTTGTTGTCTGAAATTCATTCTTTAGCAGATTCCTAAAGGAGGGCTCTTGGGAACAATATTCTCTCAGTTCTTACATGTTACGTTAATATAAGTGTGTGTTCTTCACACTTGAAGGTGATTTCCACCCACCACTCTTCCAGGCCTCATTCCCAGCCCCTGTGCTTTGCATTGACCCCTCCCCAAGAGGGTGGACAGCTGATCGGCCTCCATTGAGCATCACCTGCCCTGAGAGGTATTCTAGTTATCCCCACTGTGAGGGTGACAAGCAACACCAGGACCCAGAAGCCCTGGATCTGCCATTAACCAGCTCTATGGCCTCGGGCAAATCCCTGAATCAAAGAAGGTCAAGACCCACAATTAGGAAACTGAGGTTTAGAGGAGAAAGTTGCTTGCCCAAGGTCACACAGATGTACCCAGATGGTAGATTCCAGGCCTTGGAACCAGACCTTCAGCCCAAGTGTTGATTTGCCCACATGAAGTCCCATGTAAAGTTTCTCACATACCATGTTTGCCTCTAAAACAGGGCCAGTTAGTGTGCCTGGCCTTCCTCACAGTGGATAGGACATCTGAAAGTGCTTTATAAGCTGTGACGCTCCAAACCAGTGGTTCTTGGTAAGGGTAGCACCTGTTTTTTTTTTAACACTTTAAAAATTGAGGTATAATTTACATATAGTGAAATTCACTTTTTATGAGTGTACCTTCTATGAGTGTTGACGAATGCATGCAAGCATGTAACCATCACCATAATCAAGATCTGGAACCATTGCAGTGCCCTGGAAACTCCCTTGTGCTCAGCCCCCTCTCCCTACCCCCTGCTCTTGGCAACCACTGATCTGTTTTCTGTCCTATGGTTTTGACTTTCCTAAAACGTCATATAAGTGGAATTAGTCAGTATGTAGCCTTTTCATCTGTTTTCTTTCAGTTAGCGTAATGCATTTTACAATCATCCATGTTGTTGCCTGTATCACAAGTTTGTTCCTTTTTTTGTTTGTTTGTTTTTGAGAGACAAGGTCTTGCTCTATTGCCCAGGCTGGAGTGCAGTGGCATGATCGTAGCTCACTGTAACCATGAACTGCTGGGCTCAAGCGATCCTCCTTACTCAGCCTTCCAAGTAACTGGGACTACAGGTGTAAGTCACAGCACCCAGCCTGTTCGTTTTTAATACTGGATAGTATTCCACTGTTCAAATGGACTACAATGTATCTATCCATTCACCAGTTAAAGGACATTTGAGTTGTATCCAGTTCCTGGTGACCATGAATAAGGCTGCTATTTCACAATAATATAAACTGAAGAGGCATTTTGTCAGTTTGTTAGGTGAACTTTGTGTTTTTACAATGATTGGAGAAGGAATGTTATTGGCATTGAATGTGCCCGGCCTGGTACTGGGTACCCTCAAGATTCAGGACAGTCCAACACAATGAAGGCATTTCCTGCTTCCTCCAAGACTTTTGCATGTTCTGCTGGACCTTCATGTAAGTGACAAACCTGTTTATAAATGTCTAAGCCTAGAAACTAACTATATTTTATTTATTTGTAAATTCAGAGTAATTTTTGTCAAGGTTTAGTATGCATTGGATTTTCCATTAATGTAACTACTAAGTAAACTGACAAGACTATACTTTGTTTTGTTCTGAATTTTACCAAAATTGTGCACCATTTTGGAAAATCATATCACCCTCTTCACTCTTGCCAACTTGGTTTGTGGTATTTGTGTTGCCAACACAATACTCCTGTATTAGTCTGAATTTGTGGTTGCTGTGTTTATAGTGATTCTATATAAGGGTGCAAACATCTGACTCTTTCATTATGTCTTCTAGTTTAGTCTTGCTCAACTATTCGCATAATAAAATACTATTCTATTGCAAATTTTCTTTTTATTATTCTTTATATAATTAGGGATTATGTGGATTTTTGAAAACAATTAGGTATGCAGTTACAAATAAATTTTATTTCAGAATAGAAAAGGGGCCTTACAAAATATCTGTTATAGAAAGGGAATTTTGATTTGAATAAGAGTTGAGAACCATTGCTCTTTACAAGAGTTAGCTGGTCTCCATATCCAGCAGCATAGACAGGGCCCATGTCCTGAGTGAAAGGTTTAGGTTGGTGGCTGGTAATTTTAGGAAAATGTTCATGTTCCAGAACTTGCTATGGCCCAGGGCTTAGTTCTGTTACCAAAACACCAGGGCTTTAGTCTAGGTCCTGTTGTTCCCCACATAGAAAGCCAGTGACTGAGATGACTAGTGTTGCCAAGGAAGAAGGCTTTAATTGGGTGCTGTAGCCAAGGAGATGGTAGATCAGTCTCAAATCCATCTCCCTGACCAACTAAAACTAGGGGTTTATACAGCAGGGAAGAAATGTAACAGTGTGTAAGAAAACAGGAACTAGGGAGGGGCAAGGAAGCAGTCATGAGGAATGAGGGGTCTGGCATCTCATTGCTTGGATGTGGTCATCTGGTGAGTTTCAATTCTTTGATTCTTTTCTTGAGAGCCCTGGGGGTCCTTTCTTGAGGAATAACTCAGATAAAACAAACTAAGTTGCAAGCTTTAGGACCAGAAGGGTCATTTTCTATGTTTATAAAAAAAAAAAATCTATGGAACTATTGGGTCACTTTCTGTTCCCTTGGCCATATCCAGAGGCATTTGGAAATACATTTGGCAGGCAAATATTTATGGGCCACTTATTACATACCAGGTGTTATCCTTTTCCACAAAGAGAATTCTAGTGATGGTGGTGGTGGGGGGTATACAGACAGACAATATTTTTATATACAAATAAATGAATAAGATAATTTCAGGCACTGATGAGTGCTAAGGCAAAATAGGTAGCACTTAGGGTATTCAGGAAGGCTTCTCTGAGTTATACCTAATGGTGAGAAAGAGGCAGTGTTACAAAAACCTAGCAGAAAGACATTCCAACCACAGGGAACTGCAAGGACAAGTGCCCTGAGATGGGAAGCATTTGAACATGTTTTGGGGACAAAAGGATGACCAGAGGTCAGGAACATAGAGATTATAGAGAGAGTGGTGGAAATCAGAGAGGACAGCATGGTCACAATTATGTAGGGTCTTGTAAGCCATAGTGGAGGTTGGAATGTTATTGTTTGCAGTAGAAAGCCTTTGGGATCTGTTAAACATGGGGATGATATATCTGAGTTATGCTTTAGAGAGACCACTGTGGCTGCCCTGCAGGGAGAATAGAGGCAGAGAGACCAGTCAGGAAGCTCATGCAGAAGTCCAGAAGTGAGATGGTGGAGGCCCAGGCCAGGGTAAAAGCAGTGTTGATGGTAAAAAGCAATTGAATTAGAGATGTATTTTGGAGATAGAATACTCCACATCCATTAATCACGTCCATTGGCCAGAGCCTATGGACATGATTAATTTTGGAATGTGGGGAAAAGAGACTGACTGCTAAGTTTTTGGCCTGAGCAATTGGGAAGGAGGTGGTGCCATTTATTGAGATGGGAAAATTAATAGAGATGGTATATTTTAAGGGGGAAATTGGCTTATTTTGGCTAAGTTAAATTTGAGACATCTATTAGACATAGATCATGTCAACTAATAGTTGGGCATAGAAGTTGAGAGATGCAGGCTGGGGATAAACATTTGAAAGTCATCAACAGGAGAGCCTCTGGTAACATAGCAGCAGTGGTGGCAGCATGGTTTGTGGATCTTCCCAAATCCCCACATAAGACAGATGAAACAACAAAATAACAAAACCAAAAATCCATAGACAACATTTACAATAAAACTAGGTGACGGGAGTATTTCCATGAACTTCCAAATACAATAGGGTGGGGAGAAACAATTAACAAATAAAAGACTTCTCTGTTATTTGTGTCCAAAAATGAAAAGCAGAAAGAAGCAAGGGGAAGACAGACCTGAGAACAGGAGAACCACAAACTAGCAACAGATTTGCACTGGAAAATGTGATGGGCCAATTTGAGGATAGGAACTGCAGTTGGGAGGGGTTTGGCCCACTTCAGTAGTAGGTATGTGCAACAAGTCCACCAGATGGAACAAAGGGGCGAGAGCAGCCTCGTTCCTGCATATTCTCCAGACTGACCTCTCAGGGCTTCCTTCCAGAGTTCCCACTGAAGAGAAACCACTGGGAATGGAATAGAAATTGAACAGGGTGAGGAAAATAAAGACTAAACAAAGAGAAAGTCCAGATAAAAGTTGGGGAGGGGAACAGAACCAGGAAATCTCAGAAAGGAAGCCACCAGAAATTTTTTTAAACGCTATATAAAACAACAGAAATGGGAGCTCTGTGAAATTAGAAAGGATATATGAAAGAAACCTCATTCTAAAGGTTCAGGAAAACTTATTTTACATAGAAATGAAATGATTGGATCCAACTTTAATAAAAGTTACTGTAAGAAAGAGAGAATGAGATGAGTAACATCCTGCTGAGCATGAAAGCACACCAGAAACTCATGCTCAGAAAAGCAGAAAAAAATAAAAACCTATGGCACACTGTTTCACGATGAGCTCAAAAGCATTTTAAAATGATAAAAGACATGAAAGATAACATAAATCAGAAGTAGAAAAACTTAGAAATGGGATGCAGATTCAAGAAAGAATTAGAAATAGAAGGAAAAACATTATTTTATAAATGAAAATAAAACTATAAGGAGCACAAGAACCAATAAACACTATAAATAATGCTTATGAGAAACAAAAAGCACAAAGGGAGGAAAATTTTAGAATCAAAAAGAAATTAAGAATGTGATAAATATGGTTTGAGAGAAAAATGACAAATATTGAAGATAGGCAATGAAGATCCAATATGTGAACAATAGGCATCCCTGTGAAGCAAAAACCAAAGTAACATCCTAAAAATTATAATTCAAAAAGCCTCATGAAATTAAACATATATAAATTTAAACTTGTATATTGAAAGAGCACACTGTGCACCTCAGAATATTAACTCAGAAGAACCAAGACATATTTTAGTAATATAACTGGGTTTTAAAGAAAAAGAAAAAAAATACTTTGGACATCTAAGCTAAAAGTGACATATAGGAGAAAGAAAATGACATTGTCATTCTGACTTTTCTACAGTCATATGTTATGAGAGAAGAAAATGGAATAACATATTAAAGGTATTCAAAAAAGAAAATGTGAACATGAGCCAAGGATTTTATATTCAGTAAAATCGACCTTCAAGTGTGAAGAACACACACTTATATTAACGTAACATGTAAGAACTGAGAGAATATTGTTCCCAAGAGCCCTCCTTCGGGAATCTGCTAACGAATGAATTTCAGACAACAAAATAACTAGAGAGAGATTGACATAAAACCAATGATGAGCATTAAACAAGATTGAGAGTTAATAGGGATATATTATGATCTGACAATATAGATATAATATTAAAAATGGGGAGAATAGAGATGGTATATGCAAAACATTTTAAGCTTTTAAAAATATCTTTTCACAATTTTATTTTTAATTTTTGTGGGTACATAGTAGGTGTATATATTTATGAGGTACATGAGATACTTTGATACAGGCATACAATGTATAATAATTACATCATGGTAAATGGGGTATTCATCCCCTCAAGCATTTATCCTTTGTGCTACAAGCAATCCAATTAAACTCTTTTAGTTATTTTTAAATGTACAATTAAATTATTATTGACTATAGTCACCCTGTTGTGCTAGCAAATACTAGGTCTTATTCATTCTTTTAAACTATTCTATTGCACCAATTAACTATCCCCACTTTCTCCCCACTTCCCCACTACCCTTCCTAGCCTCTGGTAACCATCCTTCTACTCTCTTTCTCCATGAGTTCAATTGTTTTGATTTTTAGATCCCACAAACAAGTGAGAACATGCGAAGTTTGTCTTTCTGTGCCTGGTTTATTACACTTAATATAATGGTCTCCAGTTCCATGTATTTTGTTGCAAATAATATTATCTCATTTTTTATGGCTGAATAGTACTCCATTGTGTATATGTACCACATTTTCTTTATCCATTCATCTGTTGACGGACACTTAAGTTGCTTCCAAATCTTGGCTATTGTGAATAGAGTTGCAATAAACATGGGAGTGCAGATATCTCTTTGATACACTGATTTCCTTTCTTTTGGGTACATACCTAGCAGTGGATTCCTGGATTGTATGGTAACTCTATTTTTAGTTTTTGAGGAATTTCCATACTGTTCTCCTTAGTGGTTATACTAATCTACATTCCCACCAGCAGTGTGTGAGGGTTCCCTTTTCTCCACATGCTTGCCAGCGTTTGTTATTGCCTGACTTTTGGATAAAAGTCGTTTCAACTGGGGTGAGATGATATCTTGCTGTAGTTCTAATTTGCATTTCTCTGATCATCAGTGATGTTGAGCACCTTTTCATGTGCCTGTTTGCCATTTGTACGTCTTCTTTTGAGAAATGTGTATTCAGATCTTTTGCCCATTTCTTAATTGGATCATTGGACTTTTTCCTATAGAGTTGTTTGAGCTCCTTATATATTCTGGTAATTAATCTCTTGTCAGATGAGTAGTTTGCAGATATTTTCTTCTATTCTGTGGGTTATCTCTTCAGTTTGCTGACTGTTTCCTTTGCTGTGCAGAAGTTTTTTAATTTGATGTGATCCTTATTTGTCAATTTTTTTCTGTGTTTGCCTGTGCTTGTAGGGTATTACTCAAGAAATCTTTGCCCAGACCAGTGTCCTGGAGAGTTTCTCCAGTGTTTTCTTGTAGTAGTTTCATAGATTGAAGTCTTAGCTATGAGTCTTTAATCCATTTTGATTTTATTTTTATATATGGTAAGAGATATGGGTCTACTTTCATTCTTTTGCATATGGATATCTAGCTTTCCCAGCAACATTTATTGAAGAGACTGTCTTTTCCCCAGTGTACATTCTTGGCACCTTTGTTGAAAATGAGTTCACTAGGTGGGGCACGGTGTCTCATGCCTGTAATCCTAGCACTTCTGGAGGCTGAGGTGGGTGTACCACTTGAGCTCAGGAGTTCAGGACCGGTCTGGGCAATACGGCAAAACCCTGTCTCTATGAAATATTATACAAAAATTAGCCAGGTGTGGTGGTGTCTACCTGTAGTCACAGCTACTCGGGAGGCTGAGATGGGAGGATCACTTTAGCCCAGGAGGCAGAGGTTACAGTGAGGTGCAATTGCGCCACTGCACTCCAGCCTGGGTGACAAAGTGAGACCCTGTCTCAAAGAAAGAAAGGAAAAAAGAGTTCACTGTAGATGTATGGATTTTTGTCTGGGTTGTCAATTCTGTTTCATTGATCTATGTATCTGTTTTTATGCCAATACAATGACTTTTTGGTACTGTAGCTCTTTGAAGTCCAGTAATATGATCCCTCCAGTTTTGTTGTTTTTGCTCAGGATAACTTTGGCTATTCTGGGTCTTTTGTGGTTCCATATACATTTTAGTTTTTTTTTCTATTTCCGTGAAGAATGTAATTGATATTTTCATAGAGATTGCACTGCATCTGTAGATGCTGTGGGTAGTATGGACATTTTAAAATGATTGATTCTTCCAATCAATGAACATGAAACATCATTCCCTTTTTTGGTGTCCTCTTTAATTTCTTTCATCAGTGTTTTTTAGTTTTCATTGTAGAGGTCTTTCACCTCTTTAGTTAAATTAATTCATAGGTATTTAACTTTATTTGTGGCTATTTTGAATGAAATTACTTTTTGATTTCTTTTTCAGGTTGTTCAGTGCTGGCATATAGAAATACTACTGATTTTATATGTGGATTTTGTATCCTGCAACTTTTCTGAACTTGTTTATCAGTTCTAATAGTTTTTTGGTGGAGTCTTCAGGTTTTTCCAAATGCAAGATCATATCATCTGCAAACAAGGATAATTTGATTCCTTTCTTTTTCAGTTTTGATGCTGTTTCTTTCTTTCTCTTGTCTGATTGCTCTAGCTAGGACTTCCAGTACTATGTTGAATAAAAGTGGGGATGGTGGGCATCCTTGTTGTGTTCTGGATCTTAAAGGAAAGGCTTTCAGTTTTTCTCCCTTCAGCATGATACTAGCTGTGGGTCTGTCATGTATGGCTTTTACTGTGTTGAGGTATGTCTCTTCTATACCTGTTTTTTTTTAGTTTTTTTTTTTTAATCATGAAAGGATGTTGAATTTTATCAAATGCTTTTCAGCAACAATTGAAATGATCATATGGTTTTTGTCTGTCATTCTTTTGATATAATGTCACGTTGCTTGATTGTCATATGTTGAACTCCCTTGCATCCCTGGGATAAATCCTACTTGATCATGATGAATGATCTTTTTAATATATTGTTAAATTTGGTTTGCTAGTTTTGTTGAGGATTTTTTGCATCAGTAGTTATTAGTGATACTGGCCTGTAGTTTTCTATTTTTGATATGTCTTTGTCTGGTTTTGTTCTCAGGGTAATACTGGCCAAATAGAATGAGTTTGGAAGTATTCCCTTTTCCTGTTTTTTGGAATAGTTTGAGTAGAATTAGTATTAGTTCTTTAAATGTTTGGTAGAATTCAGCAGTAAAGCTATCAGGTCCCAGGATTTTCTTTACTGGGAGACTTGATTATGGTTTCGATCTCATTACTTGTTATTGGTCTATTCAGGTTTTGGATTTCCTCCTGGTTCAATCTTGGAGGCCGTATCTAGGAATTTGTCTATTTCTTCTAGATTTTCCAATTTATTGGTATATAGTTGCTTATAGTAGCCACTAATGATCCTTTGAATTTCTGCAGTGTCAGTTGTAATGTCTCCTTTTTCACCTCTGATTTGTTTGTTTGGATCTTCTTTCTTTTTTTCCTAGTCCGGCTAAAGGTTTGTCATTTTTAAAAATGTTTTCAAAAAACCAACTCTCTGTTTCATTGATTTTTTTGTATTCTTTGTTTCAGTTCCATTTATATGTGCTCTGATCTTTATTTCTATTAATTTTGGGTTCAGTTTGCTCTTGGTTTTCTAGTTCTTGTTTTTGTTTTGTTTTGTTTTGTTTTTTGTTTTTTTTCTGACAGAGTCTCACTCTGTTGCCCAAACTGCAGTGCAGTGGTGCATTCTTGGTTCACTGCAACCTGTGCCTCCTGGGTTCAAGCGATTCTCCTGCCTCAGCCTCCCAAGTAGCTGGGACTACAGGTGTGCACCACAACACCCGGCTAATTTTTGTATATTTTTTAGTAGAGACGGGGTTTCACCATATTGGCTAGCCTGGTCTTTAACTCCTGACCTTGTGATCTGCCCGCCTTGGCCTCCCAAAGCTGGGATTACAGGTGTGAGCCACCATGCCCAGCCAACTTTTCTAGTTCTTTAGGATGCATCATTAGGTTATTTATTTGAAATTGTTTTTATTTTTTAATGAGGCACCTACAGGTATAAGCTTCCCTCTTAGTACTGTTTTCACTGTATTGATAGCTTTTAGTATGTTGTGTTTCCATTATCGTTTGTTTAAATAAATTTTTTCATCATTCGGGAGCATATTGTTTATTTTCTGTGTGTTTATGTAGTTCCCCAAATTCCTCTTGTTATTGATTTGTAGTTTTATTCCATTGTGGTCAGAGAATATGTTTCATATTATTTCAATTTCATTGAATGTTTTAAGGCTTGTTTTGTGACGTAGCATATGGTCTGTCCTTGAGAATGATCCACGTGCTGAGAAGAAGAATGTGTATTCTGCAGCCACTGGATGAAATGTTCTGTAAATATCTATTAGGTCTATTTATTCTACAGTGCATATTAAGTCCAGTGTTTCTTTGTTGATTTTCTTTTTGGAAGATCTGTCCGATGCTGAAAGTGGGGTGTTGAAATCTCCAGCTATTATTATATTGGGGTCTATCTCTCTCTTTAGCTCTAATAATATTTGCTTTATATAGCTGGGTGCTCAAGTGTTGGGTGCATATGTATTTACAATTGTTATATCCTTTTGTTGAATTGACCTCTTTATCATTATATAATGACATTCTATGTTTCTTCTTACAGATTTTGTCTTGAAATTTATTTTGTCTAATATATGTATAGCTACTTCTGCTCTTTTTTGGTTTCCATTGGCATGAAATATCAGTCTATGTGTATCTTTATAGGTGAAGTGTGTTTCTTGTAGGCAACAGATTATGTGGTCTTGTTATTTTGTGCATTCAAGCACTGTGTGTCTTTTTATTGGAGAATTTAGTCCATTTATATTCAATGTTATTATTGATAAGTAAGGAATTACTCCTGCCATTTTGTTATTTTTTTTCTGTTTTTTTTTGTGATCTTCTTGTCCTTCTTGCCTTCCTTCCTGTCTTCCTTTTAGTGAAGGTGCTTTTCTCTGGTGGTGTGATTTAATTTCTTGCTTTTTATTTTTTGTGTATCTGTTGTATTTTTTTGGGGGGGGAGCTTACCATAAGGTTTGCAAATACTATTTTATAACTCATTATTTTAAATTGATGACAACACTGAATGCACAAACTAACAAGCAAGAAGAAAACTAACAAAAACTCTACATGTTAACTTTGACCCCCTGCTTTTTAATTTTTTGTTTCTCTTTATGTCATATTGTACTATGCCTTAAAAGTTGTTGTAGTTATTAATTTTTATTGGTTCATTGTTTAGTCTTTCTCCCTTTTTTTTTTTTTTTTTTTGAGATGGAGTCTTGCTCTGTCACCCAGGCTAGAGTATGGTGGCACGATCTTGGCTCACTGCAACCTCCACCTCCCGGGTTCAAATGATTCTCCTGCCTCAGCCTCCTGAGTAGCTGGGATTACAGGCACCCGCCACCGCACCTGGCTAATTTTTCTATTTTTAGTAGAGACGGGGTTTCATCATGTTGGCCAGACTGGTCTTGAACTCCTAACCTCATGATCCACCTGCCTCAGCTTCCCAAAGTGCTGGGATTACAGGCGTGAGCCACTGCGCCTGGCCCATTGTTTAGTCTTTCTACTTAAGAGTAGTTTACATCCCACAATTCCAGGATTATAATATTCTGTGTTTTTCTGTGTGCTTACTATTGCCAGTCAGTTTTGCACCTTCAGATGATTTCTTATTGCTCATTAACGTTCTTTTCTTTCAGAATGAAGAACTACCTTTAGCATTTTTTTGTAGGAGAGGTCTGATGATTGATGAAATCTCTCAGCTTTTGTTTGTCTGGGAAAGTTTTTATTTCTCCTTTATGCTTGAAGGATATTTTCACTGAATATATTATTCTAGGGTAAAAGTTTTTTTCCTTCAGTACTTTAAATATGTCATGCCATTCTCCCCTAACCTGTAAGGTTTCCACTGAAAAGTCTGCTGCCAGACATATTGGAGCTCAGTTGTATATTATTTGTTTCTGTTCTCTTGCTGCTTTTAGGATCCTTTCTTTATTTCTGACTTTTGGGAGTTTGATTACTAAATGTCTTGAGGTAGTCTGGTTCAGGTTAAATTTGCTTTGTGTTCTATAACCTTCTTGTACTTGGATATTGATATCTTTCTCTAGGTTTGGGAAGTTCTCTGATATTATCCCTTTGAATAAACTTTCTACCCCTGTCTATTTCTCTACCTCATCTTTAAGGCCAATAACTCAGGTTTGCCCTTTTGAAGCTACTTTCTAGATCTTGTAGGCATGTTTCATTCTTTTTTCTCCTCTGTCTGTGTATTTTCAAATAGCCTGTCTTCAGGCTCACTAATTCCTCCTTCTGGTTGATCAATTCTGCTGTTAAGAGACTCTGATGCATTCCTCAGTATATCAATTGCATTTTTCAAATGCAAAAAGAACCTAGGCCTGGACTCAGGGACCCCAAGAAGTATATAATTCCTGCTTGATTCTTTTTAATTATTTCAATCCCTTTGTTAAATTTATCTGATAGAATTCTGAAATCCTTTTCTCTATTATCTTGAATTTCTTTGAGTTTCCTCAACACAGCTATTTTGAATTCTCGTTTTGAAAGGTCACATATCTGTTTCTCCAGGATTGGTCCCTCGTGCCTTATTTAGTTCCTTTGCTGAGGTCATGTTTTCCTGGCTGGTCTTGATGCTTGTAGATGTTTGTCAATGTTGGGCATTGAGCAGTTAGGTGTTTATCGTAGTCTTCACAATTTGGACTTCGCAATCTGTGTTATTCTTCTTGGGAAGACTTTCCGGGTATTCAAAGGGACTTGGGCCCCAAGCCTAGTAATGCTGTGGCTCTTGCAGACTCACAGAGTTACCACCTTAGTGGTCTTGGGTAAGATCCAGAGGAATTATCTGGATTACTAGGCAGAGACTCTTGTTCTCTTCCCTTAGTTTCTCTCAAACAAATGGCATATTTCTCTCTCTGTGCTTAGCCACCTGGAGCTGGGGGTGGGGTGATGGAAGCACCCCTATGGCCACCACCACTCAAATTGCCCTGGGTCATGCCTGAAGCCAACACAGCACTGGGTCTCACCCAAGGCCCACTGTAACCAGTACCTGGTTACCACCTATGTTTGATCAAGGCCCTAGGGCTCTACAATCAGCAGGTAGCAAAGCCAGCCAGGTTTGCATCCTTTCTTTCAAGGCGACAAGTTCCCCCAGGCCCAAAGTGGGTCTATAGATACTGTCTGGGAGCCAGGGATTGGAGTGAAAAAAAAAGCCTTAGAAATCTACCTGGTGTTCTATTCTTCTGTGGCTAAGCTGGCACAAAGTCCTTCCCACTCTTCCCTCTCCTTTCCACAGGCAGAGGAGCCTTTCCTCATGGCCTCCACCACCACTGGCCCATGGGGAGTTCTGCCAGACCACTGCTAATGTTCCCTTAAGGCGCAAGGACATCTCAGTCAGCTTGTGGTGAATACTGCCAGGTCTGGGACACAATCCTAGGGCCAGTTAGCTCCCTTCTGTCCCAGGGCAGGTCCAGAAATTCTGTCCAAGAGCCTAGGCCTGGACTCAGGGATCCCAAGAGCCTGTTTGGTGCTCTATCCTCCTGTGGCCGAGCTAGTAACTGAAGCCAGTACATCTTAGAGTCTCACCCAAGGCCCATGGTCTGTATTCCCTGGGTATCACTGTTGGTTATTCAGGGCCCAAGGGCTCTTTAGTCAGCAGGTGATGAGTCCTGCCAGGACTGGGTCCTTCCCTTCAAGGTAGCAGGTTCCCTTCTGGGCCACGGTGTGTCTAGAAATATCTGGGAGCCAGGGCCGGGAATGGGGACCTCATGACTCTGCCCAGAGTCCTATCCTACTGTGGCTGAGCTGGTAACTAAGATGCAAGACAAAGTTGTCTTTACTCTTCTCTCTTCTGTCCTCAAGCAGAAGGAAGGAGTCACTTTTGTTGCTGCCAGCTGTGCTGAGTGGGGTTGGGGGACCAAGCACTCCCTTGGTCACTTCGACTGGTGTCTACCTAGGTCACTCCAGTCCACTGGCTCTAAGCCCAGCACAGCATCAGAACTAGCCTAAGACATTTTACACTGTTTTGGTAATCATAATTTACTGGTAGTGGTATTAGTATTGTTATTGTTATTCTGAGGCTGTTGGATGTATAATGTAGGATAAAGCAAATGAATAATTAGAATAATTATGGTTCATTCTAATTCTAATTCTATTATTTCTGTGTTCTTGAGGACCAGAGTTCTCAGTTCAAAAGAATGGAAATACATAGTTGTATAGAAGAGGTAAGGTTGTAGATCTGGACTTGAATTTGAATTTTTAATTACATATATTCTCTCTCTCTCTCTCTCTCTCCCCTCACCCTGCCCACCTCTGTTCACTGAAAAAGGCCTAGAAAGTATGACCAAGAAATACAATGAGCCTCTTATCCCCAGATGTGGTTGTGATATACCATTTCCCATTGAAAGAAGGCAGGGCATCTTGGAGAAATGGCTGATCCCAGGTCTGGGCAGAAGATGTACAATATAAGCCTGGAATAGGTCATGTAAAAGGACTTAGAAGCCAACGTAAGAGGATTCCCACTAGCCGAAGATGACAACTTGAGCTTTAATAAGGATAGTCGTTGCAATGGATTGGAACCGATGTTTAGACATGGTCTAGTATATTTATACTCATGAGTTCATAATGCCATTTTAAAAATTATCTAATTGGTTATCTCCTGAGGATGGCCGGGAACCACTTTATCTTGAAAACTGAGTAAATACAGGAAATGAGCACTTTTCTTGTCACTACTATTTGAATGTATTATTTGAATAACCAAATAATAAATGAGGGGCAGCATCTCTGCATAAAATTATTCTAGCTGATAAATGAAATCTAAATGATTTATGGATCCAAAGTCTAGACATTAGACATTGAGCACCAATAGCTGCTAATACTAAAAACAGAGCAAAAAGCAGGCATTGTGTGTTCCTAATGAAGTGCATAGCTTTGGCTAAAAGAATAGAACTTGAGCCTGATCAAGCCTCAGAATCCAGCTGTCAATTTCAAGAATACAGAGACAGTTCAACGTGTTGAACTGCACGGAAGTATGCAGGCCACAGAATCCAGACTGGGAGAAATTCCATTGGGCAAACGAACAAATAAATTGTAAGGAAAGGAAAGAGATGAAGGAGGAATCCGTAAATTAAAAGAGAGTTAGAAGACATAAAGTTTCAAAAACTAGGCAAGACTAGTGTCTAGGAATGCACTTGGGTGATAAATCATAAAAGAAAAAAAACCACAAGGAAGTGATTACTCTAAAAGTCAGGGAAGTTGTTACTTTTGGAGAGGAGGTAGAGGCTACGGTTGGGATGAGGACATGGGGGGCTTTCTGGGTGGTTGGCAAATTTCTATATCTTAACCTGCATAGTTATTATGAGGTGTTCACCTTATAATGATTCAGTAAACCATTTATATTGTGTGTGTGGTTTTCTGTATCTATGTTTTATTTTACAATAAACAGGTAAAAAAATCAAAACCAGAAAAAGTGATGAAAACATAAGCGGAATTTAAAGCCTTGGGAATGGATAATTTCATTTGGGAGAGAGGATAGATAGGGCAGACAGCCCAGGACTGAGCCTTGGGGGCACTCCAATGTTTGAACGTCTGGTAAGAGGAGATTGAGAGGGAGCCGCCACGGAGGCAAGAAAACAAAGTGGTAGCTATAAAGGAACAGATGAATGAGATATCAGGGAAGCTTAGAGAAGAAAGTATTTCAAGATGGAGTAAATGCCTTAACTGCTCAATGCTGCTTGCAGACTAGAGTGAGCATAGATTACCCATGGACTTTGGTGCAAGGGAAGTGATTGGTAACTTCAGTAAGCACCGTCTCAGAGTGGTGGCAATAGCCTAGCAGAGTGGGTTCAGGTGAGAATGGGAGTGAGATGGAGGCAATAGTTTCAAGGGAACCTTGAGTGATGCAAAGGAGAGGGCAAGCGATAGGTCAGGAAAGCCCTTGACTGTCTTAGTGCCAGGCACAATACAAGTCAGACTCAGCCCCAATGGCAGGGCACTCTGCTTGGAAGATGAGCTACATGGTGTGTTCTGCTGAAGTCCATCACCGTTCATCCCCCACCCCCTACCCACCCTGTCTCATGCGCTGCTCTGCCCAGTGCATGATGCTGAAGATAGACCTGCAGCAGGGCAGGCAGCAGCCAGCTGCTGTTCTACATGCAGGGCAAGCAGGGCCTGAAGGGCAGGAGGCACCATGCTTGCGGGCAACAGCAGCCAACTGCTGAGACAGGATGCCAAGCAGATCAAAGCCGTCAGCTGGGATTTCTGATCCCCATCACCACCTGCCTTGGCAAAGTTGAGAGGATGTATTCTCCCTGTGTCTTGTTCGTGCCTTCCCTCTGAAGCTCAGTCACAGCCATTTCTCATCCTGGTGAGATGGGGGAGGAGGGGCTGGCACCTGAAGATGACGCAGGCCAGAGCTTTTGGAGACGCAGCCGGTAGGGAGCGGACTCTGGCTTGTCGGCAGAGAGGAGCAGAGTAGCCTTTTGTTCATTCCAAGATCAGAGCCAAAAAGTTGAAGCAGAGAAGTTTCACAGCAGGGCTGGATACTCTCTTCAGAGCAGCCTGGCAATATAAAAAGAGCATTTGTAGCCCTTGGTCCACACCAGCCTGGTGTCCTCCCTTCTTAGTTGAGTTTCCAAGGCTCAATCCCCCCTCCTGTAGCCACCTGCCCTGCCCATGGGCAGAGGCATTCTAGTAGGTTGGCATGGTGTTAACCAGCCAGGCTTGATTTTCCTTATCTATATGGAAATAATAGTAGTGCCTGCTTGTAGAATTACTATCAGAAATGGGTTCCTATGCTTAAAATGCTTAGAGCAGTGCTTACCACACAAATGGGGCCAATCTTAGCTGATCTGGCCCCCTTGAGTTTCCCATGGGCTCTGCCTGCTTTGCTGCCCTCTGTGTCAGAAACTCAAGAGACATTCCCACAGGTCTGAGCCTGGGCCTCTTCCAGGCCTTGCTTCATGGACCAGAGCTCCCTTGGAGGTGAGAGTCTGTACATTAGGACTGCTCACTGCCCAATGAGGTTAGAGTTGCAGGGACCATGGAGATGATTTTCTAGGTGAGAAAACTGGGGCCCACAGGGAAGGAATCCTTTTCTACTGCTTCTAGAACTTTCTCTGTCATTCTGTGTTTCTCTGAGACAACATGTTTAGACATCTCTTATTTCAACATATACCTATCAGAGCAAAATTCTGCATTGCAATACGGGGCACTTTGGAGTCCCAAGATCTAGGGGTGAGTGTGTGTCTCGGACTTTCTGTCCTCAGGTGACGATGCTCAGTGTCAGTATGCATATGCAGTTTCTAGCATTTGTGATAATTTACGCTGATCTGGTACAATCACACATCTGTCTAATATCCAGAGGGCGGGCCTAAACCAGAGGTGACTTTTGTGGCTCCAAACAGAGTCCACTAACAAGATCACACACAGACCAAACCCATTACCCTTGCCCTAGGACTGCACTCCAGCCAGCTGACCTCACATGCCCCAACCTCATCCACCAGGGCAGCCCATCTGGTGGCCAAAGGCTGTGTTTGGGAAACACAGATGGCTGGTTTGCATTACACGGAACAGCTTGGGATGTGGACTACATGGACAATTGGCTGAACTTTTGCAGATTTAATCAGATGTTTGGCATCACATAGGTGTAGATTGACTCTCCTTCCCTTCTGAGCCTACTCTCCACTTCAAGAATTTTAATAAAATGCCTGAGCCTGGCTGTACTCTACAATCGACAACTGTTATACCTGAGCATAGCATGGGGTTGTAGTTAGGCTGCTGGGAAAGTCATATGCCGGCCATGCACCTGCTGTTGATGTGAAAACCAGCAGAAGCTAGACAATCACAGCCAGCCTTTTGCGGTGGCAGTAGCTCCCAGCCCCTCCTTCCCTCACCCCCGCATGAGTGGCAGAGCCTTCAGCTAGAGAAAGGATAGGGACTGAAGCATCCCCACAGGAACCTGCTGACCCCACATTACCCAGAGCTGTCCCGTGGCCCTGTCCCAGCTGGGACTCTGAGCATCATGCCTCATCATGCACTCCACCCATATAGGGCCCCAGCTGGCAGAGGGGAGGTGAACTGCCAGGAAGTGATCCAGCATTGCCTGGTAACTTGGGAGGAACTATCTCTGGCATCTGCCTGGGATCCTGGTCTCCCTGGTTTGGTCCAGAGGAGTTTACCCCAGTCTCTGTGCTCCCATGGAGCTGAGTGACTAGTGAGGAATGGGAGCATTGTCCCTTTGCTTCTCTTGCCCATCAGTCAATCCACCTCCCGTGAGTGCCTCAGTTAGTGTACCTGTAAAGTACAATGGCCTCTCCCACCCTTCTCCTGGCCATGTATCTGCATAATGCTTTATTATGGGCCCTCTCCTGGGTCATTCTCACCTTACCATAGAGACGAGGCATGTTTATTTGGTTTTATTTGACGCAAGATCTGAGACTGCACTGAGTGTCCAACCCTACCTCACATTTCTGGGGTCTTCCGGCTGGACCAGGGACCTAAGGGAGGAGGGGCCTCAGTAAAGCTGTGGATAGTGTGTGTGAGGGGCAAGTTTCTGGCACCTGCTCCAGAACCCCACTGCTGTGCTGTCTCTCTCGTTCGTGTAATTGCTAGCACTGAGAATTTACCAGGTGTCAGGGGTCTTTCTGAGCCCCTGCATGCATTAACTCATTTACCACTCACAATATCCTCCACTTTACAATTGAGGAATTAGAGACACAGAGAAAGAAGTTAAGAAACTGGCCTCAGTTTACACAGCTGAGAAGTGGCAGAACAGGCCGTGTGCTTTCTTTTTTTTTTTTTTTTTTTTTTTGAGACGGAGTCTCACTGTCACCCAGGCTGGAGTGCAGCGGTGCGACCTTGACTTACTGCAACCTCCACCTCCCAGGTTCAAGCGATTCTCCTGCCTCAGCCTCCCAAGTAGCTGGGACTACAGGCACGCACCACCACGCCCAGCTAATTTTTGTATTTTTTAGTAGAGATGGGGTTTCAACATTTTAGCCAGGATGGTCTAGATCTCTTGACCTCGTGATCCGCCCGCCTCAGCCTCCCAAAGTGCTGGGATTACAGGCATGAGCCACCATGCCTGGCCCTGGCAATGTGCTCTTAACCACACTGTGCAATGCTGCCTTTCTGCAAAAATAGCAAATGTGTAGATTTCCTTCCTCAGGCGGCCTTCTATTCATGTGAGTGCCCCACAGGGTATCTTAACTTTTCAGGTTAAATATAAAATGCCTTCTGTTTTCATTCATGGATATCAGTATACATGCACGCATACATGCACAGGCAAGCACAGACACACTCACATCAACCAATTGTCATTACCCTGCTCTTCATTCATTCATTCCGACCAGCAAAGCCCAGTGGGCCCCTGTGGGGTAAGATGCAGTCTCTGCCCTGGGGGAATTCTCTGGCTAAGAGGAGACATAGATCTGTGAATATGCAATGGCTCTAGGGTAGCTGCAGCAATATGGGGACACAGAGGAACAAATATGATCTGGGAATTTGGAGACTGGGCTCACATCTCAGGAATTAAGGAAAGGTTTGGTCAAATTTACAAAAGAAAAACAACCCCATAGTCCGGGCATGGTGGCTCATGCCTGTAATCCCAGCATTTTGAGAGGCTGAGGTTGGTGGATCACCTGAGGCCAGGAGTTCAAGACCAGCCTGGCCAACATGGGGAAACCCCGTCTCTACTAAAAATACAAAAGTTAGCCGGGCATGTTGGTGTGTGCCTTTAGTCCCAGTCACTTGGGAGGCTGAGGCATGAGAATCGCTTGAACCTGGGAGGTGGAGGTTGCAGTGAGCCGAGTTTGCGCCAGTGTACTCCAGTCTGGGCCACAGAGCAAGACTCCGTTTCAAAAAAAAAAAAAAAAAAGTGGGCAAAGGACATGGACACTTCAAAAGAAGATATACATGCAGCCAACAAGCATATGAAAAAAAAAGCTCAATATCAGTGATCTTTAGAGAAATGTAAATCAAAACCACGAGATACCATCTCACACGTTTCAGAATGGCTATTATTATTATTATTATTATTATTTTTTTTTGAGATGGAGTCTTGCTCTTTCGCCCAGGCCGGACTGCAGTGGTGCTAAGAATGGCTATTATTAAAAAGTCAAAAAATAGCAGATGCTGTCGAGGTTGCAGAGAAAAGGGAACACTTATATACCGTTAGTGGGAGTGTAAATTAGTTCAACCATTGTGGAAAGCAGTATGGCATTTCCACAAAGAGCTAAAAGCAGAATTACCATTTTACTCAACAATCCCATTACTGGGTATATACCCAGAGAAATAGAAATCATTCTACCATAAAGACACATGCATGTGAATGTTCATTGCAGCACTATTCACTACAGCAAAGACATGGGATCAACCTAAATGCCCATCAATGACAGATTAGATGAAGAAAATGTGGTACATATACACCATGGAATACTGTGCAGCCATAAAAAGAATGAGATTGGCTGGGCATGGTGGCTCACACCTATAATCCCAGCACTTTGGGAGGCCAAGGCAGGTGGATCATGAGGTCAGGAGTTCGAGACCAGCCTGGCCAACATGGTGAAACCCCGTCTGTACTGAAAATACAAAAATTGTCAGGTGTGGTGGCGGGTGCCTGTAATCCCAGCTACTCGGGAGGCTGAGGTAGGAGAATTGCTTGAACCCAGGAGGCGGAGGCTGCAGTGAGCAGAGATGACGCCACTGCACTCCAGCCTGGGTGACAGAGCAAGACTCTGTCTCAGAGAAAAAAAAAAAAAAAAGAATGAGATTATGTCTTTTGCAGGAACATGGATGGAACTGGAGGCCATTATGCTCAGCAAACAAATGCAGGAACAGAAAATCAAATACTATATGTTCTTATTTTTAAGTGGGAGCTAAATGATGAGAAGTTATGAACACAAAGAAGGAAATATCAGACACAGGGGTCTACTTGAGGGTGGAAGGTAGGAGAAGGGAGAGGAGTGGAAAAGATAACTCTTGGGTACTGGGCTTAATACCTGGGTGATGAAGTAATCTGCACAACAAATCCCTGTTATGTGAGTTTACTTATGTAACGAGCCTTCATGTGTACCTCCAAACCTAGAATAAAAGTTTTTTTTAAAAAAGAAAAGTTTTTGTATAATAGAATCTTGGAATTAGCCATAAAGAAGACCTGGGTTCAAATCCCAGCTCTGCCCATTACTGCCTGGGGTATTGTTGCAAAGATGGTGTGTTGAAGGATTTGGCACAAAGTTCAGCACATACAAAGTCTCATAGATGCTTTTTGAAAATTTTTTTCACTAACTTGCTTTGTTACCTTAAACAAGTCAGCTAACGCTGTTGGGCCTCAATTGTCTTATTTATAAAATGGGAGCAATAGTATCTGCCTTGAGTATCTTTAAAGCTGCTGGTAAAGAGAAAACTATTTACTGTCGGTGGAAGGGCTTTAATATGTGAACTTCAATCTTCATTGTAACGAGTAGCACAGCGAGGCTGGTGTGGGAGTCATGCAGAGGGAAGCCAGAGGGCCGTGACAGAATCAGTCCTCTAAGGTGTGCAGCTGAAAGATCCTAGAGATGGAGATGGAGCTAAGTCCTGTATAATTCTCCCGGCACCCCGGTCTCTCTCATGAAGTGAGTGCAAAGCGCTTTGCAGTGATAGAGTCTTTTAGAGATGCTTCCTAATAACAACCTACAAGCTGCCCAGGGGGAATGGGGCTGGCAGGAACATTAATGAGGCTGTTGGGTGTCTGTTAAAGCTCGGCTCCATCAGACTCTGCCGCAAACAGCTGCTGGGACTTGGGAATATCTGGAAACAGTGTGGGGCTCAGGCTTCTTTTTTCCCCCCGGGCCTGGACGCTGGGCACAGCAAGACCCACAACCCCACTGTCCCTGGCCCTTGTCAATCATGTTAGCCTTTTTGCTGTTCATATGTTATACTTTGGGGTTTTAATTCGTACTAAATAGGCAGGAAGATAGAACTGAAAAGCTTGTTCTCTGGCTGCGTACAAGAAGGACAACAGGAGTAATGTTGACTGCCATTCACCCTATGCCAGGCCCTGGGCAAAGGGGGCAGTCGTGGTGTCCCAGCAACTGACTGGGCAGTCAGAGAATGGAGTGTTCCCTTTCTTGGAAGAGGAGTAAAGAGGAAGCAGGAGGAGACACGGGTAGGGTAGAAAGTGTGGGGCAGTGCAGGGAAGAAGAGGTGGCATTTGTATAAAAAGACTCACGAGGAGATTTATGTGGAAGTTAGTGCTGGAAAAAGCAACAGTTCTATGTAGAATATTAATGGAATCCATTTTCTTGCCATCTCCTGCAGGAACACTTTGGAAGTGCAAGGGGAAAAAATCGCTTTGCAGTAATAACTGTTATTTATATAAGAGAACAGCAATGAATATATCAAAATGTGAGGTTTCAAGGTAATAACTGGACCATCAGAATCATCATTATCCATTTAAAAGGCAATTTCTGGGCTTGGAAATTGATAGAAAAAAATGGCCCAATTCTACCACGGTGGTAATTAAATTTGTGTTTCTTTTTTATGATTTGATTTTGTTCTGAACCTGATGGGACTTGATGACCGAGGGGAATTGAGTAGGGATGTAAATGGGAATGACCGTCCCACCTCATCCTTGCTGATGTCCAAACATGACAGCTGGGGAGAGGCCTCCAGTTTTCATCCTGGTCACAGTTGGAGGGAAAACAGTGGAGACAGAGGAGGTGACTCCGGCCAGAGTCCACTGGACATCTTCTAGAACACTTACTCCTGGATCCTGTGATTCTGCCTCTCTCTCGCCTGCCAAGTTAACCAGCATGGGTGAACATTCCTCTGGCTTTTTTCTATTTATACTAAATCTATAAATTTTTTTTTCTCTCCAAAGAATGGGGAACATTCCATACGTACTGCATGACAATGAGCCCATTACACTGTATCGTGAACAGCTTTCCATATCAGTTCATATGCATCCATCTACTTCTTTTTAAAAGCTGTGTGCTTGTCCTCTAATGTACTATCATTGAACTAACCTTTCCCCTTTAGGTGGACATATGGGTTGTTTCCATCCCTGTGCCTGGGTCTTTGTACATTTGCAGGAGCATTTCTGGAGAGTAATTCCTAGAAGTGGAAGATTTGGGTGAAAGGGTATGAACATCTTAAAGCAGAATCAGTTGGGCATTGTTGACCTTGAGAAATGAGATTCAACAACGTTTGTCCTCTAGGTCGAATGGATTCTCATTATGTCAGACTACTGCACAAAACCCTGAAAGATCTTTTGGGAATTGGTGATTTTGCTTATTTAGGGGCCAGGATGAAGACTGAGAAAGAGATAGAGCTTGTTTTGGACTGTAGAACATTTAGCCTCACTCCCACCATCAGTGGGACTTGAGAGGTGTTCAGGAGGGTAGTGATGAGCCCCTTTGCAACCTCAGCTAGTGATAATAGCAGCTACCATAGAGCACTGACGATGCATTAGGCACCTGGGGCTTGCTGTCCAACCCAGCATTGTGATTCCAGCTCTGCTCTTAATGAGTTTGGGACTTGGGGATGTTTTTTTAACCTCTTCCTGGGTGAAATGGGACCATCACAAATACTTCACAGAGTCACTGTGAAAAGTAAATGTGATAGCTCTTGCAATATTACTTTGTAAAGAATAAGGTGCTTCATAAATGTCAGTGTCTTTATTAATCATGTATTTGAGGTTGATTTAAAGCTGACCAAAGTATTCCTTCCCTTTCCTCCCCTCTCCACCACAGTGCTCAGAGCCCTGGGACCTAAAGAAAAGAGATGTGTTCGTTTCCTCTTTGCTCTTTGACCTTGAGGAAGTTATTAAACCTCTCTAAGATGGAGCTTCCCTTTCTGAAAACTCAAGGGAGGTACAACTGTGTAAGAAGCTCAGCCCTGTCAGGATCAGCAGCTCTGCTGATTTTTTAGATACGGTGTGGGACAGGTAGGTGCCTAGGTAGGTAGGTGGGACAGGTAGATAGGTCATGAGGGCAAGATGAGAAGAGCAAACTGCTCCTTCCTCCAGCCCCCTTTTCTGTCCTAGCCAGGAGGGGAGGGCTCTGTGCCCTCAGAGCCCAGGGTCAACGAATGTGGAGTGGTAACATAAAAAATGCCTTAGGAGAGGAACTGTCCTAGGTAGCAAGCGGGGAGGAGCTTCTGCTTACCCAAAAGGGGGAATTAAGGCTCCATTTCTATTCAGCCACAATCCATTCCCAGAAATCAAGAAATATTCATGAGCTGCAAGCATTGGATGGCAATGTCTCTCTGTCATCATCAGGAATGACAGATTCCTCAGAGAAGAGGCAGAGCTCAGGTTTCCCATCTTTTCTAAGCACGTCACTCAGTAGGATTTCAAATACAGACAACTCTTGAATGAATGCAGTCACTACCCACGGAAGCAAAGGTTGGAGGATGGGAAAATTCAGCAGAATGTTGAAGACTATGGAGTTGGAATCCTGACTCCACCACTGGTAAGCTGTGCGACATTGTGCAAACCACATCCCCTTCTGAGCCAGGGACGATGGGCTTGCTCTAAGAATGAAATGAGATCATCCCTGGCTTTTTTTGAGTAAGCACTCAGTAATTGGTAGCTCTGTGAGGTATGGCATCCCTGAAATAACAGGTGCGTGCTGTCGCCAAACTCTCACAATTCAGGCCCACAAACTCAAGCCTTTCTCAGTATCAGCAGACCTACTGCCTTGATGTTCTAACAACCCCTAATGAGTATAGTATGATCATCAGTTAAATAAACAAACAATTAGTGAGTGAGCAGAAGGCTCTTCCTCAGCACATCCTATTAATCCGCTGGTCTTTAGTTCACATTTGTTGGAAGCTGATTAACTGCACGTCCCAACAGGCACTGGGCAACTTCAGTTCTGAGCCAGACCTGCGCATCCCCAGCCTGTCTTGACTTGCCCCAGTCTCCTCCCCCGCTAGGGTGTGTGACAAACCGAGTCAGTGTTAGCAGTGATGAAAATGTCTGGAAGGAAGCCAGAAGTGATGGAAAAAGTCCAAAACCCCATAAACGGATTACCCTAGATGTAAAGTCAGGAGTGTTAAGGTAGTTTGAGGCTGATGAAAAGCTTAGACAGATAGCTAGGACTTTAGAAATTACTTTGGAGGTCTTCAGAACAATACGAGGTGAAGGAGGGAGAAGAGGCTGCCAGGGTTCCTTGTTCTATGCGCCGTTCCCATTTGTGGTATTTTCGCTTAGTGATTTATTTTGAGCATAGCTCAGTAGTACTGTTAATATTTTTGGTATTGTGGTTAATATTGTGAACATTATTGTCAAATAATTTTAATCAGAATTTTATCAAAGTGTCTAGAAGTCAGCTTAGGGCCTGGCACAAAATCTTTGCGTGTGCGTGGCTACGCACACATGCAAACCTATGCACACACACACCAGTTTTCAAGCCTCACCCTCTCCAAGTGTGCTCTTCAAACAAGATTCAGGGTGAGGGCCGTGATGAGTAAACTTGACTATTTATAACCCAAGCCCATGATCCAGCAACTAAGTGGTTTAATTACGCTTATCACTGCCAGGCGCCTCTGTGGATTAATGTAGCTAATTCAATATCCTCTCTAAGAAGCGCCATTGGGGACTGTGATTCTGCTCTGAGGAGCAGCCTTCAGCCTCTCTGTTCACCACCAAGACCTTGGCTGGGGAGTTGGTGTTTGTCTCCCGAGGTGGTCTGTGAGAAGCTGGCCGACAGGTTAAACCCTCCTCTCTCCCTGCGTCCCTCCTCCTCTAGCACTTGGCTGTTGTGTCCATTGGAAACCTTCCCAGACTCTCCCTTCCACCTCCCATCTCCTTCCACCCCCTGCCAAGCACTTTTAATTTGCTTGGAATAATTGATTCTGTCTTCTTCTTGCACCTCATTTTTCCTCACTTTTATTTATCACCTTGAAACCTCTCCTTGATGTACGCAGGCCCCATGTCTGTGGGGAGATGAGAGTAGGGTGCTGCTGTGTAGCGGGTGGGTAAGGGGACAGCCTCTGCTACCAGACCCACAGTTTCCACTCTCCCCCAGGCACTGGTGACCTCATGGCTGTGTCTCCAAGTCTAGGAAGCACCTGGCACAGAGGAGAGTAATGAACAGCTATAGAAGAGAGTGAGGAAGGAATGAAACGTGCCTGTGTTTTGCTGACTCTGGCATTTGCACTTGGTTTTTCCCCACAATGGCAAATGGCCTCCCCCTATACCTCACACCTAGTGACCATTCACAGTGGCACTCAGCACCCAATCCCTCTGTAAAGCCCTCCCTGGTCACCATTTGCTCTTTGCATGAAAAAGATAAGGTTTCTATTGAAACCACAGGACAGCGAATTGCCCAGGGCCCTTCGGGAGTTGAAGGAGAGGCTAGGCAAGCTGCAGCCTTCCATCTGCCCAAGACCGTTAGGGAAATCTGCCTGTTGTTCCTGGGTAGCTTTTCTAAGGTCTCCTCAAAAATAGTGGTGCTACAGCCACAAAGCCAAGTCAAATGAATTAGAAGTGGGAACCCATTAACTTTTTGATCCAGGCTTTATGGCCATTTTTAAGTTATTTAACCTACTATCTCCTCCTCCTGCTGATTTGTGAGGATTAGACATTTGCTAAGGTGGGTACATTTAAGCAGGAACAAGAAAGCTCTGGTGGGTTTGGGATTTTGTAGGCAGAGTTGGATCCCTGCTTGGCCCTATAGTACTTTTTTTTTGCCCCAGGGGAGTTCTGCCAACATTCCCCCCACCCCATCCCACTCCCAACATCCTCCCAGTCTTCTGCTGATCTAACTGGGAAAAGACACAGATCACTCCAGGACTCCAAAGTAGATGATCTCTGGACACTGGTAGCTGTGGTGCCAGGCTAGAAAGAAGCCCCCTCCTCTCTTCTGTGGCTAGGGCACCATGGGCAGGTGTCGGGAGAGGGGGCCAGCAACAGGGCCCCGAGAGCCTCTATCTGCCCAGCTCACATATGGTGTCGAGGAGCCACAGGGAAGCAAACAGTCCTACTTCTGTCCTTGTGCCACCCACTTTTGTGGAAGCCATTGGGCTGCTGGGCTCAGAGCAATCCGTAGAGCTTTCCAGGCAGGAAGAGAAGGTGCAAGACAGAGCAGAGGAACTCCCCAGAATGAATCACACCAAAAGGCCTGGGTTCGTCCAGCTGAGAATTGAGGGTGTAGCCAAGCACAATGAGCACAGCCTCTGAGAGGACAGACAGCAGGAAGATGGTAAATAATGCCAGCGCTGCTTTGTGGTAGGGAGCTCTTTTGAAGGCCAGTTGTAGAGGAGGGGCCCCACAGCACAACCTTCAGCATCTCAGCCTTGGTGGGACTCCACAGAAGGACTGATGGGCTCAGCGGTGGGCGGGGGGAAGTTTCAGAATCATTTTAAAATTTACTTTTATGCTATTAATTTTTTGCTGACAGATTAGAAAGATAAATCAATCTGGCAGTGGGTCCTGAGTTTAGGGTTGTTTTCTATGTATGCAAGAACCATTTGTTAATGTGCTTTGTTAGCTGTGTGAGGGAGAGAAGGCAGGCCAGCAGCCTTGGGTAGAAAATCCAATTTTAGCACTGGAAGGAGCCTCAGAGGTCCTGGTTTAGCCTCCTCATTTTACAGGTGAAGAAACAGAGGCAGAGAAGGAAGGTGACTTGCTGGAGTTCACAGGCTACTTTGTGGCAGAGTTGAGACAGGACCTGTGGCTCTTGACTCCCAGGCTGGCAATGGCAACCCTGAAAGAGGGGGTGTTAAGCCTGAGTGCCAAGTGTTTCTCATTTGGTCCCCGCACAGTAGTCATTAAAACATGTTCACTGAATTGAAAAAAACAAATTGCCAAGACATAGTCTTGGTACACCCTAATCCTGCCCTGGTTATAAAAAAGGGATCTACAAACTAGAAATCTCTTTTTTTTTTTTTTTTTTTTTTTTGGAGGCTGGGGATGTAGAGTCTCGCTCCGTGGTCCAGGCTGGAGTGCAGTGGTGTGATCTGAGGTCACTGCAGCCTCCGCCTCCCGGATTCAAGTGATTCTCCTGCCTCAGCCTCCTAAGTAGCTGGAATTACAGGCATGTGCCACCGTGCTTGGTTAATTTTTTTGTATTTTTAGTAGAGAAGGGGTTTTGCCATGTTGGCCAGGCTGGTCTCAAACTCCTGACCTCAAGTGATCTGGCCACCTTGGCCTCCCGAAGTGATGGGATTACAGGCGTGAGCTGCCACCCCCGGCCTGGAAACCTCTGTTTCTATCATTCTGTTACTTCCTCATCTAGAACACAGGCTCTCCAAAGTGAGGTACTCTGTGTTCCATTTAATTAATGTCATAATAATCTATTGATGAGCTATTTTGTAATGGATGCTGGACTGAGTACCTTGGACAGATGCTTCCATGGACTCTTCACCAAATCAGAAAGTAGGCATTGTTACCCTCATCACAGATGAGGAAGTGAAACTCGGATAAATTAAATTCAGATCACACAGTGGGTTAGTGGTTGTGTCAGGATTTGAACCCAGATCTATAGGCTCCTGAGGAACACATGTGCAGTAAAGCCTTTTGCAACGTGAAAGTTAATTGCGGAGGGTTCCTGTCTGCACACCTGCATCTAAGTTGACCTGTGTACAGGGGACACAGGGTGGGAAGACCCCAGTGTGAGAAGCGCAGTAGAGAGGGAGCGATTCTTTTCACCTTGGCATGGCCCCCCAGGCTTGCTCACCACCCAGACTCCCTACTTCAAGCACAATTAACAAGCTCTCTGTGGTCAGCTCAGAACCCGTGCCTGGCAGGGGCAGGCAGAGCCTTGCCAGTGGGAAGCACGTGGCAAGGAAGCTGCCAGGCAGAGGGCAGAGGAAGAGGCAGGAGGTGCCACAGTGCCATTCCAATATAAAAGAAAAGAAAAAGGAAAAACAAAAAAGCCTTAGCGGTTCTTGGCTCCAAATCCCAATTTGCATCTCATCTGGGAGTCATTTGCATAGGAAGTCCTATCGGTAGCTTTATGAAATAAAATAAATAAAATAAATGGCCGATAAGGCTGCCAAGCAGACTCCCATAAGCCTGTGCTCTGAGAGGGAAGTGATTGCTTTGTTGGGTTCTGCATAGAGTCCCCAGGAGCCCCTCCCTGCCAGGCTCTGGGTGGGTTTGGGGGAAGGGCAGGTTTCTGGGCCCAGGTTCTGGAGGAAGCAGACAAGTCAGACACACAGTCGGACAGCCACCTGGATGCAATAAAAGCAGACCATGTTCCCACCAGGAAACGATTCTGCAGGTTTCTCTAGACCTTCTGTGCTGACTTGACGTCAGCAGCATCTTCGGTGAAGGGCCTGCTCCTTCCTCCCAAGCCCTGCTGGGCTTCCGGGCTGGCTCCTGTGCTCCCCTCAGCAGCAGTCCTCGGTGCTGAGTGGGAGGATGATCCTGGGAAGCTTCTCCCGGTGAAGGTTCCTGGATCTCCTTGCCAAGGCTGCTGTGGTATGTCGGGAGGGGATCTCAGGAATCTGTACCACCAGCTTGCGGCTGGGGGGTGGGGAGACACCCTCTGAGGACCCTCTTCCAAGGTGTGAGCTGGAGGAGCTATTAATAGTAAGATGCCGGGTGTTCCCTGCAGGGTGACAGGGCAGCTGTGCACCCCACCAAGCCCTGACCAGCATCCTCCCACAACCTGTGAAGGGTCTCGTGCATCCTCCCACAACCTGTGAAGAAGAGATCACCAACTTCTTGTGACCAGTGAGGAACAGACACTCAGGGCAACCGGGGCCTGCCCAAGTCTGTCAGCCAGGGAGCAGGAGGTCTGATTTAAAATCTAGCTCTTCAGTCTCAAAAGGCTGCTGTTTTTAGGAAGAGATCCCTGCAAATGAAGCCACAACTCTACTTGCAGAGTTTTGAGGCAACTGGGTCAGAGCAGAATCTGTAACCTTGCTAGGGAAGCCACGTCAGCAGAGCCCCCCCATGATCTGATACTGACATCTGGAGGGACAGAGCCACAGCCAGAGTCACACAGCCCGCCAAGGTGGGCAGGCCCCTGTCTAAGAGCTGTTACAAAAGCCATAGTGACCCCAGCTTGGGTGGGAAATGGAGAGATCCACCCCTTCCCTGAGCCCAGAGGGTCTTCTCACAGTCAAAGAGAGTTTAACAGTGTTGGCCTGATGCCCCTTAAACATCATCTAGTTTATGTTTTTTCATTCCTTTTAAAGTTTTCCCATTTTCATTAGTTGATTTTACTTTCCACCCTCCCTGCAGCTCTCAGGGAGGAGGGAGCACACAGCTTTTTAGACAGGTCAGGGTGGGGACCCAGTCTCCTGCCCCCCAGCCCAAAGCTGTCTACACTGGCCTTGCTCCTCTTTGGCTCTGCTCGAGGGCCACCTGTTGTCACTGTTTGCACAGCTGAGGCATGAAGCATAGCAGTGATTAGTGACCCACAGTGGGTTTCTAAGCCTGTTCACCCTCCTCCATAGTCAAGTCAGAGGAGGCTCCCTCCAAGCGAGGGACGGAGGCAGGAGAGCACAGCCGTGGGCCTAGGCCGGAAGATGGCCTGGAGGTGCCTCCTCGTGGGCCAGTCCCACCCTCTCCCTTGTGGCCTTCAAGGAAGTGGTCCTGAGGGAAGATGGTGCTCAGCTGGATGGGGACTCCCGAATGAGGCATCACTGCTCACCTCATCGTGTCCTTTACAGGAGAGCAGCTGAGCACGGATGGGTGGTTTGGAGAAAATGGGCAAGAAAGCTCTGGAGTTTTGCCCAACTTTATTCAGAGCAGAATAGAAATGCAGGTGAATTGGAAGAATTTGGTGCGGAGCCTGAGGGGCCTCCGGCTTAAGGCTGGGGAGCAGAGGCCAAAGCCTGGGCCAGCAGTTGAGCAATCAGACAACACAACTCTGTGTGTGTGTGTGTGTGTGTGTGTGTGTGTGTGTGTGTGTGTGTGCAGGGTGGCTAGGGGAAGACAAAGTGAATTAGGGTGGGAAAATCAAACAGGTCAGGAGAGACTAGAACCTAATTCTACCTTTGTCACTCATTGGCTGAGCGGCCTCAGACAAGCAATTTAAGTGACCTTCAGTTTCCTTTTCTGTAAAATTGGGATCATGCGTATCCCAACAAGTCCTATGTAGATTTTAGGAGACTGTTTCCCTGATGGTGTTGAATTTGAATGAGAGACTACATACCCTATTTTCCTTTTTTGGCAAAACAGTCATCATTTTCAATTCAACAAATATATGAGTAGTTATTCTACATCCAGCCCAATCTTAGGTGCTGTGGGGGAGACAACAGGTAAGAGATGATGCCGGCCCTTGTCTTTCAAAATTAGAGGCTTGAGAATAACGAAGACACCAGAATCTGTTTTTCCTTTTTGTTTTGTTTTTTAAACAGCTGTGCTGAGATGAATTTACATAACATATAATGCACCCATTTAAAGTGCACAGTGTAATGGTTTTTAATGTATTTTAATGTATTTAACCGTTAGGCAAGCTTCATCACAATCACTTTTCCAATTTTTTCAGCACCCCAAGAAGAAAGCCCATCCCCTTGAGCTATCACTCCTCATTGTCCCCATTCATCCCAGCCCCTGCCAACTGCTCATGTACTTTCTGTGTCTTTAGATTTGCGGATTTTGGACATTTCTCTTTTTTTTGGAGACGGAGTCTTGCTGTGTCACTCAGGCTGGAATGCAGTGGCGTGACTTGACTCATTGCAACCTCCACTTCCCGAGTTCAAGTGATTCTCCTGCCCCAGCCTCCCAAGTAGCTGGGATTACAGGCGCCCGCCACCGTGCCAAGCTAATTTTTGTATTTTTAGTAGATTGGCCAGGCTGGTCTTGAACTCTTGACCTCATCATCTGCCTGCCTCAGCCTCCCAAAGTGCTGGGATTATAGGCGTGAAGCACTGTGCCTGGCCCTTGGACATTTCATTTAAATGGAATCAGACAATGTGTGGCCTTTTGTGTCTGGCATTCTTCACATGGCATAATGTGTTCAAGGCTCATCCGGGTTGTAGCGTGTGTCAATAATTCATTTCCTTTCATGGCTGAATAATATTCCATTGTATGGCTCTACCACATTTTATTTGTTAATCAGTTCATAGATATTTGGGTTTTTTTCCACTTTTTGTCTATTATGAATGATGCTGCTGTGAACATTCATGTATATGTTTTTAGGTGGACACATGTTTTCGATTCTCTTGGATATATACCTAGGAGTAGAATTGCTAATCATATGGTAAATCTATATTTTATCCTTTGGGGAACTCCAGACTGCTCTCCAAAGTGGCTGCCCCGTTTTACATTCCCACCAGCAATGTATGAGGGTTCTAATTTCTCTGCATTCTGTCTCACATGGTTTTGATTTGTATTTCCCTAAGTCTAATGATGTTGAGGATCTTTTCATGTGCTTACTGACCATTTTTATATCATCTTTGGAGATCTGTCTGTTCAGATTTTTTGCCCCTTTTTAATTGGGTTATTTGTCTTTTTATTAAGTTGTAAGAGTTCTTTCTATATTCTAGGTATAACCCCTTATCATTTATATGATTTGCAAATATTTTCTGTCATTGGTAGGCTGTCTTTTTACTTTCTTCACAGTGTCCTTTGAAGGAACACATCTGAATCCGAACTGCAAACGATGTCAGTGTTAATTACAATGAAACATCATTAATTTGGACTCTGGTAATTTGGAATGGGTCAGGGCAGAGGTTCAAAGTTTATTCTTTCAACAGTTATTGAGACTGTCTATAGTCAAAGACTGTGCCAGGCCCTGGGGGTAGAGAGGTGAACAGAGCTGAGTCCTGCCTTTACAGCCACAGTGTGTGGTGAGGAGAACACAATTGCACCATGGGAGCCAAGGGCCTGAGCGCTAATGGCAGAGCCAGGTGCTCAGGGAGCCCTGGGGAAGGAAGAGCTAACTGTTTAAAAAGCATTTACTCGGTGGCTCACACCTATAATCCCAGCACTTTGGAGGCCGATGTGGGAGGATTGCTAGAGCCCAGGAGTTCAAGATGAGCCTGGGCAACCTAGTGAGACCTCATCTCTACAAAAAATTTGAAGAAAAATAAAATAGCCAGTCATGGCAGCACTTAGTCTTAGCTACTTGGGAGGCTGAGGTGGGAGGATCACTTGAGCCTGGGAGGCTGAGGCTGCAGTGAGTGGTGATCACACCACTGCACTCCACCCTGGGTGACAGAGGCAAGCAAGACCTTGTCTCAAAAAAATAAAAAAACACCAAAGATAATAAATAATAATAATAATAATAATAAAAATAATTTACTATGCAAATCAACAATGAAAACTATTTAGGAAAAGAGCCTGCTTGTGAAGGTCCCTCAAGCCTTTATGGCTTTTATTTCCATGCTAACAGACAATGTGATTGGCCTTGCCCTCCTACCCTCCAGGGAGAGTTGGGGTGGATGCCTTCTGCTGCTCCTGGAAGAGTCTAGGACATTTTATCATCTCATGATAGCCTGGTAGGTAAACTATTATTGTCACCATTTACAGATGAGGAAACTGTAACTTGGGGAGGTTAAGTGACTTGCCCAGAGTGACAATTACTAATTTTTGAGATTAGGATTAGGACAGAGGTGTTCTGTCTCCAGCATCATGAGACTCTGTTCTGTGTGTTGGACTCCAGACCTGACTGGATCCCAGCAGTGTAAGCTTGGTGTCCCTCATCAGGTAGGACTGATGCTATCTGCCCCAGGATGGTTGAGCACTTGGTCACCTGCACCACCCTAAACCAATATATGGCATTGCTGTTGCAACGTTGGTTTCTCCAGGCTACACCACCCTTAGGAATAATAGTCTGAAGGTATATTTTCATTTGTCAGACATGTGTGTGCCCACGCTATATACTATGCTCCTCCCCCTCCAGCAAGATGGCTGGGACCCCATGTCCTAGCCTGCTCTTGCCCCTCTGTGGATCCCAGGGGCTCTGTGCCCATCTCTAACTCTTGACCCTTAAGGCCTCTGTGGTGTTCTGATGGGGGTAAAATGTTCCCCAGTGTCCTGTGCCACATACTGCCCTACAGGGAAGGAAACTGGGCTGCCTTAAAAGCCTAGTATCCTAAAGAAAACCCCTCTCTTGTTTGTGGTTGTTCTTTATTGCATGCTCTCTAAGACTTGGCTCAAAGGGCTGAGGTCCATGAGCCATACTGGACTCCAAATTATTTCTCTTCCTGTCAACTCTTCATAACTCTTAAACTAAGTTTACCATCACTGCCTTTTGTCTCTTGTGCAAATGGACCCCAGTAGTCTCATCCTGTGGATCTTCCATATTTTCCATTGATCTATAGGGGACACAGAGCTCAGATCCTGACACTGAGACTCCTGGATGTTTTTATTATTTAAGAGGCAGGGAATAAGTATAGGGGAGCATCCAGGCCCTGAGGCTGGGACACAGGTGGGGCTGTCCCTGGCAGCTTCTCTGCAGGCTTTTTGCAGCCTGGATAACTCATCTCTCTTTCAACCACCTCCCACTGTGCTGTGCACCTGCAGCCAGCCCAGCCAGCCCCTGCCCAGCTTGCCTCCTGCCTGAAGAACACAGGTCAGTGGAGCTGATTTTTCTGATCTTGAAGGAGGTGAAGGATTTCACCCTTGAGTGAATCAAGTGTGTGCTCATCAGTTTGATGGCCCGTGAGTGTCTTTTCTCACTGACACAGCAGCAGCATCGTGGAGCTGCCTCCTCACTGAGCAGGGTAAGAGACTCCCAGAGTTGGCCTGAGAGGTTTTGGAGGCACACACTTGGCCACTAGGAGCCACCAGCCCCACAGAGATACTGCTGGACTCCCTGAAAGCAGCCTCTAGGGAGATAAAAATGTCAAGGGCCACTGGGCAGCATAAGTGAGGTTGTGTCTGCTGGGCCAGGATACCTGCCTTGGGGCGTCCAGAAGGTGGTGTGGCCAATGGGAGTAGCATGGGCTTTTAGCCAAACCTCAGCTCTGTCTCTCTCTGGCTGTGTCTTTGGGCAAGTTCTCTGACTTCTCTGAGCCTCACGTGCCTTATCTGTGAAATGTGGGTGATAGTACTACCTGTCACACGGTGGGGTTGGGAGGCAAAAAGACTTAGAGTATGGAAAATAGCAAGGATGACATGTGGCCCAGGGAGGGCTCAGTAGCCATTAATATCTCTTTCTAGAGAATCTGTCCACCTCCACAGCTGTGAAAGGGAGAAGAGTTCCCTGGGTCTGGCAGAAGGCAGTGAAACCTCAATCTCTTCCAGACCCCTATATTTTATTTTTTTGGATTTCAAAATAGGGCTTGGGCTCTAGAAATACTGGTTTGCCGAATTGGGCATGGAGCCACCAGTTCTCCCTCAGTGATCAGGGGCCGTTACTAAGTCTCAGTTATCTGCGGAGGAGAGTTTGGATTGGGGGATTCCATGGGATTCCTTCCCTCTGGGCTTCGGAGGGCAGGATCACTCCGTTCCCACCCCGCACAGGGTGTGTTGGGAAAACATGAAGGGAACCTGAAGCTTCAGCTTCTCCACTGGAGCAGTCCTTGGCTCTGCCTCAGTGAGAGACTGCAAATTATTTACAGTCCATGGGATTGATGATGTAGAGACTGATGTCCAAGCTTCTTGGATTGGTTTTAGCTCCTAGCCCAGGAGTGGGCGTTAGGCTGAGATGCCAAGTGGGGATCACTTGGCCCCCAGGTGACCCCTCTGCATCCATTTCCCTGGGCATTCCTTAAGGCTCAGTGCAGCACAGTCCATGCCCCTCACACCACTCTGGAAGCAAGGTGGCACACGATCCCATGCAGCAGAACAGTGGGTGCAAGACCCTACACCCCTCTCTTTCACTCTGCTTCATTGTACCCATCCTGAGGACCTGGGGGGCCCCTGTGCCTAACATCTGTGATTCTGGAGTCTTTAGCAAATCAGTTGATTTCTACGGATACCTCAGAGGGCTTCTTCATGCTCTGCCTCTACGTTTGTCTTTTCCCAAAGGCCCTAAGCCAGTAGGTTTCATAAACTTTTTTTTCTTTTTTTCCAGCTCTAGAGTCTCGTAAGATGCTACTTGGTTTAGAGAAAAGTGTGCCATCAAATAAGTTTGGGAAATGCTGCATTTTATATATATTCACCTCTTAGAGGCTCATAACCAGGGCTCCAGCATTGCCCACCTCCCGTGGCACCATTGCAGGGTCAGCACTGTAACCGTGTCTCTGAGAAATCCCGTAGTAAAGGCCACTGCTTAGAATCATCTAAATGATTCTTGAAATTATTTAGGTGTTACACCTGGAACTTCTAATAACAAGAGGGTGACCATCTATTAATAATATATAGTCTATTCAGGACACTGGAGTGAAACATTACAGAAGACAAAGGGAGAGGGCAGCTAAAAATAATCACCAGCTGTTAATTGGTCTATAGTGGGCATCTATAAATGGGAGTGTCTTGGTGTCTTATCTACCAACTTCTCAAGGGACACTGGTATTCCGTGAAACATAGTCTGGGAAATGCTGTTCCTTGTGCAGTTTAGTCAGCACCTAATTGCCAGGCACTGTGCTAGGCACTGGGGATACAGTAGAGAACAAGACAAGCATGGCCTTGGCTTATATCCAAGACTAGCAGGGAAGGCAGGGATAAACACATAATAATAGATAAGTGATGTGTGTTACAAAAGAGAGAGTCAAGGGTACTGTGGACAGGGATGGTGCATAGCACAGGGATATTACTTCGTCCAGGAGGCCACAGGATGGCCTTCCTGTGACACTGCTATTTATTTTGAAGCTTGATAGATGAGTAGTAGAAGTTAGCCAGGCAAGCAAGAGCTGGGGAGTGGAGAGCTTTCTGGGCAGAGGGAACAGTATGTGCAAATGGTCAGGGTCAGAGAGAAGCTTTTGGTTGCAAGTCACAGAAAACTAAACCGAAAGCAGCTAAAATGCCAAGTAAATGAATTGGCTTCCACAGTAGGAGGTCTAGAGGCAGGCAGGGGCCAGGGAGGCTGTCAGCATTGTTTGTCCTGGTGGCTCAGGGACATCAGATTCAGGCTTTCCAGTCTCTTCACTCCACTGTCCACAGCCTCAGCTTTCTCCCAAGATTGGCTTTCTCTCCAAGATTGGCTTCTCCCAAGATTGGATTCCCTTTGTATTGTATTGTGGGCTATCAGTAGCATTTTTTTTTTTTCAAGTCTAACATGAGAGTAAGAACCAAAGTCTTCCCTCAAGTCTTAATGGGGCCAATCTGGCTCACTTAACCACCCTGAACTGATTATTGTCATGGGGGAATGCCTGGCTCTGATTGACTTAGTCTGGGTTCTTAAAAGCAAAGCAAAACAAAACAAACCAAAATACTGGTAAGGGAAATGGGATTACTGTGATTGACTTAGACCCAGCGATTGGCAGAGTTTTTCCATGAAGGGCCAGATAGTAAATATTTTAGGCTTTGTGGGCCATATGGTCTCTGTTATGACTTCTTTTTTTCCTAGAATCTTTTTTTAAAATAAATTTTTTATTGTATATATTTGAGGCTTACAACATGATGTTAGGGGATACATATAGATAGTAAGATGGTTGCTATAGTGAAGCAGATTAACATGTCTATTATCACACATACTTTTTATGACAAGAGCAGCTAAAATCTACTTATTTAACAAAAATCTCTAATATAACACACTTTATATTAGAGATTTTTGTTAAATAAGTAGATTTTAATCCTCACATTGTACGTTAGGTCTCTAAACGTGTTCATCCTACATACCTGCCATTTTGTATTCTTAGACTTATGTCTCCCTATTGTTTCTTCTCCCCCTTATCCCCACCTGTGATAACCACTGTTTTATTCTCTGTGTATGTGAGTTCTTCTTTATAAAAATATTCTACATATAACTGAGATAATGCAATATTTGTCTCTCTGTCTAGCTTATTCACTTAGCATATTGTTCTCTAGGTCCGTCCATGTTGTAACAAATAGCAAGATCTCCTTTTCTAAAGTTGAATAATATATATATACACACAATGGAATATTTTATATATATATAAACATATATATACATATATATAAACATAGATATACATATATAAACATATATATACATATATATATATACTTTTCTTTTTTATTATACTTTAAGTTCTGGGATACATGTGCAGAACGTGCAGGTTTGTTACATAGGTATACATGTGCCATGGTGGTTTGCTGCACCCATCAACCCGTCATCTACATTAGGTATTTCTCCTAATGCTATCCCTCACCTAGACTCCCAACCCCCGACAGGCCCTAGTGTCTGATGTTCCCCTCCCTGTGCCCAACGTTCTCATTGTTCAACTCCCACTTATGAGTGAGAACATGCAGTGTTTGGTTTTCTGTTCCTGTGTTAGTTTGCTGAGAATAATGGTTTCCAGCTTCATCCATGTCCCTGCAAAGGACACGAACTCATTCTTTTTTTATGGCTACACAGTATTCCATGGTGTATATGTGCCACATTTTTTTTTTATTCAGTCTGTCATTGATGGGCATTTGGGTTGGTTCCAAGTCCTTGCTATTGTGAATAGTGCTGCAGTAAACATATGTGTGCACGTATCTTTAGAGTAGAATGATTTACAGTCTTTGGGTATATACCCAGTAATGGGATTGCTGGGTCAAATGGTATTTCTAGCTCTAGATCCTTGAGGAATCGCCACACTGTCTTCCACAATGGTTGAACTAATTTAGACTCCCACCAACAGTGTAAAAACGTTCCTATTTCTCCACATCCTCTCCAGCATCTGTTGTTTCCTGACTTTTTAATGATCGTCATTCTAAGTAGCATGAGATGGTATCTCATTGTGGTTTTGATTTGAATTTCTCTAATGACCAGTGATGGTGAGCTTTTTTTCATGTGTTTGTTGGCCACATAAATGTCTTCTTTTGCAAAGAGTCTGTTCATATCCTTCGCCCACTTTTTGATGGGGTTGTTTGTTTTTTTCTTGTAAGTTTGTTTAAGTTCCTTGTAGATTCTGGATATTAGCCTTTTGTCAGATGGATAGATTGCAAAAATTTTCTCCCATTTTACAGGTTCCCTGTTCACTCTGATGATAGTTTGTTTTGCTATGCAGAAGCTCTTTAGTTTAATTAGATCCCATTTGTCAATTTTGGCTTTTGTTGCCATTGCTTTTGGTGTTTTAGTCATGAAATCTTTGCCCATGCCTATGTCCTGCATGGTATTGCTTAGGTTTTCTTCTAGAGTTTTTATGGTTTCAGGTCTTACATTTAAGTGTTTAATTCATCTTGAGTTAATTTTTGTATAAGGTGTAAGGAAGGGGTCCAGTTTCAGTTTTCTGTATATGGCTAGCCAGTTTTCTCACCACCATTTGTTAAGTAGGGAATCCTTTTCCCATTGCTTGTTTTTGTCAGGTTTGTCAAAGATCAGATAGTTGTAGATGTGTGGCATGATTTCTGAGGCCTCTGTTCTGTTCCATTCGTCTATATATCTGTTTTAGTACCAGTACCATGCTATTTTGGTTACTTTAGCCTTGTAGCATAGTTTGAAGTCAGGTAGCATGATGCCTCCAGCTTTGTTCTTTTTGCATAGGATTGCCTTGGCTATACGGACTCTTTTTTGCTTTCATATTAAATTTAAAGTAATTTTTTCTAATTCTGTGAAGAAAGTCAATGGTGGCTTGATGTTAATAGCATTGAATCTATAAATTACTTTGGGTAGTATGGCCATTTTCATGATATTCTTCCTATCCATGAGCATGGAATGTTTTTCCGTTTGTGTCCTCTCTTATTTCCTTGAGCAGTGGTTTGTAGTTCTCCTTGAAGAGGTCCTTCACATCCCTTGTAAGTTGTATTCCTAGGTATTTTATTCTCTTTATAGCAATTGTGAATGGGAGTTTGCTCATGATTTGGCTCTCTGTTTGTCTATTATTGGTGTATAGGAATGCCTGTGATTTTTGCACATTGATTTTGTATCCTAAGACTTTGCTGAAGTTGCTTATCAGCTTAAGGAGTTTTTGGACTCAGACAATGGGGTTTTCTAAATACACAATCATGTCATCTGCAAACAGAAATAATTTGACTTCCTCTCTTCCTATTTGAATACCCTTTATTTCTTTCTCTTGCCTGAGTGCCCTGGCCAGAACTTCCAATACTGTGTTGAATAGGAGTGGTGAGAGAGGGCATCCTTGTCTTGTGCTGGTTTTCAAAGGGAATGCTTCCAGCTTTTGCCCATTCAGATATTGGCTGTGGGTTTGTCATAAGTAGCTCTTATTATTTTGAGATACGTTCCATCAATACCTAGTTTATTGAGTGTTTTTAGCATGATGGGGTATTGAATTTTATCAAAGGCCTTTTCTGCATCTATTGAGATAATCATGTGGTTTTTGTCATTGGTTCTGTTTATGTGTTGGATTACGTTTATTGATTTGCATATATTGAACCAGCCTTGCATCCCAGGGATGAAGCCAACTTGATCATGGTGGATAAGCTTCTTGATGTGCTGCTGGATTTGGTTCGTTAGTATTTTATTGAGGATTTTTGAATCGATGTTCATCAGGAATATTGGCCTGAAATTTTCTTTTTTTGTTGTTGTTGTGTCTCTGCCAGATTTTGGTATCAGGATGATGCTGGGCTCATAAAATGAGATAGGGAGGAGTCCCCCTTTTTCTATTGTTTGGAATAATTTCAGAAGGAATGGTACCAGCTCCTTTTTCTACCTCTGGTAGAATTCAGCTGTGAATCTGTCTTGTCCTGGGCTTTTTATGGTTGGTAGGCTATTAATTACTGCCTCAATTTTAGAACTTGTTATTGGTCTATTCAGGAATTCAACTTCTTCCTGGTTTAGTCTTGGGAGGGTTTATGTGTCCAGGAATTTATCCATTTTTTTCTAGATTTTCTAGTTTATTTGCATAGAGGTGTTTATAGTATTCTCTGATGGTAGTTCGTATTCTTTGGGATCAGTGGTGATCCCCCCTTTATCATTTTTTATTGTGTCTATTTGATTCTTCTGTCTTTTTCTTTATTAGTCTGGTTAGTGGTCTATCTATTTTGTTAGTCTTTTCAAAAAACCAGTTCCTGGATTCACTGATTTTTGGAAGGGTTTTTCATGCCTCTATCTCCTTCAGTTCTGCTCTGATCTTAGTTATTTCTTGTCTTCTGCTAGCTTTTGAATTTGTTTGCTCTTGCTTCTCTAGTTCTTTTAATTGTGATGTTAGGGTGTCAATTTTTAGATCTTTCCTGCTTTCTCCTTTGGGCATTTTGTGCTATAAATTTCCCTCTAAACATTGCTTTAGCTTTGTCCCAGAGATTCTGGTACGTTGTGTCTTTGTTCTCATTGGTTTCAAAGAACTTATTTATTTCTGCCTTAATTTCATTATTTACCCAGTAGTCATTCAGGAGCAGGTTGTTCAGTTTCCATGTAGTTGTGCAGTTTTCAGTGAGTTTCTTAATTCTGAGTTCTAATTTGATTGCATTGTGGTCTGAGAGACTGTTTGTTATGATTTCCATTCTTTTGCATTTGCTGAGGAGTGTTTTACTTCCAATTATGTGGTCAATTTTAGAATAAGTGCTATGTGGTACTGAGAAGAATGTATATTCTGTTGATTTGGGGTAGAGAGTTCTGTAGGTGGCTGTTAGGTTCGCTTGGTCCAGAGTTGAGTTCAAGTCCTGAATATCCTTGTTAATTTTCTGTCTCGTTGATCTGTCTAATATTGACAGTGGAGTGTCGAAGTCTCCCACTATTATTGTATGGGAGTCTAAGTCTCTTTGTGGGTCTCTAAGAACTTGCTTTATGAATCTGGGTGCTCCTGTATTGGGTGCATATATATTTAGATAGTTAGCTCTTCTTGTTGCATTGATCCCTTTACCATTATGTAATGTCCTTCTTTGTCTTTTTTGATCTTTGTTGGTTTAAAGTCTGTTTTATCAGAGACTAGGATTGCAACCCTGCTGTTTTTTTGCTTTCCATTTGCTTGGTAAAGCTTCCTCCATCCCTTTATTTTGAGCCCACGTGTGTCTTTGCATGTGAGATGGGTCTCCTGAATACAGCACACCGATGGGTCTTGACTCTTTATCCAATTTGCCAGTCTGTGCCTTTTAATTGGGGCATTTAGCCCATTTACATTTAAGGTTGATATTGTTATGTGTGAATTTGATCCTGCCATTATGATGCTAGCTGGTTATTTTGCCCATTAGTTGATGCAGTTTCTTCATAGTGTTGATGGGCTTTACATTTTGGTTTGTTTTTGCAGTGGTTGATACCAGTTTTTTGTTTTTGTTTTTTTTTTCCTTTTTAGTGCTTCCTTCAGGAGCTCTTGTAAGGCAGGCCTGGTGGTGATAAAATCCCTCAGCATTTGTTTGTGTATAAAGGATTTTATTTCTCTTTTACTTATGAAGCTTAGTTTGGCTGGATATGAAATTCTGGATTGAAAATTCTTTTCTTTAAGAATGTTGAATATTAGCCCCCACTCTCTTCTGGCTTGTAGGGTTTCTGCAGAGAGATCTGCTGTTAGTCTGATGGGCTTCCCTTTGTGGGTAACCCGACCTTTCTCTCTGGCTGCCCTTAACATTTTTTCCTTCATTTCAACCTTGGTAAATCTGACGATTATGTGTCTTGGGGTTGCTCTTCTCTAGGAGTATCTTTGTGGTGTTCTCTGTATTTCCTGAATTTGCATGTTGGCATGTCTTGCTATGTTGGGGAACTTCTCCTGGATAATATCCTGATGTGTGTTTTCCAACTTGATTCCATTCTCCCCGTCACTTTCAGGTACACCAATCAAACGTAGGTTTTGTCTTTTCTTATAGTCCCATATTTCTTGGAGGCTTTGTTCATTCCTTTTCATTCTTTTTTTTCTAATCTTGTCTTCACACTTTATTTCATTAAGTTGATCTTCAATCTCTGATATCCTTTCTTCTGCTTGATCGGTTTGGCTATTGATCCTTGTGTATGCTTCACTAAGTTCTTGTGCTGTATTTTTCAGCTCCATCAGGTCATTTATGTTCTTTCCTAAACTGGTTATTCTAGTTAACAATTCCTCTAACCTTTTATCGAGGTTCTTAGCTTCCTTGCATTGGGTTAGTACATGCTCCTTTAGCTCAGAGGAGTTCGTTATTACCCACCTTCTGAAGCCTACTTCTATCAATTCGTCAAATTCATTCTCCGTCCGGTTTTGTTCCCTTGCTGACGAGGAGTTGTGACCCTTTGGAGGAGAAGCAGCATTCTGGTTTTTGGAATTTTCAGCCTTTTTGTGCTGGTTTTTCCTCATCTTCGTGGATTTATCTACCTTTGGTCTTTGCTGCTGGTGACCTTCAGATAGAGTTTCTGTGTGGTTGTCCTTTTTGTTGATGTTGATGTTGTTGCTTTCTGTTTGTTATTTTTCCTTCTAACAGTCAGGCCTCTCTTCTGCAAGTCTGCTGGAGGTCCATTCAAGACCCTGTTTGCCTGGGTATCACCAGCAGAGGCTGCAGAACAGCAAAGATTGCTGCCTGCTCCTTCCTCTGGAAGTTTCATCATAGAGGGGCACCTGCCAGATGCCAGCTGGAGCTCTCCTGTATGAGGTGTCTGTCGACCCCTGCTGGGAGGTGTCTCCCCATCAGGAAGCACAGGGGTCAGGGACACACTTGAGAAGGCAGTCTGTCCCTTAGCAGAGCTTGAGCACTGTGCTGGGAGATCCACTGCTCTCTTCAGAGCTGGCAGGCAGGAATGTTTAAGTCTGCTGAAGTTGTGCCCACAGCCGCCCCTTCCCCCAGGTGCTCTGTCCCAGGGAGATGGGAGTTTTATCTATAAGCTGCTGACTGGGGCTGCTACCTTTCTTTCAGAGATGCCTTGCCCAGAGAGGAGGAATCTAGAGAGGCAGTCTGCCTGCAGTGGCTTTGCAGCGCTGTGGTGTGCTCCACCCAGTCCAAATTTCCCAGCGGCTTTGTTTACACTGTAAGGGGAAAACCTCCCACTCAAACCTCAGTAATGGCAAACGCCCCTCCCCCCACCAAGCCTGAGCATCCCAGGTCGACTTCAGACTGCTGTGCTGGCAGCGGGAATTTCAGGCCAGTGGATCCTAGCTTGCTGGGCTCAGTGAGGGTGGGATCCACTGAGCAAGACCACTTGGCTCCCTGGCATCAGCCCCCTTTTCAGGGGAGTGTACGGTTCTGTGTTGCTGGCATTCCAGGCACCACTGGGGTATGAAAGAAACTCCTGCAGCTAGCTTTGGTGTCTACTCAAATGGCTGCCCAGTTTCGTGCTTGAAACCCAGGGGCCTTGTGGTGTAGGAACCCGAGGGAATATCCTGTTCTGTGGGTTGCAAAGACCATGGGAAAAGCGTAGTATCTGGGCCAAATATCACCGTCCCTCACAGCACAGTCCCTCATGGCTTCCCTTGGCTAGGGGAGGTAGTTCTCTGACCCTTTGCACTTCCTGGGTGAGACGACACCCCACCCTGCTTCTGCTTGCCCTCTGTGGGCTGCACCCACTGTCTAACCAATCCCAGTGAAATGAACCAGGTACCTCAGTTGGAAACACAGAAATAACCTGCCTTCTGCGTTGGTCTCGCTGGGAGCTGCAGACTGGAGCTGTTCATATTCAGCCATCTTGCCCAGGAATCCGTGTATTATATTTTCTTTATCCATTTGTCTGCCAATGGATATGTAGGTTGTTTCCATATCTTGGCTATTGTGATTAATAGTACAATGAACATGGCAGTTGAAATATCTTTATAAGGTAGTGATTTCATCTTCTTTGGGTATATACCCAGAGGAGGGATTGTTGAGTTGTATGGTAGTTCTATTTTTTATTTCTTGGTGAACCTCCATACCATTTTCCATAAGGGCTGTTACCAATTCATGTTCCCACCAAACAGTGCACTAGAGGTCTCTTTTCTTCACACCCTTGCCAACACTTGTTATCTTTTGTCTATTTGATAATAGCCATTTTTACAATTGTGAAGTGAAATCGTGGTTTTAATTTGTATTTCCCTGAGGATAAGTGATCTTGAGCACTTTTTCATATATCTGTTGGCCATTTGTATGTATTCTTGGGAGAACCATCTGTTTGGTCCTTTGCCCATTTTTAAATTGGGTTATTTGTTTTTCTGCTATTAATTTATAAGAGTTTTAAAAATAAATTTTGGATGTCAACTTCTTATCAGATATGTGGTTTGCACATATTTTTTTTCCCAGTCTGTAGGTTGCCTTTTCATTTTGTTGTTTATTTTGCTGTACAGAAGCTTTGTAGTTTATGTAGTCCCATTTATTTATTTTTGCTTTTGTAGCCTGAGCTTTTGGTGTGCTATCCAAAAAAATCATTGTTAAGGCCAGTGTCAAGGAGCTTTTTCTTTGTGATCTTTTCCAAGAGTCTTATGGTTTCAGGTCTTACATTTATGTCTTCTATGCATTTCGAGTTTATTTTTGTGTGTGGTGTAAGATAAGGGTCCAATTTCATTCATTTGCATGTGGAAATCCAGTTTTTCAGCACCATTTATTAAAGAGACTATCATTTCCCCATTGTGTCCTCTTGGTGCCCTTGTCAAAAATCAGTTGACTGTTTATGTTTGGATTCATTTCTGGGTTCTCCATTCTGGTTCCATTGGTCTGTGTTTCTGTTTTTAGCCAGTACCATACTGTTTTGATTACTACAACTTTGTAATATAATCTTAAGTCAGGAAGTGTGATGCTTCCAACTTTCTTTTTCTTTCTCAGTACTGCTTTGGATATTAAGGGTTTTTTTTTTTTGTGATCCCATGGAAATTTTAGGGTTGTTTTTCTATTTCTATGAAGAATGTCATTGGAATTTTAATAGGGGCTTTATTAAACCTATGTATTGCTTTGGGTAGTATGGGCATTTTAACAATATTATTCTTATTCATTAACATGGGATATCTTTCCATTTATTTGTTTATCTTCTTCAATTTCTCTCATCAACATCTTATAGCTTTTGGTGTAAAAATTTTTCACCTCCTTGATTACATTTATTCCTAGATATTTTGTTTTTTGATGCTATCAATTTTTGTGGGATCATTTTCTTGATTTCTTTTTCAGCCAAGTCATTATTTGTACATAGAAATGCCGCTGATTTTTGTTTATTTTGTATACTGCAACTTTACTGAATTCATTTATTCTAACAGTTTTTTTTGTGGGTTAAAACTTTCGAGTTTTCTACATATAGGATCATGTCGTCTGTAAGTAAAGATCATTTGAATTTGGATGCCTTTTTATTTTTATTTTTTCTTATCTGATTGCTCTGGCTAGCACTAGTACTTTTCATACTATACTGAATAGAAGTTACATGGGCATTCCTGCCTTGTACCAGATCTTAGTAGAAAAGCTTTCAGTTGTTCCCCATTGATTATGAGTTTAGCTATGGGTTTTTAATACATAGCCTTTATTGTATTGAGGAATTTTTCTTCTATACCTAAACTGTTAAGAGGTTTTATCAAGAAGGGATGCTGAACTTTGTTAAATGTTTTTCTGCACCAGTTGAGATGATTGTGTGGCTTTTATCTTTCATTCTATTAATGTGATGTGTCATGCTGATTGAATTGCATATGTTAAACCAGCCTTGCATGCCAGGCATAAATCCAACTTGGTCATGATATATAATCTGATTAATGAGTTGTTAAATTCAGTTTGATTATATTTTATTGAGGATTTTTATATTAATGTTAATTAGAGATATTGGCCTGTAGTTTTCTTTTCTTGCAGTGTCTTTATCTGGCTTAAGTATCAAAAGGATGGTCTTGTAAAATGTATTTGGACGTATTCCCTCTAGCTGTATTTTTTGGAAGAGTTTAAGAAGCCCTGGTAGTAATTCTTCCTTGAATGTTTGGTAGAATTCAGCTGTGATGCCATCTGGTCCTGGGGTTTTCTTTATTGGAAGGTTTTTAATTACTTCAGTTTCTTTATTTGCTATTGGTCTGTTCAAGCTTTCTGTTTCTTCCTGATTCAATCTTGGTAGGTTACATTTTTCTAGGAATTTTTTCATTTCCTCTCGGTTGTTCAGCCTCTAGGTTGAAAAATAATTGTTCAAATTGTTCATAATAGTCTCTATGATTCTTTTGTTTCTGAGGCCACTACAACTTTTAAACTTTGCCATTATAGCACAAAAGCAGCTATAGACAACACATAAATGAATGAACATGGCTGTGTTCCAATAAAACTTTATTTGTGATATTAATATTTTAATTTTATATAATTGTATGTGTCATGAAATATTCTTTTGACTTTTTCCCAAAACATTAATAATGTAAAGACAATTCTTAACTTGCAGACCACATCAAACAAAGACATGCACACACATACAAACAAAAAACAGGTGGCAGGCTAGATTTAGCAGATCATAGTTTGCTGACCTCTGACTTACACTAATAAGAGCTCATTCCTGGAGCGTGGTTTCAGTCCCTAAATTATGTTGCTGTTGTATAATGAAGGAGACATGGAATGGATAGGAAGTCAACTTCAGTATGCTCTACTAACAGCTTGGTGTTTTTGAGGGTCTGCAAGAAGTGTAGTTTAGCTGGGACTGTGGACAGTGAGGCTTACAACATCTGTGTGGTGCTCCATGGTGGACAAAGCCTGCACCAACAGTTTCTGGGCAACACTTCTCCCTATCTGGGAACTGCCATGACTCCCTCCCAGCTTAACCAATATATAATTAATTCTTTAAAATAATGGCAATGGGCTGAGAAATATTTCCCTCACTTCCAGGTAACACCCAAACCCATACATTTTAGCAGGGCCTTCCTGCTCCCACTTTTGTTGTTAGACCCAGAGGAGTTCTGCAATTAGTCAGTTAGTCCGTAAGTAGTCATTGAAACACTTACTAGCTTTGCAGTCCCCATGGGTGCAATAGGGAAGCAAAGGAATTGAATGATCCTCCTATATAGTCAAGGCATGGCATACAAAACATACACACAAAAATCTTCCCAAATTCTACAGCACAGAGCTGCCTGGGTGATGGTGGCATGATAAAATTACCTTAACTCCCAGCATCTGTTTATGCCACATAGTGAAAGTTAATGAGGGCTGACCCTCAGCAAAACTGGGAAGTCACCCAAAGTTAAGCTTCTGGCTCTAGCCATCCTTTCTAAAAACACGTTACCTCTTTTAGTGGCAAACTGTTTCTCAGTCCCATCACTGTATCAGGCCCTGTCTCTTCTCTGACCTTGCTCCATCCTTTATAAACAAAGATCTGCCATTGGCCAGTCCTACTTGAGGCTGGCTGACAAGGTATACTTTCTTTTGGATGAATTTCATTTATTTGTTCTCTTATGCTATGTATGCATTTAAGTATTTTGTGCCTAATTCTATATTTTATGCAGTGAGAGACTTTGACTCTGGGGAAGTGCCATGGTCTCAATGTTTGTGTCTGCCCCGCCCCTGCCAAACTCATGTATACTTAACCTCTAATGTGTTAGTATTAGGAGGTGAGGACTTTGGGACATGATTAGGTCATGAAGGTAGAGCCCTTCTGGTGGGATTCGTATCCTATAAAGCAAGTCCCAGATAATTGCCTTGCTCTTTCTACCATGTGATTATACAGCTGGATGTGCTACCTATGAACCAGAAAGCAGGCCCTCACTGGACACTGCATCTGCCAGCACTCCATAACTGTGAGAAATGAATTTCTGTTGTTTATAAGTCACCTAGTTTATGGTATTTTGTTATAGCAGCCCAAATGGACTGTAACAGAAAATTGGTACCAAGAAGTGAGGGTGCTGCTCTAACAAATACCTAAAATGTGGAGTCAACTTTGGAACTGGGTAATGGGTAGAGGCTGGAAGAGTTTTGAGATGCATACTAGAAAAAACTTACATTGCCAAGAACAGACTGTTAAGGGTGATCCTGATGAGGGCTCAAAAGAGGAGAACCACAGAGAAAACTTCAGTCTTTGTAGAGATTAGCTAAGTGGTCATGAACTGAATGTTGGTAGAAATATGGAAGATAGAGGCCATCCCAATGAAATTTCAGGCAGAAATGAGGAATATGTTATTGGACAATGGAGGAGTGGAGGAGAGGACATCCTTCTTATAAAGTGGCAAAGAATGTGGCTGAATTGTGTTTGTGTTCTAATATTGTAATATAGAAGGTCTAACTTGTGAGCAATGAAACTGGATATATGACTGAGGAAATTTCTAAGCAAAGTGTTGAAGATGTGGCTTGGCTTATGAGTGCTTATAGTGATATTCGAGAGGAAAGAAATGGAACAAGACAGAACTTACAATCAAAGGGAAAGGAGAATTTAAATATTTAGAAAATCCCCAGTCTATCTGTATTGTAAAGAATGAGAAAGTGTGTTGAGAGAGAACACTAAGGGTGTAAACAGGTAACTCTTTGATAGGGAGATTGGTATGCTATCTCAGTGGAATCCAGGACCTATTATACAAGACAATGGAAGAATGACCCATAAGACATTTCAGGGATCATCAGCACTTATCTCCATCACTATAGCTGCCCCAGGTGTGGCTCCAGTGGGTGCAGGTATGTGGGGGCATAGCTGCCTTCACCTAGATTTCAAAGGATGCTCTTGAGAGCCATAGAGCTCAGGCAGAAAATTGCTGCAGGAGTGAGATCACCATGGAGAACCCCCACTTGGGCAATTGCCCAGTAGAACCACAGGGGTAGAACTACCCTCATGATCACAGATTGGTAGAAATGGCAGTGATTCTAGTCCAGAGGAGCTTCAAGCATGTGACTTCAACCTCTGAGGGCTATAGTGTGGGTTGTACCCAAAAAAGCCAAAAGGACAGGACTGCCCAAAGCCTTTGGGGCAGGACCACTCAGAGCCTTGTGGGCTCAGCCTCTGCCCCAGTGTGTCTAGAAGGCAGGAACTCTGCCCTAACAGGTCTAGCGGCCAGAGCCTTGAGTCAGAAGATTATTGTCTTAGTTCATTCCTACTGCTATTTAAAAAACAAACAAACAAACAAAAAACAAAAAAAACCTTAGAATGAGTAATATATAAAGAATATAAATTTATTATATTTCTCAGAATTCCAGAGGCGGGGAAGTCCAAGATTACACAGCCAGTATATTAGATGTCTAGTGAGGGCCTGTTTCATGCATGGCATTTTCTCCTGGCATCCTCAAATAAAAATTAGATTTTCTTGAGCACCTACTGCATGCTAGGCTCTGTAGTAAGTAAGTATTGGGGATGACAAGAGGAGAACTACTGTATATTCCCCATCCTCTGTTATCATGCAGTGATTAAGAGCCAGGATGGGAATTAGGGCAGGAAACAGTGGCTTAGTGCCTTCAACTCAGGCTAAGGAGGTCAAAAAAGGAGATGGTCTGCAAGCTTGAACTAGGCTGGTAGGTGAGAACAGGTGGTGTATGTGCGCGCGTGTGTGTGTGTTACATGGGAGAAATGAGAACATTTTATATTGTGGGGAGAAGGAGAGAAGGGAAGATGAAGTTTTGGGAGAGAGGGCATGGGAAGAAAGGGGAAGGAATGGGATCTAGCATGCTGCTGGAAGGATTGGCCTTACACAGGGGAGGGATACCTCTTCCCTGGGACAGAAGGGAAAGTGGGTCCAAGTGCTGGTGCATTCATTCATTCATTCATCTAGTCATCTAGTCACATCAACTCATTAAATATTTATTGAATCCTGTGATTGGCCAATATTACTATGCTAGGCAATGAGGATATAAAGTTGACAATAATAAATTCAGTGCATATTTGTTGAGCATCTAGAGATTGAGTACTATTCCAACAATAATAGCAGTATTATTGAGGATTGATCATATGCCTGTTTTTGTTTGAAATTTTTCCATATTTTATTTAATCATCATAACAGTAGATGTTGATATTTTCACTTGTTTTTGATGGTCAAACTGGGACATAGAGATTAGGTAACCTGCACAAGGCCACATGGCTAAGAAGGAGCAGAGACAGCCTTTGTGTCTAGTCAGCCTGTGGTCTGAAGCCCACCCTTGTACCCATCAAATGTTCTGCCTCAAGAAGCTTGTCTAGCCCAGCTGGAGTAGACAGATACACAGACAAATAATTAAAATACAGCAGATGTCTATTTCCGACAGTGTGGTTGACTAGATAATATGAAAACTCCTCTTCTATAAAATACCAGGAAATGCTGGATAAAATGTAATAACAAACATTTTTGAGAAGCTAGCTGAGCAAGAAGGAGCAACAGGAAAACCACCAGGGACCAAACACGGAGAGAAAGCTGAAAGCTGAAGTGGTAAGCGTGCGAATGGATGCAGTGGCAGCCTGGAGTGGGGAAGTGGGGGTGTTGCTCCTCAGGAAATTCCAGGGATTTGGATTTTATTGTTCAAGGAAAGATAGGAGGCAAAACCTTGGAACTGTGTTAGGCGAGAGTTAGAATTGAGAACCCCACATAAAGGCAGTGCTTTCAAGGCCACGCCCTTGGTGAAATGAGGACTGTAAAACAGCTGACTCATAGGTAGAGGGGATAAACTGGGCTCTGAGTTAGAAAAAATTGTCCCCTGGGACTTTATAACCACAGACTACTCTCAAAGGGTTTGAAGTTTAAACTTATACCCTCTGCTGGTCCAAGAATTACCAAGTTAAAACATTTGTATAGAAAGTGGTCACAGGCTGGTAATGCTCCTGAAGTTTCTGACAGAAGCAAAACAAAACCCTCAAGTGAACAAACCATCTACCTTGGCCACAAAGGATTCCCACAGAAAAAGCCCCACTGACAATGAGCTCGCAATCCAAAATTCAATAACAAAGAGGAAAGCAACCCCTGCAAATGAGTCAGCAGAAGCTACAAACATCAGGATTAGACCCTCAGAAGGTACAGCCAATTGCGTCACCAGACAGAGCTGATCACAGCACCATCTAATCATTTTTTCATGCTGGAAGGATGCTGAGTCTAGGAGAAAGAGCTCTGCCTGGAGGAGCCAGAGAAGGGCTCCCCAGGTCATGTTTGAGCAGATACTGAAGAATTGGTAGGAGTTTGCGAAAGGGAGTGCTAGGGAGGTGGCTTTAGGGTTAGAGAGCTGTGTATTAGGGTTCTTTAGAGAAACAGAACCAGCTCTGTGTGTGTGTGTATTTGTGTGTGTGGAGAGAGAGATTGAGACTGACTGATATTAAGGAATTGGCTCACATGGTTATGGAGACTGGCAAGTTCAATCTGCAGGGCAGGCCAGCAGGCTGGAGACCCAAGGAGGATTGCAGGTCAGGTCAAAAGGCAGAAGTCTGGAGACAGAATTCCCTTTTTGGGGGGACCTCAGTCTTTTTCTTCTCTTAAGTAAGTCCTTCAGCTGATTGGATAAGACCCAGTCACATTATGGAGAGCCATCTGCTTCACCCAAAGTCTACTGATTTAAATGTTAATCATATAAAAAATACCTTCATCTAGACTGGTGTTTGGCCAAACATTCAGGCACTGTAGCCTAACCCAGGTCCTTATAGTCTGCATTCTCTCTGTGAATAGGGAGGTGGGGTGATCTGTGGAGGGGAAAGATATCAGGGTGGCTGGGAAGCCGAGAGGAGTGGGGACTCTGAGCTGGTAATGGTTAAGTCCGTTGACAAGGCTGCTGGACCATTTGGGGGCCCAGCTGAGTGTGAGGGAGTGTGTGAATACACGCATGAACAAATAGAAACCTAAATGACAGCAGAGGGCCTACTGATGCGGCATGAGTGACACTCTACCACAGGGGTGAGAGACGAGATAAAGATGGGGCTAGGCACAGAGAGGTGTGTGTGTGTGGTGTCAGATGTGTGGAGGCACCCAGCAATCCTTCCTTCCCTTCCCCTCCTCTGCCCTTGGCATCCCAGAGGGGCAGTTTATGTTTTCAGCACTTCTAACTTATGTGAGTTGGTGTTTAAGGAGGGCCTTGTAACATGGCTCCTTCTTGTCCACTGTCCTGGAAAACACCCTGGGCCTCTGTATTTCTTCTGCCTCTGGTCTGCTGGCAAGCCCAGAGCTCCGGCTGTTAAGAACCTGCCCTCCATTGAAGAATCTGGACTCATACACATGAAATGGCACACAAGCCATACAAGAGAGCCCCCCTAAGTGGTGAAATGTCTGATGACGGGGAGGAGGAGGAAGGACCTGAGAGACACAGCTGGGTTGGGCAGCAAGAGGACAGGGAATCAGGCAGCCTGGGTTCTGGTCCCGACTCTTCCCTTTATCACTGATGTGACTTGGGTAGAGTCCCTACCTCTCAGACCTTACAGGGCTATCTTAGGATCTAACATGTTCATGAATATTGAAAGTGTTTTGGAAAGTATAAAACATGACCATAATGACAGGTACTATTTGGAAATGCTTACTACGTGTATGGAACAAAGAAAAAGAGAATTTACAGTGTACTGATTAGGATGGGGCAGCGATGAGATTTTTACAAATTATCCTAGCAGGAAGACCTTGACTAATACCCGTCATATTCAGAGCCTGTGGCCGGCACTTTCTTTGCAGTTTCTTATTTAAACCTGATGACAATCCGACAATCCTGATGAGAACTCTTGGTTCAGACCAATCAAATAACTTGCCTAAGGGCAAAAACTAAATGGTCTAGCTGAAATTGGAGTTTGTGAGAGCCAAGCTCAGGGCTTCCTTACCACACGGTGCTACCTCTTGGGGTATTTGTGAGATACTTTTATTATTACCACTGGGGTCAGGCTGAGCCCTCTTTTGCCACCTGGTTGCCCCTAGAGCCTCCCCTGGCAGGCTGCATCCTGCAGTGGCTGATTGGGAAGCCTTCCCTGAGAAGGCATCTCTCAGTTTGACTAAGGACCTGGGTACCTACGACCTTCTTAAAAGTGTTAATAACACTTAATAAATGTGGCGGAGAAAGGTCAGCCTCCCAGTGTTGTGCCAATAAGAGATAAACCTGCCCAGAAACATCTGCTCTCTGTTATTGTTGTGCAGACGTGGCTGCAATGTCCTCTGATTAGTTCATGAATTAAGTGGAGGGAAGCAGTAAAACTGACTGCGTGCTCACATCTCTACCGCACCTCTGGGACCGCGTGGACCAGAGTGCCAGGTGGGGAGAGCTGCCAGCCCCAGGAGCCGGAGGAAGGGCTGTGTCTGCCCTCGCTCAGAGGGAAGCTGAGTTCCAGGCATTCTTTCCACCTGCTGGGCATTGGAGAGGAGGAGTTGGAGTTCCCCCTCTTTTTTGCCTGACCTCATTGGGAATCTCTGATTAGTAACCTTTGTAGAAGGGACACCCTCCATGTCTGCTGCAGTCTTTGTCCTGAAGGCAGGAGATCACTGGATGCTCTCAGAGGGGAATTAGGCTGTAAGAACAATGTATTGCTTTGTAACAAGTTATCCCAAGACTTAGCTGGCTTAAAACAAGAACGATTTGTTGTCTCACACAGTCTCTGAGGGTCAGGAATGTGGGAGCTGCTTAGCGAGTGTTTCTGGCGCAGGGTCACTCTCAAGCTGTTGGGCTGAGGCTGCAGCCATCCCAAGGCTTGACTGGGGCTGGAAAGTCCACTCCCAAGCTCAGTCAAGGTGTTGTCGGGCCTCTCGGTTCCTTGGTTCCTGTTGGCTGGAGGCCTTAGCACCTGGCGGTGTGGGTCTCTCCATAGGCCTCTTCACAGCAGGGCAGCCGGCTCTCCGCAGAGCAAGAGACAAGAGAGAGAAGAGTCCCCTTACATAGAAGTGGCAGTTTCAGAAGCAACATCCCATGATTTCTGCCATGTGCTGTTGGGCAAATCAACCCCCATTGTGTTCAGGGAGCTACGAGGGGGGTGTGAGTACCAGGAGGCAGAGGTCCTCAGGCATCCTTGGGGGCTGGCTATGACGAAGGCCTGGCAGGAACCTGTGCTGCTCGGGTGATGTAGGGAACTAGAAACTTCACCTGCGAGTCTTCCCTCCCATTCTAAAAACACCGACGCGGGTTTCTTCAAAGTTTATCTTTGAGATAAAGTCCAGGTCCCTTTCAATGGCTTACAAGGTGCTTCACAGCCCCCCAATACCTCTAACACATTTTCTGCTCTTTTCTCCAGTCACCCCCATTCCAGCTACACAAACAGTTTGGTGTCATTTCTCTGTGACCATGGACCTGCAATTTCCCTTCTCCAACCAGTAGATTTCTATCTTACAACTTGGTTTAGCCCATCTCCTCCTTTGTGAAACCTTCCTGGGCAACTTCCCAGAAAGATGGGGGCTCTCCCAGTGCCCCATAGTCACATTGTACCTCCGCTCCAGCCGCCATTCATGTCTTACTTGGGAAGTATTGAGTGAGTGCCCACTGTGTGCCCGGCACGGGGTTGGGGCTGGGGGCACAGCAGTAAACAAAACAGACACAATCCCTGCCCCGGCTGTAGTGGGGGCTGACAGACAGACAAAGAAGCCAAGAAATGTGGAATGTGTTGGGTGTTGATATACACTATGGACAAAAGGACAGAATAGGGCTGGGTGCGGTGGCTCACGCCTGTAATCCCAGCACTTTGGGAGGCCAAGGCGGGTGGATCACTTGAGGTCAGAAGTTCGAGACCAGCCTGGCCAACATGGTGAAACCCTGTCCTTACTAAAAATACAAAAAGGAGCCGGGCATGATGGCACGCATCTGTAATCCCAGCTATTTGGGAGGCTGAGGCAGGAGAATAGCTTGAACTTGGGAGGTTAAGGTTGCAATGAGTTGAGGTAGCACCACTGCACTCCAGCCTGGGTGACAGAGCCAGACTCCATCTCAAAAAAAAAAAAGAAAAAAAAAAAGGACGAAATAAAGTAGAGCAGGGTAAGGATGAGGTGGGGGTGCTGTTTCCTACCCTTTACTCAGGGAAGGCCTTGCCGCTCAGGTGACAAGGACCGGAGACCAGTACTAAGTGAGGCATTGAACTGGGAGGATATCTGGGAACAACATTCAATGCCTATCATGTTATAATGATTTGCTTTTGTTTCCACACAAGTCTGTAAGTTCCTCGAAGGCAGGGACCATGAATACATCAATTATGTCAATTTCACGTCCCCACTGCTTAGCATGGTAGAGGCCTGATGAATAAGGAATGTGCTTTTGATGTGTAGGAGTTGAAAAGTGTCTTTGAGAGACAGGATCGGGACTCTAACAAACTTCCAGAGGCACTAGGACGCTGACTGGGGGAGAAACACGAGAGAAGATAAATTTGTTTTGTGGATTAAAGACTCATTCCGTTTATATCCCTATGCCTTATAGACAAGGTGAGATGAAAATAAATTTAAATAAAGACTTTAGTTTGTATTTAATGATGTGGTTATTAGGCTGCATTTGGCAATGTGTCACCTGATTTAAAACATAAAGTTTTAAAATCGGCTTTTTCAAACACTGATTTACCCTTTGGGTCTGCCAGCTCTAATAATAAATAAAGCAAAAGCTGACCTCATTACCAACAGATTCATGGAGTGGGCTAACATTTGGTAGATTACCCAGTTCTGGATGCTGAGAAATGAAGGCCACCAAATGACTAATTCTGATGGGGAATTGGGAGCTGAGGTCACATTTGCAGCCAAGTTCATTACACAGGGGCCGATGAGCCCCTCCTTCATATCAGTGGGGCCTCAGCTCTTTCTGCATTCTTAGAACAGGGCAGCCTATGGATGCCTTTGTTTGGCTCAGGCAGCTCTGAAGTGCCAGACAATAAGGAGGCCAGGTGGGAGAAAGAGCTGACTCAGAACTGGTGTGAGGTGCCTTTGTGAGTCCAGAGGGTGCAGAACTTCTCAGACTCACGGCGGGGCTCCACATCTCAGGCCCCCTGCTGTTCAGCCCCTGCTCTGAGAGCACCTTGACTGCTCTCCTGTCAGCTGGGGAGGTGAGCGCCGACTTAGTGGGACAGGTGCACCAGGACCTCAGTTGTGGGTTCATTCCTTCATGATTGAGGGGCAGGACTGCGAGAAAGATGTGATTGACTGGACATGATTTCCTGTCCTCTGAGAAGTCACATGGAGGTGTGAGTCCTGTGACAGACAGGGGACCGACCAACCATTCTTGGAGAAGGTAGTCCGCAGGCCTTCTGTGAGCCAGGGCGAAGGAAGGTGAAGAGAGAAGCCTCCATATCATGTCTGTCCTTACCCTGAGAGGCCAAGCAGAGTGAGCCGGTCAGGAGCTGGAGAAAGGGCAGCTGGTGGGTGGGTCCCTTCAGAGGAAAGGGCATTTCAGGATGGCATCCCCTTTAAAGGGCAAGTACCCTGGTTGGGGGCATGGTGGAAGAAGAAGGTGAATTGGGCAAGGAATCAGTTGACTGCTAGCCAGGGGCAAGAAGGCCTGGGTGCCACATGTCAGCAACCACACCATTCTGGAACAAGGGTGAGGCTACATTTCCAGCAGTGGGAGCCTGCACCCAGAAGTCACATAGACCTGGATTCAAAGTCGTGGTGAAATTGGTCAAGTGATTTAAGGACTCTATTTTCTTTATCATCATCTGCAAAGTAATAATAATAATAATAATGCCCACCATATAAGGCAGAAAATGTTGGTTTTTCCCTCTATACCTAAATCATGAGGCAGGAATCTTCCTCAAATCAAATCATTGCTTCTCACTCTCTCCTTGCCTGTTTTCTTTCTCTTAGCTAGGCAGGTAGTATTTCTACATCACTTAGCACATGAAAGGTGATTTACTTTATAGAACATTCCACAAGCATTGTGATACACTAGACAGAGCGTTGGTAGAGCAGGAGATCTGGATTTTAGCTTTAATTCCTCAACATGTCTGCTGTGTGACCTTGAGTTGGGGCAGCCTGTGGATGCCTTTGTATTGGCTTAGGCAGCTCTCAAGTGCCAGACAATGAGGAGGCAATTTTTCTGGACTTCAGAATACTCATCTGTGAAGTGGGAATAGTACTATTTTACTCTAATCTCCTAGATTATCATGAGATACAAATGAGACACATGTGTGAATGTGCTTTGTAAACTCTTTGGGCATTTTAAAATTATTTTTAATTTTGGTAAAATACACATAAAACTACTGTTTTAACCAATTTTTAGTGTACAGGTCAGTAGTGTTAACTACATTCACATTGCTGTACAACCATCACCACTATCTATCTCCAGAATTCTTTTTGTCTTGCAAAACTGAAATTCTGTGTTTATTAAACAATAACTCTCCATTCCTTCTCCTCCCAGCCCCTGGCAACAACCTTGGTACCTCACATAGTGAAATCATACAGTCTTTGTCTTTTTGTGTCTGGCTTATTTCACTTAGCATAATGTTTACAAAGTTCATCCTTGTAGTATGTGTCAGAATTTCCTTCCTTTGTAAGGCTGAATCATATTCCGTTGTATGTATGTATTTTGTTGATCCATTCATTTGTGGCCGGACACTTGGGTTGCTTTCACCTTTTGGCTGTTGTGAATAAGGTTGCTATGAACATGGGTGTACAAATATCAATTTGAGACCCTGCTTTCTATTATTTTGGATATATACCCACAAGTGGTATTGCTACATCATATGGTAATTCTATTTCTAATTTTTTGAGGCCTTACATTATCCGGGGTTTTTTTTGTTTGTTTGTTTGTTTGTTGTTTTTTTTGTTTTGTTTTTTGAGACAGAGTCTGGCTCTGTTGACCAGGCTGGAGTGCAGTGGCACGATCTCAGCTCACTGCAAGCTCCGCCTCCCAGGTTCACACCATTCTCCTGCCTCAGCCTCCTGAGTAGCTGGGACTACAGGCGCCTGCCACCACGCCTGGCTAATTTTTTTGCATTTTTAGTAGAGACGGGGTATCACCATGTTAGCCAGGATGGTCTCGGTCTCCTGACCTCGTGATCTGCCTGCCTCGGCCTCCCAAAGTGCTGGGATTACAGGCATGAGCCACTGCACCTGGCCACATTATCCGTTTTTATAGTGGCTGTACCATTTTACATTCCCACCAGCAAAGCACAAGGGTTCCAATTTCTCCACTTTTTATGTCCTTTCTTTCTTTTTTTTTTTTTGGTTTGTTTGTTTCTGTTTCTTGGCTTTCTGTTTTTGTGTTTGTTTTTTTGGTAATAGTCATCCTAATGGGTGTGAGGTGAAAAGAAGACACAGTATTAGTCATTTATACAAGTAATTGATTTATTGATCTAATTATATTGAGGGACTGAAACAAAAATTGTGGGCATGGGGTCTGGCAATTTGTGGGGTTTTAAAAAAATTATTATTTTTTATTTTTTAGAGATAAATTCTTACTCTGTCACCCAGGCTAGAGTGCAGAGTTGCAACCTTGGCTCACTACAGCCTCAACTTCTTGGGCTCAAGCCATCCTCTCACCTCAGCCTCCTGAGTTGCTGGGACCACAGGCAAGTGCCACCATGCCCAGCTAACTTTTGTATTTTCTGTAGAGACAGGGGTCTCACTATATCGTCCATGCTGTTCTTGAACTCTTGAGCTTAAGCAGTCCTCCCACCTTGGCCTCCCAAAGTGCTGAGATTGCAGGCATGAGCCACCGTGCCCTGCCCTGTCTGTGTCTTCACAAGCCCTCTAGGTGACTCTGATGGGCACTCAAGTTGGTGCAGAGGGATGCAAGCGGATGAAGCTGGCAGTGCGTGAGGGTGGTCTCTGGAAGCCTAGAATCAGGTTCAGGACTTTGGGCTAGGTTTAGAACCCTCCAGTGACTGTTAATCACACCTGGAATAAGACAGATTCTCACCATGGCCCTTGAGGCCATGTGACAACCTGTGTGTCCCTGCTCCCTGTGCCTCCCTGCATTCTTCCCCTCACATGCTCCACTCCAGCCGCTGAACGCCAGTGGCTGCCAAGCTCCCTCTTACCTTTCTCCTCCAACTTGGCATGTTCTTCCTCTCTCTCCTATGGCTTCTTCCTCCTGATTCAGGTCGCAGCTCAGGTGGCGCTTCATTAGCAATATCCCTTCCCTGACCACCCCCCATCATTCTCTCATACTTCCTTATTTTCTTTCTCTTTGTAGTACTTTTTTGCTGCCTGAAATTATCCTGCATTTATTTCCTTACATGTGTGCTGTCTGCCTCCTCAGCTAGAGCATAAGGTCCTCGAGTCTGGTTCTCTGTCCTGTCCGTCAGTCTATTTCCAATGCTTGGAACCAAGCCTGGCACCTAGTAGGTAGCCAGTATGACTTTTTTTTTTTTTTTTTTGAGACGGAGTCTCGCTCTGTCGCCCAGGCTGGAATGCAGTGGCTCAGTCTCGGCTCACTGCAAGCTCCGCCTCCCGGGTTCACGCCATTCTCCTGCCTCAGCCTCCTGAGTAGCTGGGACTACAGGCGCCCACCACCATACCTGACTAATTTTTTGTATTTTTAGTAGAGACGGGGTTTCACCGTGTTAGCCAGGATGGTCTCGATCTCCTGACCTTGTGATCTGCCTGCCTTGGCCTCCCAAAGTGCTGGGATTACAGGCATGAGCCACCGCGCCTGGCCGCCAGTATGACTTTTTTATTCAGCAGACATTGGGATGCTCTGAGGTTGTTCTGAATAGTGAAGCAGCCCCGTCAAAGGGTGCCTTCTGTGGAGATTCCTCCCGTGGCTATGTGTAGGGGGTGCTGAAGCAGGAGGGCTCTGAAATGAGGGAAACTAGGGACACCAAGAGTTGAGTTGTGACATGAAAAGGGTCCACGCCGGTGGTTCTAAGCTGGGGGCAATTTCTCCCCCTCTCCCTCCTCCAGTGGACTTTTGGCAGTATCTGGAGGCATTCTTAGTTGTCACAACTGGGGAGGGTGCTACTGGCATCTACTGCATCCTCACAAGGCAGGAGGGCAAGTTTCTGCCTTCCGAAGAGTGCATGAGGCCTCTTTATAAGGGCCTTAATCACACTCACGAGGGAGGAGCCCTGGTGACCTAACTACCTCTTAAAATCCCCACTGCTTACTACCTTCACATTGGGGACCCCTGAAATTTGAAAAGAGACACATTCAAACCGTCGCCCTAGCGATGCTGCTGAACTCCCTACAATGCAGACAGCAGCCCCCCCACAGAGAATTACCCAGCCCCACGTCAGTAGTGCTGAATATTTCCAAGTCGGCAGAATAGGATTGTTCCCCTCTCTGTGCCTACGGTTAGGACTTTAAATCTCTTTGGCCACAGAGTGGGAAGACCACGAGAACAGGAGTTCCTCTGAGAATGTGCGTGCATCAAACTCTGCTTCTGTCTTTCTCTATTTTCTGCTTGGCGCTGCCTCCTGCTCTGTCTTGCTAATCCTGTATTTCTGTTCTCCCCCTTTCTTCCCTTCCTCCTCTTCTCTCCTGCCTTCCTCTTTCCTTCCTTCTCGCCTTCCCTGTTCCCTTCCCTCTTGTCTGTTTCCTCTTCTTCCTTTCTCCCTCTGCTCCCTCTCCCTTTGTCCCCCATTTAACAGCCCATTATGAATATTTGAAGTTTAGTAGGTTTATGGTCTCGGTTCTTAATTTTTAGAGTGGGTAATTGCGTGGGCTCCACTAAATGAAATTTACTAGCTCTTTCCTTCCATGGCATATGGCATCGGAATAGGACTGCTTTTTATCCCCTGTGGTAAGTGATATTTCTTTCCCCTCGTCCCTCTATGCATTTTGAATATTCTGACAACAGTCAACTAAGCATCTCTTTCAGGCAACAGCTCTTGAGGAAATTCATGCAGACAGCATGAGTTTATCCAGAAAAGAATACCAAAGCAGGTTAGTTTCAAGGAAACAGGCGGGTTAGTGTCCAGGAAAAAAACGATGCATAATATGGGTTTTTGAGGGAGGACAGACCTGAGAGGTGTTTGTTTTGCGAAGTGCTTTAAAGTATGTTTGAGACTTCGGCAGACGACTAAGGAGGCAGTGTGTTACGGAGGTCCCAGCCTCAGGGAGGCTGAGGGGACAGGGAGCGAGGCAGGGTTCACACCCACATCCTAGATGTGGCCTCCACCAGGAGGTACTCCCCAGCATGTAGAACAGTGACTTGATATTAATACATATCTCTTCCCTTTCACCTTTGGAAAAGGGCAACAGACAAATGATGAGAGATTATCTGAATATTATTTGAAGGAATGATCACAGGAATATTTTGCTCTTGCCCCATTGTGGGGCCCTAGCTTGGACTCGGAACCCCCGTGTCCTCCTGGATAAATACTCCCTTCCCTGTACTGGCTCCTTCCCTGGGGGATGATGACAATGAATAAAAAGACCCATTACTTGTGCTTTGATCTCCTGGGAAAAGAGACAGATAACTCCAAGGTGGAAACAATCGAAGTAATGGCCCTCCAGATTTTTCTACCCATATTCTTGCAAAGAACTCAAAGCCATTCTAATCTGTCATTTTCTCCTGCTTGCTTTTTTCCTTGGTGTGGTCAGACCTCTGGCTCCCTTGGTACTTGCCAGTTTTGATCGGAGGCCACAGGGTCCTGTGTTGTAGACTCTAGCAGGCATGATGCTCATTTATTCACAGCTTTGGCTAAAATGTAGAGATAAGACCCTCAGTGGTCCTATGGCTTAGGGTCACCCTGTCTAGAATCAGGGATGTAACATGATGGAGATTGACAGATGGGTCAGAAGACAGCATGGAGTGATGTTTGCCCAGGGGTGAGTGGATTCTTGAGATGGCACCTTCCAGCTGCCCCGCTGAGCTTGAGTTTCAGAGTCTGCCAGGCACCTAGCTTGTGATCTCTACCCTCCCTCCCCTGCCCCACCACCATCTCCCCAGTTCATCCATGAGTCTTTGAGAGCAGGGGACAGAACTACTTCATGTCTTCATGTCTTGTGTTCTCAACGGCATCTACCCCACTGGTGCCTGGCGTGAGGTCGGCGCTCAGTAAATGCAAGTCAAATTGAATTATCCCGGACAATGAAGCTGATCTGGGCTAGGTCTCCCCTGGAGGTAACAGGCAGACCTTGCCTGGCATCTTTGTCTGCACTAGACCTATGAAGGCTCCCAGCAGCCCCCATCACTCCCGTCCCTTCTGCCTTCATTCCCACTCTGTCCCATAAGTCGTCCAGAAGGCTGTCACCGGCGGGCCATTAGACAAGACAAATGGGCAACTCCAGCCCACTGTTCCTTTCCTCCAGCCTGGCTGTTTGTGCAGTGAGCCATGAGACTGGATATCCCGGGCACTGAACTGCCACAGTCGTGCATCTGGGCTGGCCAGTGCTGGCTGGCTGAGCTTGCCCAGATGTAGCTGGGGGCTCTCCATGACTGCTTTCAAAAGAGAACACATGGGGACTATCTTCCTACCCAAAAGAAAACCTACAGGGAGGTGAGCCGGTCCACAGAGAGCAAGGAACTGTTTAAGGAGGCTAACTGGGAATATCAATCAGGTATCCAGAGACCTTACAAAGTGGCCGTATACATAGGGCACTAACTGCAGATAGAATTGTCGGTGATGCCAGGGACTTTACTCATACATTTTGTTCCAGGGGTCATGTTCTTTAGCTAATTGTGGGAGTGTGAAAGATGAAGGGATAGACCAAAAGGTGAACCTTGTGAAAGTCCGAGAGTTAGCTCATATCAGGGTCAAGTGCTTAACGTGCCTAACATTTGCCTGGCTCTGTGCTGAGTTGTATGGGGGTTACAGGATGAGAGGAGACTCAGCTCCTGCACTTGGGGTGTTTCCGGTTTACACAGCAGTCCCGTGACACAGGGAAATGGTTCTCTGCAGCGCCTGAGCAGCTTGATTCTGTGCATGCCTCCGCGTCTCCATGCGCATCCTCCTGGTGGCTCTGTGCTCATCCCCAGCTAACCTGCCCTCCTGGCCCTTTTGGCACACACAGAGCCCCCACTCAGCGGGGTTGCCAAGCCCATCACACTTCACCTGCCCTGTCAGAGTGCTTCCTTCCAACCCATCTCCAGAGCAACTGCTTACTCAAGAGTGGCAGCTGCATTTCCCTTGCTCCCCAGTGCAACCTTCAAACATTTCCCCCATTCTTTCCCGATCCAAGTCCTCCCCTGCCTTGTGCCTGCCGTTCTCATGTAGGGCTCCTAGCCTTCCTCTCACTGCTGCCTTGCTCTGGCCCCATCATCATCAGTGTCCACGGGGCCATCCCGCTGGTGCCATGGCCTTGGGGATCCTCAGCCGCCTCCCTTCCGGTGGCCTTCTCTCCCACTCCATGTCACCATCACAGCTGCATTCTTGAGTCATGGCAGCCCTTGATCCTCTGCTTCTAAAACCATACATGTCCAAATCCCATGGTCTGAAAACAGCATCTTACCCAATCTCACCATCGCATTCCCCTGCTCCGCTCTTCTGCGTATCCTGGTATCCACATATTCCACAAATATGCAGCCTTTCCTTTCTGCTGGGGCTAACCCATTGGACAGCTTTTTCTGGGTGTTACTCCCTTTCCTGTCCAGTGGAAAAGGCCCAGTCCATCACCCTCGCCAGGTCCCAATAGCACCTTCACTCATTTGTCCCCAGTCCTGCCCACCCACCTGATCACCTCCTACTCTTAGTTGTGACATCTGCCTGCCTTGCTTCTGGCTGTGCCCTGAGGCTGCTTTCAGAAACACACCAACATCTCTTCATTTCAACTGGGTCCAAACAGAAATGCATGTACATATCAGAGCAGCTATTCCAAGCCCTCCCCTGAAGCCACCTTCCTTATCTTTGTCAGTCTTGCTAGTGGAAGATGAAGATGAGACCTTTCCTCTTTTCCGAGAAAATAGATGCCATCCAGCTCAGCCTCTCTCAACACCCCCCACCTACAGCAAATATTTATTTACAGCTGTATCTGTCAGCATCGGTTAGACCTGCATTACGCAGTGCTATAGCCATTAGTATTGAGCCCCTGGAACGTGGCTCATCTGGGTGGAGATGTGCTTTAAATATAAAATGCACACTGGATTTTGAAGTTCTGGTATGAAAACAAGAATACGAAATACACAAATGATTTTTATATTGACTAGAGATTAAAATCATAGTATTTGACTGGGTACAATGGCTCACGCCTGTCATCCCAGCACTTTGGGAGGCCGAGGCGGGAGGATTGCTTGAGGCCAGGAGTTCAAAACCAGCGTAGGCAACATAGTAGGACTCTTTTTTTTTTTAACAACAACAAAAAAAATACGAAAATTAGCCAGTCATGGTGGTGCTCACATGTGGTCCCAGCTATTCACGGCTGAGACAGGAAGATCGCTTGAGCCCGGGAAGCCAAGGCTGCGGTGAGCCAAGATCGCACCACTGCACTCCAGCCTGGACAGCAGAGTGAGACCCTGTCTCAAAAAAACAAAAACAGAAACAAAACATAGTGTTTGTGAAATTTGGTTAAGGAAAATATTGAAATTAATTTTTTAATTTCACCTATTTCTTTTGATGTTATTTTATTTTATTTTATTTTATTTTATTTATTTTATTTTATTTTATTTTATTTTTTGAGACAGAGTCTGGCTGTGTCACCCAGGCTGGAGTGCAGTGGCACGATCTCGGCTCGCTGCAACCTCTGCCTCCTGGGTTCAAGTGATTCTCCTGCCTCAGCCTCCCAGGTAGCTGGGATTACAAGCACTCCACCACGCCCAGCTAATTTTTGTATTTTTAGTGGAGATGGGGTTTCACTATGTTGGCCAGGCTGGTTTGGAACTCCTGGCCTCACGTGATCCACCTGCCTTGGCCTCCCAAAGTGCTGGGATTACAGGTGTGAGCCACCGCACCTGGCCTCTTTGGATGTTTTTAAATGTGGCTACTGGAAAATTTAAAATGACATATGTGCCTTGCATTATATTTCTTCTCTTTTTTCTTTTCTTTTCTTTTTTTTTTTTTTTTTTTTTTTTTTTTTGAGATGGAGTCTCACTCTGTTGCCAGGCTGGAGTGCAGTGGCATGATCTCGGCTCACAGCAGCAACCTCCGCCTCCCAGGTTCAAGCTATTCTCCTGCGTCAGCCTCCCTAGTAGCTGAGACTGCAGGCGCACACCACCACGCCCAGCTAATTTTTTTTTTGTATTTTTAGTAGAGATGGGGTTTCACCATGTTGGCCAGGATGGTCTCAATCTCCTGACCTCATGATCTGCCCACCTCGGCCTCCCAAAGTGCTGGGATTACAGGTGTGAGCCACCACATCCGGCTGCCTTGCATTATATTTCTATGGCTCAGCTCTGAGTGGGAATATAGGCTGAGCCACAAAAACAAAGGGACCTGAAAATGTAGTAGCTCCAAGATCAAAGTGTTTTTCTCTCACACATAAACCTGGAGGTAAATAGTAGTGGTCCAAGGATAGAGGGTGGCGGGCGGCATTGCCGTCAGCAGCACGTGATCTCTATATGTTCTTGTATGTGTCATTACCACCAGCCAAAAAGGCCAGGAACATCCAGGGCAAGGAGATGAACTGGATGGTCTGGTCACTTTACTTCCATTTGCTAGTGCAGGTTTAGCCCATGGCCTCCTGAGTTCAGGGAGGCTGGTAAGTGTGGTCTGAGCTAGGTGGCCATGCGTCTGTGTCAAACATAGGGTGTCATATGAGTAAAAGGAAAAAAAGGAGAAGGCACCCAAGAAGGGGGAGCCGTCCCTTCTCTCACCCCAGATGAGCCTGCACCTGTGCACCAGGCTCCCTCCATCTGCCTTTTTGCAGGGCTTGCTTCAGAAAGCGCTCCTTTCTGCTGACTTTCTCTTTCCCTTCCCACTGGCTCCTCTTCTGAGCCCTTCTTATCTTAATTTAAACACCCTTCCTTGGAGGTTGTGCTTCCCCCCACCGATTGTCCTAATTATGCCCCCTCCCTTCCCAGACCGGCTGCTTGGCTCTCTCCATTCACTTCTCGGCCGCTCCTCCACCTGCTGCCATCTAAATGCTGCCTAACCTCTCCCCTGGAAGGGCTCTTGCTGAAGTCCCCGGTGACCTCCTACTTGCCCAGCCCTGTGGAGAATGCTCAGTCCTTGTTTTATCTGACTTCTGTTCTCCTTAGATCCTCTGGTCTAACCATTGCTTCTCAGTCTTTTTCCCTACACTGTCCCAAATGTTGAGTCCTCAGAGTTTTAGCCTGGTTCTTCCTCTCCTGTTACTCACCATCCTATGCCAGATCCAAGTTGTCATTATCACCCTGACCCTGGGGACTCCCGGGTCTCCGTGTCTCCAGCCTGGATCATTATCTGGAGAGCCAGACCAGTAACTTTTTCTGTTGCTAAACAGTGCGCCCCGAACTTAATAAATACTACACCAAAATCATTATCTTTGCCCTTCTCCAAAAACAAAAAAAGAACAATCTTCCTCTCTATCCCCCTGTATTCTTTATCTTGGTCACTGATGTCACTATCTAAATTGTCAGTGAAGCCAAGAGCCCTCTTACCTCATCCCAACCCCCACTGATTTTGATTCTGCCCGGTTTATCTCACTAGAATCTGCCTCTTCTCTTTGATCCTCTTTCCGTGCCCCTCACTACCTGTCTCATTTCTCTTTCCTGGACTATTAAAATAACCCTCAAGCTGATCTTCCCAACTCGTATTTCTGTTCTCACTCCAGTGTATCTATGGGAGTGATCGCCCTAAAATGCAAATCTTATGACGTCATCGCCTGTCGGAAGCCCTCCTCTTGTCCCTCGGCACCTTCTGGACCTTCAGGCCTCCATCCCAGTTCACCAGTGAGACACACAGGTTCTTCATGCTCTTTTCCTCCCATCTGCCTTCCCTGCCAGGTGCTCAGGCCCCTCCCGCTGACTGAGCCAGTCACCACACACTGGAACACACTTTGCTTCCTTGCTTCCCTGGGAAGCTCACTCCCCTCCTTCAAGGCTGACTCTTGTGTGAAGCCTGGCAGGTAGTAGTAACTTAACACATGGGTGTTAGATAAATGCATGAGGCCTTCCCTAAAACTTGCCCCACCACCTGGAGTTTGGTTTCCCTTTATCTGTGCTTCCTTAGAATTTTGTGATTCTCTCTATGGAACCACTTCATTGTACAGTAAAGTCTGGCTCTGTCCTCTGACCCCAGGATGCCTTCCAGAGTCAAATGACCTCATCTTAGTCACCTGTGATTTCCCAGCACATGAACAGCTGGTTCATGGTGGGAGCATCGTAAGATTTTGTCATATCACTTACCGTATCAGGTTGTGGCTATTTGCTTGTATGACCATGTCCTTCTCTGGACACTTTGAAAGCAGAGATACATCTTATCCTTCTCTGCATACATAGTGCCTTGCTTAAGATAGGTGTTTAATAGGTATTTGGTGAATTAATAAAGAAAGGAATGATTGAATGAGTGAATGCCTTACCCATGTCAATTAGAAAGCAAACGATTAAGTACTAAATGAATGGTGCACACAATAAGTGCTTTGGAGGATTTGAGGAGGGTGAAAGTGTGGGGTGGAGCAGTTCAGTGCTTACCTGGGGCACGGTGGGAATGGGGTATGAGAATGAGGGTTATTAGGTAGGATTTGGACATGGGTTTTAAAAAACAGCTGAGTACGTTCCAGGAAGAGACCACCTGAACAAAAAAACAGGGCAAAGCAGCATGCTGTATTCAGTGTTCAGCAAGGACAATCTAGATGTAGCTAAGTGGTCATAGAATTCAGTAGAAGGTGAGTCTGCAAAGACATGTTGGGGCCAGACTGTGGAGGGCCTGAGGGCCAGGCAGGTGCATCTGCAGTGGAGAGTAGCTAGGTTGGTGCAAGAGAGACTGGAGGCAGAAGACAGGGTAGACATATTGCAAAAGAAAGCAAGGAGTGGCGGCAGTGGGAACAGAAGGGGGGCAGTGGGTGGGAGGCAGATCCCTCAGCAGTCTTTAGTGGGTGAGCAGATGGAGGGGCTGTAGGGATAGGGAGAATGCAAGGCAGCTCTGCCAGGGATTTGCATGAGACCAACTGGTGCTATGAAGTGAAACTGGGAAGCCAGAAAGAGCCCCCAATTCAATAAAAAGATAATGGGTTACATTTGGGACACAGAATTTGGACATTTGGACATTTCTTACTAGTAGCCAGAAAAAGGAGTCTGATGTGTAGATGAGAAATTGGGGGTGGAGATAGGGGTTTTGGAGTTATCTGCATAGGGCTGATAGTCAAAAATTAATGTTTCTTAAGGGAGAAATTGCACAATGAAGAGTGGCTTGTGGACTAAATCCAGGGTGTAAAATTGGGGGACACTTACATAGTGTCTAGCATTACATGGAAGAGGAAGGGGAGCGAGGGAAGAGGTTGGGGCATATGAGAGTTCTGGTTCTTCCATATCCATGTCAGCAATTGGTATGGTCAAGCTTTTTAATTTTAGCCATTCTAATAGATGTGTAGTAATATATCATTATGGTTTTAATTTGCATTTCCCCAGTGACTAATAATGTTGGACATATTTTCACGTGCTTACTTGCCACCTGTACAACTTCTTTGGTGAAATGTCTATTCGAATCTTTTGCCCACTTTAAAAATTAGATTGTTGGTTTTCCTATTACTGAGCTTTGAAAGTTCTTTACATATTCTGGATACAAGTCCTTTATCCAGCATGTGCTTTGCATGTAATATTTTCTCCCCACCTATGGCTTGTCTTTCATTCCAATCTTTTGAAGAGCATACATTCTAAGTTTTGATGACGTCTACTTTACCAATTGTTTAATTTTATGGGTTGTGCTTTTGATGTCATATCTAAGAAATCTTTGCCTAACTCAAAGATTTTCTTCTAGTAGTTTTATAGTTTTAGGTTTTACCGTTATGTCTATGGTCCATTTTTTTTGTTAATTTTTGCATATGGCATGAGTAAGGATTGGGATTTCTTTAACATATGGATATCCAAATGTTCCAGCACAGTTTGTGTAAAGACTTTTTTTCCCCACTGTACCTTTGTTAAAATCAGTTTTCCACAAATGCACGGGTCAAAGTAGTAATTATGAAGGAAGGAATAGAAGTTGGCATAGAATCCCTCAAAAGCCAAGACAAGTTTGGCTCAAAGATTCTTGAAGTTCTCCTGCTGTCAGGCGAGGTCATTGCATTGGGGATGGGAAGAATTAAACCTCGAAAGTTGAAGACTAGATGAATGATGGGCGTACATTATAGGATGCATGGGTTTCTGTGAAAACACATTGTGGTGCACTTGCTCAGCCTCTGCGTTCAGGGAAGGCTTCCTGAAGGAGGGGATGTCTGAGCCGAGATAGTCAGTGAGCAAAGATGAGAGTGCAGAAGGAGGAGAGTGAGCAAAGGTGTGCAGGCATGCAGCAGCACCGTGTGTGTGTGTGTGTGCGTGTGTGTGTGTGTAAGGGGTGCTATGAGTAGTTCACTGCTTCTAGAAGGTAGAGAGGGATGAGCAGGGAAGCACAATATAAGGTTTGACAGAGTCAAGTCAGATCTTGTGTGCCGTGCTGAGGAATTCCATTTATTTTGAGGATGGAAGCTTTTAAAGCAGGGCTTTACACTTCAAAGCGCACACTCTGGCAGCTAGGAGAGGGTGTGGTTGAGGAGCGCCAGGTGGTGGTGGTTGTGCCAGCCTGGAGGCAGGAAAACCAGATAAGAGTTAAGAGGTTGCAGTTAAGTCGTTGAGATGAAAGGACCGAAGTAGGGTGGTGGTGTTAAGACTGGAAAGAAGTGGACTGGTTTGAGAAATTTTGAGGAAGTACAACCAAAAGCAATTGGAGACTGGTTATTGGAAGGTGCGGAATTGGGTGAAGGCACGATGCCTGGGTAGCTGGTGCTGCTATTAACTAAACGTAGGAATGTTAACAGGAAGAATCTAGGAGGGAAGAGGTGGGTTTACTTTGGGTCTTCCTAAATTTGAGATGCTCTGCAGATACGTTCATGGAGATGTCACCAGGCTGTTGGATATAAGTAAAGCACACCCATGGAGGCGGCTATGAAATAGATCAATCAGGAAGCTCCTGGGAGGATGACAAGAAGAGGCCTCTGCAAAGACCTTGGATGCACCGTTGTTTAAAGGGGAGGCAGAAGAACATACCTGGAGGGAACAGTTAGAGCAGTGTGAGGAGAACCCTAGGAGAGTAGTTTCATGGAAGCCAAGGAGGTTGATTAAATGAGATAACATATATGCTCTTCTTAGGACAGCACCTGGCAGGTTGTAAGTCGTATTGCCAGCTAGTGATATAGTTAGACAAAGAATCAAAAGTTCACCAGTTTTGCAAAAATGAATATTGATGTTGACTTGGCAGGTGCAGTTTGGGTGGAGTGGTGGGGACGGAAGGCAGAGTGCAGTGGGTCGAGGAGAACATGGCATGGGGTGAAGTCAGCAAATGTTGAGTAGTCATTTGAGAAGCCTGGCTTGCATTGAAAGTGACAGAGAAGGGAGAGCCAGAGGGCACAGCTGGTCAGGGTGGTCAGGGGAGGGTCTGCATAGGAGGGGCGGGCCTTGACTGTTAGCACAGGGGAGCCAGCAGGCCTCGGGAGAGGCTGAAGAAGAAGGAGGCCTGGTGAGGCAGAGTCCCAGGGGAAAGGAAGGAAGGCTGTGGGTTGTCTGGAGCCCTCGTTACCTGAGCTTGTTGGGAAGGTATGGGGCACAAAGTCAACCAGCTCACTGAGAGTGGCCTCAGTTTAACCAGTGTGTGAGCTGAGAGCCAGGGGCTGAGAGCAGGGTGATGGTTGGAGGTGAAGGGTGGTGTTAGGGGTCGGAGCCCAGCAATGGTTACAGGTGAAAGGTGATGTTAGGGGCTGAGAGTAGGGTGACGGTTTGAGGTGAAGGCAGTGGTTACAGGTGAAGGGTGGTGTTAGGGGCTGAGAGCAGGTAGATGGTTTGAGGGGAAGGGTAGTGTTAGGGGCTGAGAGCTGGGCAATGTTTAGAGGTGAGGGGAGGTGTTGGGGCTGAGAGCTGGGTGGTGGTTAGAGGGGAAGGGCAGTGTTAGGGCTGAGAGCCAGGTGATGGTTGGAGGAGAAGAGCGGTATTAGGGGCAGAGAGCCAGGCGGTGTTTAGGGGCTGAGAGCAGGTAGATGGTTTGAGGGGAAGGGTGGTGTTAGGGCTGAGAGCCGGGTGATGGTTAGAGGTGAGAGGAGTTGTTAGGGCTGAGAGCCAGGCAATGGTTAGAGGTGAGGGGCAGTGTTAGGGCTGAGAGCAAGGCAGTGGTTAGAGGTGAGGGGCGGGTGTTAGGGCTGAGAGCCGGGTGATGGTTACAGGTGAGGGAAGTTGTTAGGGCTGAGAGCCGGGTGATGGTTACAGGTGAGGGAAGTTGTTAGGGCTGAGAGCCGGGTGATGGTTACAGGTGAGGGAAGTTGTTAGGGTTGAGAGCCAGGCGATGGTTAGCGGTGAGGGGAGGTGTTAGGGCTGAGAGCCAGGCGATGGTTGGAGGGGAAGGGTGGTGTTAGGGGCTGAGAGTCGGGTGATGGTTTTGAGGGTAAGGGTGGTGTTAGGAATTTAGAGTCAGGTGATGGTTAGAGGTAAACGGCGGTTTTAGGGGCTACGTTGTCTCCTCTCCAGAATTTCTATATTGAAGCCCCACCCCCTAAGACATCAGAATGTGACTCTATTTGGTGTTGAGGTAAGAAAGTTAAAACGAGGTTGTTAGGTTTGTCCCGAATCCAGTTGGACTTCTGTCTACATGAAGAGGAGCTCAGCACACAGGCATGCACAGAGGGAAGAAAGACCACGTACGGGTGCAGGGAGAAGGTGCCATCCGCACACCAAGGAGAGAGGTCTTGGAGGAAACCAGTCCTGCCCACACCTTGATCTTAGACTTCCAGCCTCCAGAATTGTGAGAAAAGGAATTTTGGTTGTTTAAGCCTTTCAGTCTGTGGTGCTTTGTAATGGCAGCCCCAGCTGATGCTAAGGGTCTGTGGTGTGGGAGGAGCTGGCTGAGCAAGCTCCAAGGCTGGTAGCGGCCCAGCCTGGTGCCCCAGGTGGGGACGAAGGCATGAGTTGGCGGCGGGAGCGGCCTGCACAGTGGTGTGATTTCCTCCAGCAAGAGGGGTGACCAAGGACAAGGGGCTGAAGAGTGGGACACAGAGGACAGAGGTGCCAGATGAGTGATGGGGATGGGCTGTAGCTGGGCCTCCGAGAGTGAGCAGCCAGGGTCAGCTGGGGAGCAGAGCTAACGCACTCCCCAAGGTGCAAACTGTCACTTTTTCTTGTTAACACAGGGCTCTATCCGGCTGAGCCAAACGGCCACAGACAGTGTTATAGATACTGCCTATAAAGACTCTCCAGTAAAACCTCTTTATTTTACCCCTTAAAAGGGTAAGAGTTACCGAAGTGCATGGAAATCTTCAGCAGCGAGGCTCTGGAAGAACTGAGGGATTAAGGAGGCTGCTTTTCCAACCTGAGGGGTCACTTCTGGGCTGCTGAGAATGTGTGGAGGGAGAGCCAGCCCCAGTCCAGTTTACCCAGGGAGCAGGAGGAGAGCAGCCAGCCCCGGGGGACCCTGGAGGCCTCTGGCGGGTCATCCACCCTGCGGATCCCTGTGTCGTGGGGCTGCTGTCCGTCCACTCATCGCCTAATGCTGACTGCACCATTGCCAGGCGCCACGTCTACTACTGGCTGTAGGGGATGAAAAGACAAGCGGCCTTGAATTATTGATTCACTCAACAACCATTCATTAAGGGCCTACTGTGTGTCCAGAATTGTGCAGCTACAGAGATGAATCAGGTGTGGTCCTCACCCCAAAGGAGCTGAAAAGATAGACAAATCAGCATAATGAAAAAGTGGCTTGTGTCTAATGAAGGGTACAGAGGAATTTCTGTGGGAGTTCAAAGGAAGGGAAAATTAATTTGGGATGGGGAGTTTGGGAAGATTCAAAGGAAAGAGGGATTACTCTGGGTTTTTTTAAGTACAGCCATCTCTCAGTATCCACTGGGGATTGGTTCCAGGACCTCCCTCGGATACTAAAATCGGGGACACTCGAGTCCCTTGTGTAAAATGCGTAGTATTTGCATATAACTTATGCACATCCTCCCATATGCTTTAAATCATCTCTAGATTACTTCTTTACCTAATACAGTATAAGTGTTATGCAAATAGTTGCTATACTGTATTTTTGTTGGTGTTATTTTTATTATTGTATTGTTATTTTTTGGTTTTTTTTTCCTGAATTTTTTTTTTTTTTTTCCAAGACGGGGTCTCGCTCTGTTGCCAAGGCCGGAGTGCAGTGGCGCAATCTCAGCTCACTGCAGGCTCTGCCTCCCAGGTTCACGCCATTCTCCTGCTTCAGCCTCCCGAGTAGCTGGGACTACATGTGCCCGCCACAACGCCTGGCATATTTTTTGTATTTTTAGTAGAGACGGGGTTTCACCATGTTAGCCAAGATGGTCTCGCTCTCCTGACCTCGTGATCCGCCCGCCTCAGCCTCCCAAAGTGCTGGGATTACAGGCGTGAGCCATCGTGCCTGGCCTTTTCCTGAATATTTTCAATCCACGGTTGCTTGAATCTGCAGATGCAGAACCCACAGATATGGAGGGTGGATTATACAAGCAGTTGAGGGAACTCACAGGTACAGATAGAAGGATAAATACCCCTCCAAGGCAGTGTGCAAGGAATAGTCTGTTTGAGTGGTGGGAGTTTCTCGGGAAATCCAAGGAGAAAGAGAGCACTGTGGCTAGGGGGTCAGAGAGGGCTTCCTGGAAGAGGCGCCTGAGGGAGAGAAGAGCCCTGGTAGGGAAAGGGAGAACAAGGGACAGGGACAGCATTGGCAAAGGCATGGAGGAGAGTTAATGGGCCAGTCCAGGACTGTACATGGAGGCTCTGTCACCTTGTTGGGGGTGGAGGGGATGCTATGACCGTGGAAGCCAGACAGGACAGAAGGGGCCTGAGGCCATGCCAGAGACTCAACAGGGACAGCTCTTCAGAGAGTGGGGAGGTTCTGAGGACCTTGAGCGGGTCAGTGGCTGTATGCCCTCTCGGGGTCGCCACGGCCACACTGATTGGGGTGAGCTGGAAGGCGCTGCAGGGGGGAGGAGTCCCCTCTAGCATTGACACAAGCATGGGACAAGAATATGGAGAGGAGTTTGGGGGGCGGAGAAGGGCACAATCAAGGGGCTCCCCTTTTCTTGGCATGAGCCATAGAACTCAGAACTGGGCACAGGGTGAAGTTCTTGGGGCTCATGGGGAGAAAGGCTCAATGGAAATGCAAGGGATCCCGGCTTCCTGGGCATGCCGGAGGCATCTTGAATCCACCTGGGTTGGAAGAGTCAGTGTGCACTGAGGCCCCATGGATGGAAAGAGCGGGAAGCCCCGGGTCTCTGAACGCATCTCCCCATCTCAGCCCTGCCTTTGCTGTGGCCCCAGACCTCCCAGCCTCACTGTGGCTCGGGGCTTCTCTGCAGGGCAGTCCCCAGGGCTGGAGGATGTGCCGTATCATATTATTCCTCATTAGGCAGCAGCTGGGGACTCGGAGCGTCCCAGCCCAGCCAGGCAGCCAGGCCTGGGGGACGCAGTGCAGGCTATGAGCGTTCACTGCACATTAAGTCTTGAGCAAGCTGCTCTCCTTCATTCATCTGGTCTCCACTCCTGGGACTACTGAAGAAGCATGCTGTTTGGTAACTGCCTGTTGAGCACATGCTTCTCTGGTGTCCCAAGAGTGCCTGAGCCTCCACCTTGTCTTTGATGTCCACAGCTCTAGAGTCTGGGTACCTGTTGTCGTCCTAGTTATTCTGATCCTCATATGTTTTATGCCAGCCAACCACTGGTTGAGGCCGTTTCCAGCCAGATAGGAATCACTGTCGAAAACCTAATTAAAAGTGGTCCCTGAATCGCACGGGGGTTGGGAGGTAGAGAGGACAGGATTTTAGATGTTAGTGAGTTGGCAATGACCTGCCTAATAACTTTGAGCACAAAGTTCTGCATTAGATGCTGTGGGCAGGGAAAGAGGAATGGGGTGAAGAGAGGACCTCATCCTCCCCTTAATACAAGATTCGCACGTTCCCTATTTCCCACGTACTCATTTTCCCTCTGTCTCAAGGTGTGTGCAGTGATGCTCTGTGAGCTGACTGTATGCTGTTACATGGCAGACTGGTGTCCAGGCTGCCATAGCAAAATACCACAGACTGGGTGGCTTACCCAGCAGAAATGTTTCACAGTGTTCTGGAGGCTAGGAGTCCAAGATCATGGTGTCAGGCAATTCGCTTCCTGTTAAGGACCCTTTCCCTGGTTTGCAGATAGCCATCTTGTTCTATCCTCACGTGGCGGAGAGAAAAAGAGAGTGAGCTCTGCTGTCTCTTTTTTTTTTTTTTTTTTTTTTTTTGGAGATGGAGTCTTGCCCTGTTGTCGCCTAGGCTGGAGTGCAGTGGCACAATCTCGGCTCACTGCAACCTCTGCCTTCTGGTTTTCCTGCCTTAGTCTCCCGAGTAGCTGGGATTACAGGTGCCCGACACCACACCTGGCTATTTTTTGTATTTTTAGTAGAGATGGGGTTTCACCACCTTAGCCAGGATGGTCTCAAACTCCTGACCTCACGCAGGTAATCCACCTGCCTCAGACTCCCAAAGTGCTGGATTACAGGTGTGAGCCACTATGCCAGGTTTTGTTTTTGTTTTTGTTGTGTTTTGTTTTGTTTTTGAGACAATCTCACTCTGTCGACCAGGCTGGAATGCGGTGGCATGATCCTGTTGGCTCACTGCAACCTCCGCCTCCTGGGTTCAAGCGGTTCTCGTGCCTCATCCTCCCCAGTAGCTGGGATTACACGCACACACCACCATTCCTGGGTAATTTTTTTGTATTTTTAGTAGAGACAGGATTTCACCATGTTGGCCAGGCTGGTGTTGAACTCCTGACATCAAGTGATCCGCCCGCCTCGGCCTCCCAAAGTTCTGGGATTACAGGCGTGAGGCACTGGTGTCTCTTCTTATAAGGACACTGATCCTATCAGATCAAGGTCCCATCCTAATGACCTTATTTAACCTTAGTTTTGTCCTACAGACCCTATTTTTTAAGGCAGTAATATTGGGGGTTAGAACTTCAGTATATGAATTTGGTGGGACCTGCTGAAGTCCACAGCACACTCTTGAATGTTTACTTTGCCAAAACAAAATGGGGATAGGTGGGACTGCTGGCTCCGGAGCAGACCCTTTGGTGTGTGCTGCCTCCTGTGGTGCAGGCGTAATTGTGGCCTTTGAACACTGATGAGGCAGAGGCAGGCCCAGCGTGACTCTGAAACATGAACAACTACATCAAAACATTCCCAGTCCCCAGGCCCACAGGGGACATGCTCATTTTCTGAGAGATTATTTTACTACTTTATTTATCTTACTACAAGTGATTGTTAAATAGTTAGTAGGTTATAGATGGAAACATTGGTAACAGTGAGCTCATTTGGCCCAAAGGGAAGGATAGCTGCCTCCATGGTCTGAACACCATCTCAATGGGGTGGAGGGAGGACAGGGAGAAGGGAGGAGGGGGAGTTACCTGAGAGAGTTTTCAGAGGTCCAGGGGCAAGCCTGTTGCTATTGGTGTTTTAGGGTTCATTTACAGTCTGTAGATGGAGGCTTCCTTTACAGTCCCTGGAAGCCTCATGCACGCTCCCTAGCGCACCCCCTGCTTCGCAGCAAATCCTTGAGTTTTTATAAGAAGGAAGACAAGCTTGGTCAGGGTGCAAGGTCTGGAGTCAGGCTGACCTGGGCTCACTTCCCTCCTCTGTCATGCTTCAAACCTGTGAGAACGGGCAGATCATGACCTCTCTGACCTCCAATTCCTCGTGTCCAAGTGAAGATAAAATATCCACCTCATGGACTTGTTGCAGAGATTAAGTGAGATAGAGTCCACTAAGTGGTTATGCTGACATTGTAGCTTAATGTAAAGCTTGTGTGTCATGGATCCAGTGTCTGTCCAACTCATGCTGGATGGCACTGCCAGTTCCTGATACTTTAGATGTCTCTTTTCCTTGTTGTACAGCTTGGCTAATTTTTTCCTATTTTATATATTTATTTTGTGACAGAGTTTTGCTCTTGTTGCCCAGGCTGGAGTGCAATGGCATGACCTCGGCTCACTGCAACCTCCACCTCCCGGGTTCAAGCAATTCTCCTGCCTCAGCACCCCGAGTAGCTGGGATTACAAATGCCTGCCACCATGCCTGGCTTTTTTTTTTTTTTGTATTTTTAGTAGAGACGAGGTTTCTCCATATTGGTCAGGTTGGTCTCAAACTCACGACCTCGGGTGATTCATCTGCCTCAGCCTCCCAAAGTGCTGGGATTACAGGTGTGAGTCACCGTGCCTGGCCCCTATTATATTTTTAATAGCAAAACATTTTTTCCCACATCAACTCTTAGGTGGAACCCCAACCCCTGAAATGGATGCAGGTGGAATTGTGATGGTGGGAGCTGGTATGGGGCTGGAGACCCCAGGCAGCCTCCCCTCCACTTCTTGGAGGAGCCCAGGGGCCTGCCAGGGAGGACCATTTGAGAAGCATTCCTCTAGGCTGCCCTGCTTCCTTTCTAGTTGCAAGGTCGTCATTCTCTTATGCCACAGCATGACTGTCTCGGTTTCTGCTTTCTCAGTAGCCATCTCATTCTGGTCGTGCTTCCCGCAGGTGGGGGTGTGGGGGTGATTGAAATGTTCCCAGGCTCTTCAGTCACATTTATGGTGCTCTGGTCACTTCTGCGGGTGGCTAATCACCCCAGGTATGCGTGGACTTTGCTAGTTAATTCCCAGAAGTCCACTTGATTGCCTCGGACTTGGGATGTACCTCTGTCGCCCCATGCATGGCCAACCTGAGTAAATGACATTTAACTTTTATTATTCAATGAAGTTATGCATGTAAATAAATCCACAAATCAAGGAAGAAATGCTTTGCAATATTCTGTGTCCTGATTTTGGGTTTGTGGGATGGATTACAGTGAGTGTGGAGCAATGCACAGAAAAGACAGCATAGAACCTGGATCTCTGCGTCCGCGCAGACATTCAAGGGCCACGTGTCAGTGAAATGTATTCGGCTTGATTCCCTGTGTTGCTTTTCTGAATTCTCAACCTCTGAAAGATAAATATTTCTTTTAATGTAATGGCTTTCTTGAGATATAACTTGCATACCACGTAATTCACTTTAAGTATATAATTCAGTGGTTTCTTTTTGTATATTCACAGAGTAGCACAACTATTATCACAATTTTAGGAACATTTCATCACCCCCAAAAAGAACACCACACGCATTAGCAGACACTCCTCATTTCTCCCAACCCTAGGCAACCACAAATCTTTCTGCCTCTGTGGATTCAGCTATTCTGGACATTTCATATGCATGGAACTGTCCAATATGTATTTTTTTGTGTATGTCTGGCTTTATTTTACTTAGCCTAATGGTGTGTTTGTTTTTTCAGATGGAGTCTCGCTCTGTCACCCAGGCTGGAGTGCAATGACACTGTCTCAGCTCACTGCAACCTCCACTTCCCGGGTTCAAGTGATTCTCCTACCTCAGCCTCCCGAGTAGCTGGGATTACAGACGTCATGCCACCACACCTGGCTAATTTTTGTGTTTTTATTAGAGACAGGGTTTCACCATATTGGCCAGGCTGGTCTCGAACTCCTGACCTCAAGTGATCTGCCCGCCTCAGCCTTCCAAAGTGTTGGGATTACAGGCATGAGCCATGCGTCCAGCCACACTTAGCATAATGTTTTTAGGTTCATTCCTATTGTAGCATGTATCAGTACCTGTTATTTTTTATTGTTGAGTAATATTCCATTGTATGGGTAAACCACATTTTTTTATCTATCAATCAATCTATGGACATTTGGGTTTCTTTTTGGAAATTATGAATAATGCTGCTATATATATTTGTGTACAAGTTTTTGTGTGATCTTCATTTTTGTAACATCTCCATCAAGAGAATTAAGAATCTCTATAGCTAGATTTATTGAGTGCCTCCTGTGTGCAAGATCCTGTGTTGATCCCATGCCATATCTTGTAATCTTCACAATAGCCCAAGGCTCTCTCCACTTCCTTAAAAGCGAGGCAACTGAGGTCCCAGAGCTGTGGAGGGCTGCAGCTGGGACTGGAAGCCAGTTGTCTGTGATACCATAACATTTATCCTTAACACTGCTCCCAGAAGTTGGGCAACTGTTGGTATTACACCACTGCAGTTGTCCACACTGAATAAGTCACACTGATTAAATCTGTGTGCTGTGCCACTTCCACACATTATCTTAGTGAATCCTCACACCAACCCTGTGAGGTTGTCCTACTCTTTCTAATGTTCAGTGAGGAAAAGAGGTTCAGAGAAACTAAGTAGCTCACTTTGGTGGCATGGCCCATCGGTGTCAGAGCCTGGGGAGCCAGCATTCAGCAGTGTCTGGCAGCTGCTCCTTGAGGCCACAGCCTTCCCTCACAGACCTGGCATCCTTTAACCCTCTCTCACCTCAGGGAGAGTTTCTCATATGTTCAGAATACTATTTCAAAGGACAGCCACTACCCGCCTCACTTTGCACAATGCCTGCTTGCCTGTGTGCATGGAGACAGGTATCCAAGTATCAGGATGCCTGGACCCGGGGACTTCGTGCAGACAGGACCCCTAGTGGCCTGCTCTGGTATTACAGGATTCCCGAGGCGTGCATCCACATTAGAATTCACTTCTACACCTGGCTGCAAACCAAGACCCTTAAGCTTGGAGAGAACTTGTTCTGGGGGACGGTTCTGAGCATGGCAGGATGGAGAGGAACTTGGGGTGCTGCCTGGAAGAGGAAGGTGGCAGCAGGGGGAGGCTGGAGAAGGAGGAGGGTAACAGTAGCGGTGGAGTACCAATTGTCTCCATGTGGTTGCCTGCCCACAGCTGCTATCTTGGACGACCCCATGGAGTGCAGCAGAGGGGAGCGGCTCTCCATCACCCTGGCCAAGAACCGCATCAACCGCGCTCCTGAGAGGCTGGGCAAGGCCAAGGTCGAAGTGGACATCTTTGAGCTTCTCAGAGACAGCGAGTACGAGACTGCAGAAACCAGTACGTAGACTGGGCAGGGCTGCCTCTTCCCTTGCTGGCAGAGGATGGATGAGCAGTGGTGTGAGCTGCACCTATCAGTCACCAGGCCTCTGAGATATCTGATGTCGATATTTCCAGAGGAAGGAGAGGAACTTGAACCAGGAGGTCCTGTGAAGCTCTCAGCCTGGATGAGATTCCCAGGTTTTGTGCGAATCACGTGTGGAGTAGAATTAAGACAGGATACCCATTCATTCATTCATCCACTCATTCATTGCTTCATATATTGATTCATTCATGTTCTGGACATTTTGTCCACAAGTTCCTGAATGAAATCTCGTGTGTGATAAGAGAGACGGCCAGCCCAAGGGTATCTTAGCCACTACACATCTGACTGCTTACCTTGCTTCCTTATGCTAAGGGCGCTGTTGTGGGAGAAACTGGGACTTGGGATGGAATTTGACCACTCACTCTCTGGGTAACCTCAGATAAGTCACTAAGTCATCCTATCCTATCCAAACCTCAGTTTCTACATCTTTAAAATAGGAATACTAGGCTCTATTTTGCAAATCTTGCAGGTTGTTAGGTTGTTGTGAGGTGTTTTTTTGTTTTTGTTTTTTTTGAGACAGGGTCTTGCTCTGTTGCCCAGGCTGGAGTGCAGTTGCACAATCTCAGCTCACTGCAACCTCTGCCTCCCGCGTTCAAGTGATTCTCATGCCTCAGCCTCCCCAGTAGCTGAGATTACAGGGGTGTGCCACCATGCCCGGCTAATTTTTGTATTTTTAGGAGAGATGGGGTTTCGCCATGTTGGCCAGGTTGGTCTTGAACTCCTGACCCCAAGTGATCTGCCTACCTCAGCCTCCCAAAGTGCTGGGATTACAGGCATGAGCCACTGCGCCCAGCCTATTGTGAGATTTAAATTATTTTAAATACAGGAAAATCTGTGAATTGCAGTGTTTTACAGGCATATGTAGTAGGTCGCTCAAGTCACACATATGGAGCCCCTACTATGCGCTGGGTACTGCTTTTAATTCTCACCTAAGTGTTAAGTGTTATCACCTCCACTTTAGAAAAGAAACTGAGGCTCAAAGCCATTGAATCATTTGCCAGACCACAGAGCTAGTCAATGGCTGAGCTGGTTCTGGACCCTGTGTGCCCAGTGCAGTCCATGAGACCTCCCTACAGTCCTCCGGCCTGTTGTTTGTATTACCTTGACAACTTTACAAGACTAGGCCCAAGTTAGTGGGCTGGTGACTTGTGGCTAAGCTGGAAATGGATCAGCTCCAGTTCAGAGGGCAGGAGAAGAGCCCCTCAAATCAGAGATAATAGTATCTATTCCCTAAGACTTTGAAGAGTCCCCGTCTCCTCCCTTTCTAACCCGTTTCAACCTTTGACCACACTCAGTGGCAAAAATAAGTAAACAAAACAAAAGAACAACTTGCTCAAATACATCTGTTCTTCCATCTGAGGATCCAGCAAAGCTCCAGCCTGGGCTGTTAGGGTTTCAAGAAAATCAGTACATCCACACAGGCCCAAGCATCACATGTGGGGTGTCGTGACATCCAGAAAAGTTAAGAAGCGATGCAGGCAGTGGCTCTGGAGACTCCCCAGCCTTTCTCCCTCTCACAGCTTCCTTCTTGCTCCTGTGGTGTTGGATCCAGGCTCTTCCCTCTCTCTTAGTTTGGGTTCCCTGGTTTATTCATCATGTACTTGTCCATAATGACTACCCAGACCTGATTTACTCTCTGTTTATTCATTCAGAAACTTTTATTGAGCATTGACTCTATCTCAGGCATAATTCAGGATATCGGGCATTGGGAACAAAGCAGGAAATAAGATAGATGTGCTCCTGACCTCAGGTGGCTTTCAGTCTGTCTTTAGGCTGCACATCAGGGGCAGCTTCCCCCAGTGCCTCTTAATGTGCATCCCCAAGGTCTGGCTCTGATTGGATCAGCTCAACTTGCAGTGTGGCCAGTCTCACAAGCTGCAGGTGTTGGCCAGGCTGCCTAATAACTACTCTTGGAGAGAGGGTCTACTCCCAGTCCCTCCTGCTCCTATGACTGAGGGAGGGCCATACCATATAGAACAGGGCCATTGAGGCCAACAGGATCTGTAGGCACAGATTCCTCCCCAAGAAGGCATGGAGGAACAAGGGCCAAAATAGTCCCTCATTTATTCATTCGGTCAGTAAGTGTTTAGTGAGTGCCTATTATATTTTATTCTAGGCCATGGGGATTCAGCAGGGCACAGACAAGAATCCTAGTTGTCATAGAGGTTAATTTCTAGTATAATGGAAGGAAGATTCAGATTTCCCAGTATCTTGCAAATGAAATCAGAAATGCCAGCAACAACTCCTTGTGAACCCCCAGTCCAGTCCACAGTGTTTCCTTGTCCAGGGAGGCAAGTCTCAGACAAGGGTCCAGATTTCTAAATAGTTCAGTAGTCCATACTTTGAAAAGCCAGCCCTTCTCTTCTCGGTTCTTCAGGGCTTCTCTGGCAGAAATGAGGGAGCCAAGATTTGCCCGTCATGGATGGCATCGTTAGCAGATGTAAATTTCCTCTTTTAGTGACCCATGCAGCCTGACTTAGTAAAGTCAATATTTCTAAAATATTGAGCCAGATGAATCAGGGGAATAAAGGAAACAGGTATCTTTATTCCATCTTAGAGAACTTTGGGCATCTTTTTAATGGGCTTCTTTTAGGCACCAGGTATTTTCTTAGCAAGTGGGCCTCAGTTCAGTTTTTACATCTCAGTGTGTTTGAGGTACGATTAGCATTTGTTAGGAAAGGGGACTTCTGGATCTTCCCACTCCAAAGGCTTTTCACCTGAAGCCAGAGTGCCCCTCCACAGTGGGTTTTAAACACTACCCAGGTAAAGTTCATTGAAAGATTCCAGCCCAGTTCTTTCCCTCCCAAAGTAAGGGGGCAGGTGGGTTGTGGCTTAAGCGCCTACCACCTGTTGGCTATTGCAGGGTGGGGCAGTGACTATATTTGGGGAAGGAAGGGAGGAGGGGGACAGGATCTCTGGGTGGAGGAGAGCCCACAGCTCTGTGATCCCTACTTTGGCGAGGCTGTGTGGTATAAAAATTCAGAGCATGGGTTTTAGAACCAGACTGACCAGCATTAAATCCTGGGTCTCCCATGTATTAGCTGTGTGACGTAGACAGGCTGTTTAACCATTTTGTGCCTCTGTTTCCTCGTTTGTAAAATGGGAGTGATGGTAGCATTGCCTCATAGGGTCACTGGGAACGGTGTAGGTGAAACGCTCGGCACTGCACATAGCAGGACTTCAGGAAGTGGCAGCTGTGGCTTTTGTTGTTGGCTTCATTCTCTCACCCCACATTTGAACGGGCTTCCTCCCAACTTATTACCAGCCTCCCCCCTCTCTCTTGTTTCAAGGTTCAGCCCTACTTATGTGGCAGCACTGTCTCCAGGGCTGTTCTCGAGTGGCCTGCCTAATGTCAGCATCCATCGTAATTGGATATTCCCCTTCTCCTTCCAGTTTTCTGGGCTTGATGCATCTGATAGCTCTGAGCCTTTTAAAGTTGTGGTGAGCCACCTCAAGCCAGCTGCTGCCCAATGCCAAAGGCCGTGGTTTGCCCTGGGCTAGTGGCCCAGGGCTAATTTGCATCATTAATTTAAAAAAATGTGAGTGGCTCTGGGGCCCTGGACAACTGCCCTAACCCTACACCTGTCACCCTGTGGCCAGGGACTCTGCTTCAGGGGGATGAAAGAGACCCTAGTGATGATATCTTTGACTGTGGAAAGCAGAGGCTCTGATTGAAGCTGGGGCTGTAGCACTCCAACAGGGCACAGTTGTGCCTTACTTTGAGTAACAGGGATTTCAGAAAGCTCTGTCCACATCACACTTAATGAATCCTATTCAGGGTGGGAGAGTCAGTTGAGGGAAGCAATGGTTATTTCAAGAATCAAAGATTATGAAGTGTAAAGAAGCTAACGATGCTGGAAGCCAGAGGTCAGCCCCCTCGTCTGATGGTTGAAGGCGAGGCTCTGAGATGGAAAGTATCACACGGGGCATTAATTAATAGCCAGCCTGGAAACTGGAAAGATATGAGGAGAAATCACCCCCTGTTCTCTTGGGTTCAAATAGACAGATTTTCATATAATGGGTTTATTTAAAGTGAGGGTCACTTGTAAAGCTTTCTCCAGCCTGCATCTGACATCCCCCACCTCTGCCCTTCCACCATTATCGCCCCAGGATCTTGGTGTTTGACTTTCCAACTCCTTCTACACAGCCTACAGATCTAAAATAACAGAGATGGACAAGACCTATTAGGTCAGCTCCTGTCCCACCTGGCCCTTCCTTCTTTCCCTTCCGTGTCTTACCTGAACCTGAGCCTTTCTTCTGCAGGGAGCTACCACAAGCTACCTCCTCTGTTCCTATAGATCAGCGTTTCTCCTGCGGTTAATGAATTAGAGCTTAACTAAGCACCACCCTTTACCATTCAAACAACCTGAGGCTCCGTCCCAGCTTGAGGTTTAATTTCCTGCAGACCCAGAAGCAGGGGCTTCCCTGTCAACCCCTCCCCTGTGCCTCAGTTTGTCTCTGTGAGGCCAAGCATGCTATCAGCTGTCCGCACAGTTTCCCCTTGAAACTAGAGGCGCCCTGGTTATCCGGGCCTCCTGTGGCTCCAGTGCCCGGCGCGTAGCGTTCCAGCTCCACATGGCTGCACCTCCTGCACAGGCTTCCAAGCTTCTCACAGGCTCCACGAGCATGACCTCTGGTGATTCAGAGCTGCCTCTGAGAAGTGAGGGCTAGCATCCCTCCTTCAGTTCAACAGAGTCAGTTGAAGTTGGCTTAAGGAAAAAAAAGTAAGAAGCCAGAAGAGAAAGGCATACAAATAGTGATGAGTCATTCAGCAAACATTCCTTACTCCCCTTCTCGGAGCTACCCGCATCATAGGCATGATGTGGGCTCAGCCATGCATTGAATTGCTGTACTTAGAAATCATCTGGTCCAACCCCTTCCTTTTACGGATGGGGAAACTGAGGTTCAAGATCTTCTCCAGGAAGTTCAGATGTACACATCTGCAAAACGACACCATCTTTAGGTGGCTCTCCAGAGAACGTGCCAATGAGTGGCACAGACAGGGGAGCAGGAGGTCAGAACTAGGAGGTAGGCAGAGCAGGCTATGGGGTCAGGTGAGGCCCCTGGCCAGACCTTAGAATGTTGATTGATGAAGAGAGAGAAGAAGGCATCTAGGTAGATGGCATAATAGCATGAGCAAAGGCTTAAGGCAGGAAAAAAAATGGGATACATTGGGATGCAGTGACAGACAGTATGGCTGAAACAGAGTGTACATAGGGGCAGAGGAGAGATCCTGGCTTCAGTGTAGAGCAAGTTCTGGAGTTCAATGCACCAGGATTCTAATCCTGGCTCTACCAGCACCCTGGGCTTCTCTCCTATGTCTCACAGCCCTCCTCTGTAAAATGGGAATAAGAAGAGTTCTCACTTCATGAGGTTGTTGTGAAGATTAAATGAGATGGTGCTTAAATGTTACTTAGTAGTAGTAGAATTCATATAGTGACTCCTCCCTCTCAGGGTTGTTGTAGAGATTCAGGTGGCACATGTGCCTGGCACTTGGAAAGCCCCAGTAAATGGTATTGCTGCTTGCACGGTGGCTTGGGACCAGGTGAAGGCTTTGCGTGATACGCTGTTGGTGAGGAGAGGCGATGGCGGTCTTGAGTTCTTGGACACCAGGGGGCCCGTCATGGGGCGTGGCACTCATGCCCTCACACACTTTCTTCCTTGGCTCAAGAGCCAGCAAGGCCAATCCATTTAGTCCCCTGTCTACTCCCAGAGAGTTCAGAATGGAATGCGTTCCTGACAGCTTTGGCACAAGAGAGGAGATGGTTCTTTGGAAGTGATGAGGCAATTGTTTGCCTTGCCCTAGGATGGCCAGGGCTTCACGTGTACTCTGTGCAGTATAAACA